>NC_000016.10:55774621-56077651 GCF_000001405.40 Homo sapiens | reverse complement strand
CTCCCACTAGGCCTCACCTCCAAGACTGGGGGTCACATTTCAACATGAGATTTGGAGGGGACACACATCCCAACCATATCACCCCTATGGGAATTTCCACCTCTGGTCACTGCTCTCTCCGTGATGTTCACTGATCTCCCGTGATTCTTTCCACTTGGGTCTCTCTGTTTTAGGGCAAAGCATTCTCAAAATGGTCCTGATGTACCAGCGCGTGGCCAAGTAATTAACCTGGCTATTCTCCACAGCAGTGTGGCCAGTTCTGCTGAATTTTGCTCCAATCGTGTAGTGGTAGGCCTGTGGCTCATATTAGATTTGGCCAGTGCTAGACTTTTTCATCAGTAGAGTAGGGAGCTATAGCCAGGACATTTTCATTTTTCAGTCTTGAACTCAAACCTCGCCTCTGATTTTTCATCAGACCCCAGAAAATATAATCATGCCTATTTATAGAAATCCTGTCCAATTGGAGTCCTGGCAAATTAGAAATATTGTTTTCTTCTCTCTTAACAGGAACTGTGTCTGGGCTCAGTTTCCCTCGCCTTGCTTCATTCAGTCCATCTTTCATCTCTTAAATCCCAGCATTGGGTGGAGACTGAGTGGCAGAGAAGGAGACTCATACCTCTGTTCCCTTAGCCTGGTCGTCTGCCTGGAGGAGCTGGACATTTCCAACTTCATCTGAAGATCGCCATTTTGGATGTTGGATACTTCTCCTTTCTTTTTTTTGGTTTTTTTTTTTTTTTTTTTGAGACGGAGTCTCTCTCTGTCACCAGGCTGGAGTGTGCAACCTCCGCCTCCCAGGTTCAAGCGATTATCCTGCCTCAGACTCCCAAGTAGCTGGGATTACAGGTGCCAGCCACCACGCCCGGCTAATTTTTGTATTTTTAGTAGAGACGGGGTTTCACCATGTTGGCCAGGATGGTCTCGATCTCTTGACCTCGTGATCTGCCCACCTTGGCCTCCCAAAGTGCTGGGATTACAGGCGTGAGCCACCGCGCCTGGCCTTCTGCTTTCTTTATCATATTGTAGTTCAGTTCCTGTAGTTTCAGGTTACTTATTGTTAGGGATGGGTGCTGACATTTCGGGTCCCCTGGCTGGCAGCCAAGATTCAAGAGCACTGTTTTCTTGCTGTCAAATCACATTGCACCAACATCAAGTTGGATATAAAAGTCCCCACAAGTATCAATAAAAGACTGATGGTGCCTTTTATTATTCTTTGGGCTGAAGTGAGAAACTGGAAGGCTAAAAGACATGCGGATAAATGTGACAGGCCGAGTATGCTCTGTAGTGTCAGCTCCTTCCCAAAACCCCGCTAACACTATGGCAAAGAAAAGGTATAAACTTACAAGAACGAAGAAAAATGGAGAGAAAAAGATATCAGAGAAGAAAGATCAGCAGAACTTGGGAACGTGAAAAGTGGAAGGCTGAGTGCTGTCTTGGCAGAAGGGAAAGCTGAGAGGCAGCAGGCCAGCTCACATCCAAGAACCTCGGAAGAGCTCAGGAATTGAAGGTACCAACCAATGATCAAAGCCGGGAGAGGGTCGGGCGGAACACAGGCAGATGCGTCGAAGATCTGTCTCAGGGGATCTCCTTCCCCAGTCCAAACAACTGTCAGCTGTTTCTCCCTTGCTCCAGCAGGAAATAGGAGATTTAATCCCTGGATAATTGAATGAGAGAGAATTCAGATTGAGGGAATAGCCAGGAACAGTTGTGAACAGCACTGAGCTGAATGAAAAACAAGGGATAAGGTCCAAGTCTCTCCTGCTAAGTGATTCCCAGGATGTTGACTTGTACATCCCCACTCCCTCCAAGCAGGGAATTAGGAGATTTCTCCCTGAAGGCATGGACTTCCCCAAGAGGAAAGATCCACCGATTCTGCCATGTGGGGATCCCAGAATGAAATGCCTAGTGATGGATCAATAACCCCACAGGGAAGCCACCAGCCAGCAAGCCCTACACTTAGATACAGAACTCCCAAACACCTTGTTGTACTTTTTCCACATGTAAACAGTCTGAGATCAACAGGAATAAATCACACCCCAGACTTGATGCCCTAAGCGAGATGAGAGGATAGAACAGCTATGGAATAAGACTGGGATGTTATCAAAGGGAATGCAGCAGCAATAAAATAGTCATGGATGGGGTCAGAAGATCAAACTGAGGAAATTATGCAGAAAGTAGAACAAAAGCACAAAAATACAGAATATGATTTCACAATGAGAGGATTAAACCAGGAGGTCTAGCACCTGACATTGAACTGAAGCAAGGATTCAAAGTATTTTTTTATGCTGTGGACCCACAATCAGATGAGGCATATGGATCTCTTCTCAAAATAATGCTGTTTTAACAAGTGAAAAAATTATTTTATTAATAGACTTTATTTTTAGAGCAGTTTAAGGTTTATAGAAAATTGGGGGGAAGGAGGAAGAGAGGAATGAAGACAGAATAATATTTTAAAGCACATAAAATGCATAGAAGTACAAAGGAAACTGATCATATTGAAATATAGTTGTCAAAATATCAAAAAACAAAATAGGGATATAGCAATGTATGTGCTTTTTAATGAGCACATTAAATAACAAGAAGGGCAGAATGACTGTAATTTTGAAGTAGTGATGAGCATGAGTGCTATTTTAAGATATTTGCATCAATGTGATGTGAGATGAGCATATCTGTTTTTTGGTTTTCTGTTTTTGTGACAGGATCTTGTCTGTTGCCCAGGCTGGTGTGCAGTGACACTATCATAGATACCTCACTGCAGCCTCCAATGTCCAGGCTCAAGTGATCCTCCCGCCTCAGCCTCCCAGAGTAGCTGGGACTATGGGTGTGCAACACCACACCTGGCTAAATATCTGGGATTTCTATAGATGACCAGAAGACTACTGTTTTAATCATGTATTTGTCGAACTAAGTGCCTTTGAAAACTATGTGTGTGTATCACTTTTACAAAGGACCATAATTAATTAAAAAATAATTAGAAAGTATAATTTTATTTTTATTCAGGTAGAAGAAGTGAATGAAAGAAAGTTTAATGAGAGTGATATAGAGCCTCAAGTGTGAGATGAGGTGAACGACTTTGAAATAGCAAGTTCTTAAGTTTGTATGGTACTTTACAGTTTGCAGTGTGCGCTTTTCACACATTCCATTATGTGATTTTCACAAGAACTTCTAAGAGAAGGCAGTACAGATATTATCCACACATTCAGTTTATAAATGAGAAAGTGAGTCAAGGCTCAAAATCAGGTGCTTGAGTCCTAATCCAGTGCAGCTTTATAGGTGAGAAAGGTTGGAGGTTCTCATGTGTCCCAGCAAGGCTCAGAGACCCATTGACACAAGGCTGATAGTCACAAGAAGCAGAGTTATTGGCTGGGCGTGATGGCTCACATCTGTAATCCCAGCATTTTGGGAGGTCAAGGTGGGAGGATTTCTTGAGCCCAGGAGTTTGAGACCAGCCTGGGCAACAAAGTGAGACTCCATCTCTACAAAACATTTTTAAGAAATTAACCAGGCGTGGTGATGCATGCATGTGGTCCCAGCTATGTGGGAGGCTGAGGCAGGAGGATTGCTTGATCCCAGGAGGTCAAGGCTGCAGTGAGCCATGTTTGTGCCACTGCACTCCAGCCTGGGTGACAGAGTGAGACCCTGTCTCAAAAACAAAACCCAAACAATTGGAGTTGCCATTTGAGGTTCAACTCTCAGGCCAGAGGTAGAGTTCAAAGGAGCTGCTGGGTTGAGATCTTTTTAAATAGGGTGTCCCTAGGAGACAAGAGTCCAAAGTTTCAGAGGGGCTCTCTTTTGCTGCCTGGAAAAACATCCCTGGTCTTGATATCATCACCCCGGCCTGAAGTTATTTCTAAGTCCTCCCCATCATCCCTTCCAAGAGCCCATCCCAGAGCCCTTGTCTGCTAGTGTAGCGAGTCTCTGACATTCTTGTTTTATGCCTCCGTGTGGCCCTAGTGGAGCTGTCAATCATGGTGCCTGGCCTCCTTCACACAGTTGGGCCAAGAATGGTGTCACATCCCTGGACACAGTGACTCGTCCAAGGGGTGGATGCACAGAATCCAGGCCAGTTGGGGGCCTCCCATGGAATCTTCTGATTGGAGGTGGAAAGCTAGTTTTTCTTAGTTTTAAATCATTAAGGGTTTATATCTGGAGTTGCTAGGAGCTATTTTCTCTGGCATGTGGAGAGAACTTTTCTGATGTAAAAGAGAGTGCTATTAAAATAGAGACAGTGAAAATGAGATGGAGAGAGAGAAAGAGAAGGAAGAGAGGGAGAGAGATGAGGGGAGAGGGGAAAAAGGATGGGGGAGGGGACAGAGGAGAAGGAAAAAGGGAGAGGGAAGAGAGGAGAGGAGAGACATCTCCTGGATCCTTAGTGGGTTTCACTTCCTATCCTGGGTTTGGTTCCTGGAACACTTCATTTCATTCTGTGAGCCATTTCAGTATCCTTCCCATCCAAGAAAGCCAAGAATACCCTTCTTGCTGAAGCCGGTTTGAACTGACTCTTGTCTCTTGCAACCCAAAAGGTCCTGACTGCCTACCAGGGGCCCCCAGGCATTATCGGATGTCAGGATTTGCTTATGAAACCCCTCCTTTTCCCTGCTAAGGCCTTTGGTACCCCCAGAACATGCAGCATCCTGAGACACCCTCCAAGCTCCTCAGCACCCTTCCTGGGCCTCCTCAGGCATGCTCTCCACAGATCTATGCTTGGACCTTCTTCTCTGATTCCAGACTGTCATCTGTTCATTTATTCAGCAAACATTTATAAGCATGGTGGAAACACAGCAACCAGTAGAATGGAAATAAAGACATGCCTAACTATGAGTCAATGTAAAAAGTAATTTACTTCTTAAAATAAATGAAAAGCTATGAGAGGTCAGAGGAAAGAGTGACCATTATGGGTGGGGTCTGGAAATGCTCCCTGGGAGCCGTAGATGGGCAGAGAGGTGGGATTTGGACAATGGAATGGAAGGAAAGTGTGTGAGCTTGATGGTGGCTGTGGTTGCTCCAGGAAGGAGAGGTCTAGAGAATCACAGTGGCAGCCTAGACCTGCAAAGTGCTGTGGGGAGCCCCAAACATGGTGCTGGAGCAGCCCTTCCTTTCATGGCCATGCTGTCCAGCTGGGCCATCCGGTAGTTCACTCTCAGCTCTAGTGCTAGTGCCTGGCTGGAGGAGGGCTTTACACATTTGTATCTTAGTAGTATGGGGGGCTGTCCATCCTTAACCCGAGGGGCTGACTACAGGAGTAGTTTCAGGCCTGGGGAGATGGGTGGATTTGTTGACTTGGGGACTCAGGAAACTTGCCACCATCGCCATGCACAGGGCTCATGGCAGAGTACTCCATCCACGCCAAGGCAGGCATTGCCTCTGTGGCTGTGCTTGGCGGGGTCTGGGTGGGGGCAGAGTGTCTCTGCTTGCTGAAGGAGGTGGTTGGCAGGGTGCCTACCTTCCTGGAAGCCTTGTGTGCCACCTCCTGCAGGAACCTACTCTTTGCCCCACCTGTTCCACCAAATGTAATTTTCCATGGGAAGACAGAAGCATGGCTTTCCCCCATTGGTACCACTTGCTGGTACCAATTCAATGGCTGAGATGGGTCAGATTCCCATGAGATAAGGAAAAGAAGTATTTTTAGCTGGTTCTGGAGAGGAAAGATCCAGCCTGTGTGTCTCTCCATAAAGCTTTTCTCTATAGAATAATTTGATACAGGTAGATCAACTTACCAACATCTTTCAAAACTAAACCATCTCGAACAAACAGAGATTTGAGGTTCTTTGTCATTCTTTCTTTCCTTCCTTTTTAAAACTCTGCTAATCCTAAAGTTTCAATAAGATGATAAAATCAATTTTAAAATAATTTGAATAATCAAACGCTCTTACTTTAGTCCAGACTAAAAAAATGGCAGCAAATATGAACCCATTGAATATCCTCTGCTCTGTCTAGATTGTTGTGTCCTGGAAATTGGTTACTGCAAGCCCTTACCTGAAAAGAATTGAGTACTACAGGTGTTAAAAGTAAAAGGAGAGCCTCTGAGACCCAGCAGGAGGGTCATCTCCTCCAGAAAGCCTCTTGGCCATGACACTCTTTCCTTCCTTACCTCTTGTTGAGAGCCAAGTACAGTGATGATGATGATGATGATAAATACAATCAATTGACAGCCTGTTATGTTCCACGTCTGTACGCATTATCTTGTTGGAATCCCCAGAAAGCCCCCATGTTGCAGGAGTAATAATAATAATGATGATGATAATGTCGATAAAACCAGAGGCAGATTTATCACAAACTAAGAAAGCTTAGGTTGTAAATTTCAGGGTCCCTCCTTTACATAATCCCCATTCAAGGACCTGAAAAGTTCTCTCTCTGTCTCTCTCTCTCGGAGACAGGATCTCACTCTATTGTTCAGGGTAGAGTGCATTGGTGTGATCATAGCTCACTGCAGCCTCCGACTCCTGGGCTCAAGTAATCCTCCTGCCTCAGCTTCACGAGTAGCTGGGACCACAGGTGTGCACCACCATGGCCAACTAGAAACATTATTTCACTGCAATCAGTTAAGATTGCTGTCTCTTTTCATGCCAACTTCCCCTCTGTCATCATCCCCTTGTATTAGGTGGCTTTGTAATAGCTATGGGAATCTTTAGGGAATACCTAATGGGAAGTTGAATTGGGAATGTTGGGTTCAGTGGGTATGCCTCTGTGTCATTCAGTCACTTCACAGTCTAGTTAAGTGGTGGCATTTAGGGATACTCCCAGTGTCCTATAGGCCAAGTCACTCAGTATAAAGAAACAAGGACATTGACAACAAGTGGTTAGTGGCTGCTGTCCTTTCAAAGTGTATTTTTAAGGTTAATCACCTCATGAGAAAACCTGAAATACCCTTAAGTCTTAGTTCACATGCAGAAAACACTTAGAAGTTTTTTCCATATTTGACCACAGTCCTAAAGATGGGCATCTCACTATAAATAATGAGTTGTAAAGCCAAAATAAATTTTTCTGAACTATGAAAAATAAAAAGGTAAATTTGGTCAACTATGTTGAAGAAAATGCTGATTTATCTTTCTAGTCTCTTGATAGAAGATATCACAGAATTATTGTATGAAGGGATAATCACAAAGTGTAAAAAAGTAGGGAAAGTATTAACACAAAAGCATTACATTCTAGATTTTGTAAGTTTTAGGCATCTCTTGGCTTTTAACAATTTCCTAATGTGTTGTGATCTCTTTTCTCATTCTAAATGGATAAACATTTTTATACCTAAGTTGATGGTCCTAATTCTGCATTCTTTTTCTTAAGGAGGGCCCCTAGGATTGTATCAGGCCCCACATAGCCTGGATCCAGACTTAAAGGAAACTCATGGAGGTCACAGGATATAGGATTTTTCTTTCTTGTCTTTAAAGCCAGGCACCTGGCAAAATTAACAGGTACTCTTTGTTATGCAAATGTATTTCACCTCATATCCATAATGAGAAAGTAAGTATTAAGACTTCCTGGCCATTAAATGTCTATTGCTGTCAATTGCAAGGCTATTTTAAATTATTTTTATTTTATTTTATTATATTTTTTTCAGAGACAGGGTCTCACTCTGTCTGTTGCCCAGGCTGGAGTGCAGTGGTGTGATCATAGCTCACTACAGCTTCAAATTCCTGGGCTCAAGCAATCCTCCCACCTCAGTCTTCTGAGTAGCTGGGACTACAAGCACATGCCACCACATCTGGCTAATTTTTGTATTTTTTTGTAGGTTTTGCTATGCTCTCCAGGCTGGTCTTAAATTCCTTGCCTCAAGGGATCCTCCTGCCTCAGCCTCCCAAAATGCTGGAATTACAAGCATAAGCCACCCTACCTGGCCTTAAATTTCATTAGTTCTGGAAAAAATATTTTGAGGGGGACAGAAGGGATTTTACTCTGCCTGCTTCGGTTTCCACAAGTTGCTTTCTCCCTGGGATTAAGGTCAGGGGCAGGCCAGAACTGTGCTGTCCTGCAAGGAACAGAGTCTACCACTCTCCCTGCTGGTCTTGGGGATTCAGTGGGAGAAAAACATCCCCCTTCAGGGGTCTTTAACCAGGGAAGCACTTCGGACCCTTTGGGAAGGAAGATAAGCATCCGCACGTTTCCATGGATTTGTCTGCTAAGGTAAGCAGGACTAGCGTTACAAATACCGAAGTTCCTTCACATAAAGCATACATTTAAAAGGAAACAAGGAAAATAAGCTCACCAGAAATGTTATCTTATTGCTAGTCACTGAAAATCCTTATATTGCAATGTTCCTTGGTTTTCAAGTAAGCTCTCTGAAGACATGACTGCCTCTAGGAAGGGTCTGCCCTGGCTATCAGATGAAACAATTCTCTTCAAGTTTTGCCAAGTTGTCCCTCAGCTAAATGGTCTTCTTCTCCCAATTCAGAGAAAAGATGAAGCTTTCAGGTAGACATTTAGCTTTCCACTGATAGATTTCTCTAACAACTTTAGCAGCAGCAGATGGTCAAACCTTAAGGGAGAAAATGGGAACTGGGAATTTTTTCCTACTTTCTCCCTCACCTCTTTGTGACACTCTAACCAAATGGAATCAAAGCAAATATGAGAAAAGTGAGGTTCCTCATCAGTTCAGTCTTCCCCTACTCCCAGGTCCATGTCACTAGTCAGGACATGCCCTTTTCATATTTTTATGACTCAAGGCATGGATACGTAGCCAGGCTGAATCGTCTGGAATTATAAGCATACATTAAATAAATATCCAGAACCCCCAGATGGGCAAATTTAAGATGGGCAGTCTCCCACAATTGAATGTTTTCATAATCAACTGGGCCTACTTGGGTGAAAGGCATCTGATATAGGATTTTTATGTGTGTGACGTCCTTTTTCCCTCCACAGAAGATATTATAAAGTGGTTAAGGGGGTGGATTTAACCAGATAACAAGTCATTTTACTTGCTAATGTTTGTCTTTGGAAAATAATCTTTCTGTGCCTCAGTTTTCTTATTAATAAAATGGGTATAGAAGTACTCCACGAATCAACTGCTAGTTTGCTCTCAGGTTCATCTCTGTACTTCCTCTGCTCTTCTCTGAATCACAGGGGAACTCATTTCCCAGAATCCTTTGACTTCTGGCCCCAGATTCAAGCCAATAGGAGAACTTGACAGAAGGTCTGAGGGTAGGAGACAGAGAGAAGGCAGGGCATTACTCCCTCTTTCTCTCTTTGCTTCCTGTGATGTGCTGGTAGCAGTCTCATAGGTCCAGTGCCCACCAGATAGTTCCTGCCCCTCAGGAGGAGGTTCCAGGCTGCAGCTCCAGTGTCCTCTTAACCACTGACCCATGCCCTGGGCTTGGTGACCATGACACGGGGTTGGGTAAACAGAGGTTAGTGTTCTGCTGTTGTTGGATTTCCTTACCTCTTGATACCCCTTTACGCCAGTGAGCATGTTTCTCTTTTCCTGAAATAGAGAAAGAAAATCTGGTGTCAGCTTTCTCAACCTCTACCAGTAGAGCTCTAAAAACAAGCTTAACTGGAAACTTGGTCTCAGCTCCTACATGGAGTCCTTGTGATAGTTCTAGCTCATGCCACTCCGTCTCAACTTGGCACAGGAAACATGACCTCTTTCCATTGTCTCTCCAGCCCCAGGGTTTAGAGTAGCTCCTTATATTTTCTACTCTCTGAGCTGCCTCCCAGCCCCTTGTTTGGCCTCTCAGCAGTTTCAGTGTATTCATAACTAATTCCTTATATTCAATTCCTTCTATTTGAGACACCTAGAGTGGTTTCTGTTTTCCTGGCTGGACCTTGATTGTTACAGATACCAAACCAATGGGGCTACTGGGAAGATTAAGTGAGCGAAGATATATAATTGCTTAGAATATGTCCTGGAACACAGCAAGTGCTCAATAAATGGTAGCTATCAACATAGACTTTCTCAGCAATAATTATGTGAGCACAACAAATGGATTAGTATTACTTTTTCTTTTAATCTTTGTGGTTAAAACATGACATCACTTAAATCAGAGATATCTGAAATGGACACATCTGCCAGGAAAGACTACTGAGTGTCTCTAGCTCATGTGCAGCCTCCAGTTTCCATAGAAACCAAGCAAAGAAAATTTGCTAAAGGAAGCCTACAAAATTACAAGTAGATTCAGGTCTGTATGATTGTGTCTCAAGCCCTTTTAGCATATAAGCAGACTGTTATTACTAGTATCTTATTGTCTCTCTAATATCTTTTTTCTTACAAGATGCAATAGACCCAGATTCTTTTTCTATGCAGAGGATGACACAAAGTATAGGATTTCTTTGCCACAATACATTCCCTATCACATTCCCAATAGCAGTGCTTCAAAGGCTACTGTTATTGTGTCTATCTGCCAAATTGCTGGATAAACCCAGCTCTTGTCATTCTGTGGCTAATCAGAGGTTGTTTGTTGTCTGCTGTTAAGATACAGAAACAAAGAACCAAAAATATTAGTTTAAGCAAAACCCCAGAGTGAGAGACACCAACCGAAATCCCAATTAACATCCTGCAATAGACCTCAGCTGGAATGGAAATATGAAATTCTCCTGCATGGAGGTGGGGTGGGGGATGGAGAGATTCCTGGATCATTTGGTTTCAGCCCAATTCCTCAGGATTCCTCTTTAGCCATCGGAATTGGTGACAGTAACAAATGAGACAGCTTCAAGTCAGGCCTGCCAGAATTTGAATCAATAACCAGGCAATCTTGCTTCAATTTCCAAGCAATTTTAAATCTTTTTCTTTAAAATACTTTTGAGAGAGGAGGAATTGAGAGGATGGGGAGAAAATGCAGGCATCTTGAATACCAAGGTGAACTTCACTACTTTTCTGTGCAAAAGAAGGGTTGCAGGTGTCCCCTAGAGGTATCCCTGGGGCAGTGGAGAGGCTGGGCTGCCCCTAGCACAGTCAACAGAACCTCCTGCTCAATGGCCTCCCTTGATGAATGACTGTTGCTGAGTGAACACTTAGCTGGTTAGAGCACAGAGAAAATAAAAACAAGCATGGGGCATAAGTCCCCTTGAGTGCTTGTGATTGGATTGCAGCATGGTTATGGAGGGCAGGAAGGCAGAATAGAAGAAGCTCTAGGCTTGGTGTCAAAAGCTCTGGGGACATCTTGGTTCCGTCATTTTTAAGCTGCATGACTTTGAGCAAATCACTTCTTCATTCATTTGTTTTTTCACAAGGGGCTCAGGAAAAAAAGCATGTGATTCAGTGCAAAGCAAAGGCAAAATTGGAAAAGCTTGCTTGTGAGTAAGCACGTAATGCACACATAAACACCAGAACATCAATCAGTCAGCATTTATTAAACTTCTACTCTGAAACCAGTATTACTACAATAATGACATTATGAAAACAACCCAGAGAACTCTTTCCACATGGACTGGCTATGGGAGCAGGTGAGAGAGAGCTAATGTTTCCCTAATGGCAGTAAAGAGAACTCCAGATCAGAACCACAAAATCAATGCCTCCTATATGGCCTCTCTTGAGCCCCTAGTTGGCAGAGCCCCTTTGGCCATCTTTGATTATTCTAAGTGTGACTCTTCCACCCATGACTTCTGTGGCCACAGATAAGAGTATTGCATCTAGTTGGAATTCTTAAAAGCATCCTACATTTTTGCCATGCTCCTGCTGCTTTTAGGGGCCAAAAATCAAATGCTTTTTGCTGCACTTTTGTTTTATTAGGAAAGGGAAGTCTTCGCCTTAGGGTTGAGTTAAAGAATACAGAAGTGCACAGGGAGCAGAGGGATGAAGGGTTCCATCAAGCAGGTCTTAGTTGCTATGGCATCCAGATTACTACTTAAATCATTCTAGGGAGAGGCATCCCAAAGGGCATAAGGTGAGTCTCAAATGTGCTATCATTTGTGCTCCTTCATTACAAAGTTTCTTACAATTGCCAGTGAGCTAATCCTCCCAACAGGACTGATGAGGCAGATCAATACTAATATCCCCTTTAGAGCTCAATATTATTATCTACTTTAAGGCTCATTATGTTATCAGCCAATTACTCCATCTTTAAAGTCTCATCAACATCCCTCATAGCAATACCCCATTTTGTGATTGTAAGTCTGTGTTACCTGTGACACACTGGACCTGTTCTCACAAGAGAGGCAAGAACTAGGGTAAGTGGTACATGAGACACCGTGGGGTTGAATATTATCAGCATGCAGAGTTGCTCAAATGTGAAGACTCTAAGCAAAGGCACTGGGGAGCAATCCAGAGAACAGAACCACCTGCCTACTCACTGGGTGACCTTGAGAAAGTCACTTCTTTCTGGGATCCTGTTTGTGCACCTGCAGAATGGGGATAACTAAAATTTCGATCTCTCCTTCTTATCTTTTCTCTTTTACAGAGTTGTTAGGCTAAAATGAGACCATAGCTGTGAATATCCTTTGGCAGGAAATGCAGTAGAGAATGCAAGAGGCAACAATGATGGTGTGTATCAAAGCAGTGATATTAAACCAGCTTTGTTCTTCATAAATATTGACCCTGGAGTACAAACCAATGGACTCAATAGAATGCTTAGCTGGTTGGTTTTAATAAGATGACAGGCTGCCATGTCACACATGAAGAAATTAAGACTTGCTCGAAGTCACCCAGTGAGACAACTGGCAAGGTCTAGAAGGCAGAATTGAAGGTCTCCTGTAGGGTGGCCAATTTGTCCCAGTTTTCCTGGGGCTTTCTTGGAAAACGAAGATGGCTGGTCACCCATCTCCGAGGCTGACGCTCCATATCTGCACCCTCCCTGGACCAAGGAAGCCCAGGCAAACTGTGGATAGCTTTCTCAGGCCTGGTTCACTGATGGGTTCACCAGGAGATTCTTGGTTAATGTCTAGTGGATGATGTCTGAATGTTGGAATCCTTGGTGGTCACTGAGCCTATCTTTCCATCACCGAGACCATTCTGGGAGCTTTCCCTTTTCAGAAAGGCCCCGAGAAGGAGAACTTTGTAGGCTCTGTGAGGAGATTTCCTGAGGAATGAGGGGGTTGGGAAGTTAAACTTCAACAACAACCTACCTTCCTCAGGTTGGCAGTGTCTGCTTTCAGATATCTCCTTCAGGGCGCTGGCTCCACCCAGCAGCCTTGTCCTACCTTCACTGACTCTGAAAACCCACATGGGCCACACACACATAGTTATGTGATCATGTTCTCTTGCAAGGAAAGTTCAGGTACCATTTCATAAGAAACATAAATATTGAAGATCTTAACCACATTGCCAACTGGAGCAACCCAGTCCTGTCCTCCATATTTATTCTAGAGGTTTCCATGTATATATGGCTTAGTCAAAAGTCATGTGACCTTTTCAGGATAGTACCTTAAAGTCTCCCAAATTCCTAAGTGGGAATTTTAGATTCAATGCCTCTATTGAATCTAGGACATGTAGATGCTCGGACCTTAGGGGCAGTAAATGTGGCCTCTCCATACAAAGTCCAATGTGGTGCTTCCTGTGTGAAGCAACATGAGCCCCCCATCTTTCTTGGATAGGCACGGAACATGGATTTAACTTAGTAAAGATGATATTCTTGCAGGAAACAGGAGTGGGAAAGGGCAAGAGGGTCCTCTTGGGCTATCAGTCCTTGGGCCCTGGCATTGCATCCCTTCCCAGCCCCCAGCCTGAAACTGAACCTCCAAGGTCTCTAGTAGAGTCCATGGGCCCTGACATCAAAGCCCTCCTGAGGCTGGCTGGGTAAGGGTGGCTGGGCAGCTCAAGATGCAGGCCCCATGGGCATGGCAAGGGCACTGCTGGTCAGGCAATACTAGGGAAAGAAATGAGTGCTGCCGAGGATTCAAGCATCAAGTGCTAACACGGGGCCAGGAAGGCAACACAAACTCCCTGTTCGTCCAGGAGCTCTCCATTCCCAGTGAGCTGATGGGATACAGGGAGCTGGCTTTAGCCCTCTGCACAAGAGAACTGGCCAGAGCTGGGTGGGAAATCAGGACTTTGCCAGATGGGTCCTCTTTCTCCTAGAATTGGGACTTTTACCCTTTTTGGGTCATAAACCTTCTGGCAGTTTGGCGAAGCCCATAGACCTTTTTTCAGAATATATATGTGTTTCTTTTTTAATGCTTTAAAATGACAAGATAAAATGATGGGTCTAATAATTGCTCTAATTCTGAAATAATGATGAGTATACATGATATTTCAAAATATGTAACAATACAATGTTATGAAAATACCTGTGAATTCTATTGGTGACAAAGTCACAGGTACTGTGACCACTCTGGTTATTGCCTTTATTCATAATTGAAGAAAACACTAACTTTCAGTTATAGCAGAGGTCAGCAAACTTTTCTGTAAAGGGCCAGATAGTAAATATTTTAGGCTTTGTGAGCCATATGGTCTCTGTCAGCAACTATTCAACTCTGCTGATATAGCTTGAAAGCAGCCACAGATAATATGTAAATGAATGAGCATGGCTGTGTTCCCATAAAACTTTATTTATGGACAGTGAAAGTTGAATTTCATATAAGTTTTACAAGTCATGAAATATTATTCCTCTTTTGATTGTGTTTTCCAACCATTTGAAAATGTAAAAGACAATCAGAGCTCATGGGCTATGAAAAAATAGGTGGTGAGCCAACCAGATTTGGCCTGTGGGCCATAATGTGCCAACCCATGAGTTAGGGGTTAGTGAGAATAAAAATGCAACCTTTGTTTACCATCCAGGTTTGTAGGCCCCAGATTAAGAATCGCCATCTTAGAGGAGACTGGGGGAAATTGGCAAACCCCAGAGAGGGAACCTCAGCAGAGGTCCAGGCTCATGAACAGCCTGATTTAGAGAACTGGTGGGGTGAGGCGATGTGCTGTGCTGGAGGCTCCCTGGAAACTTAGAACTGCCCTGTAAGGGGTGTCTCCAGGAAAGCTGGTTGAATAACACAGATGCTAAGTTCCCACTGAACGGTGGGTGATAGCTGTTGGAACACCTATTGCTGTGGCCAAAACCCGTGCTTCAGAAACCAGCTTATCTCCAGTGCCTAGCATAACGTCTGGCACACAGTAGGTGCTCACACACTGTGTGTTAAATGAATGACTGAAACCAGCCAAGGTCTGCAGGTGGGATCAGCAGGAGATGTAGCTTCAGGAGCTAGGGAAGACAAAGGCCAAAAAGAGGTTGCTGCTGATGGCCAATACCATTTCCTTGACCAGGGCTATGGCCTGGAAGTCAGGATTCTCCCATTCTAGGCTCCAGCCAGATGCCTTGTATATCTGTATGGAAAAGACAATGGGATGCTTTCATCGACCCCTTTACTTTCCCCCTGGACACACAAAAGGCATTCAGGTAAAATCATGTGACTGAATTCTGAATGTGGGTGGAAATGATGTAGAATACTTCCAAGCTTGCCCCTTAAAACATCTTGTAATTTTCCATTCTCCCTCTTTCCATCTTCCACAAGGCTGGAAGAGAAGGGCCCCAAGATAATAAAGCCACACATGGACCGGGCAGAGATCCCTGAGTGGCCACTGGAAGGTGAGCTGCCTGAGAAGAGTCACCATATCTTCTTTGACTGGAGAAATAAACTTTGTGTTAAGTCACTGAAATTATTTTTGTTACAGTAATATAACCTAGCCTATTCTGACAATGCACTTTGTTCTCAAGGCCAGAGAGAATGCACTTTACCTGTCTATCTATGTATGTACTTATTTATTTAGAGATGAGGTTGTACTCTGTTGTCCAGGCTGGAGTGCAGTGGCGTGATCATGGCTCACTGTAATCTCTAATTCCTGGGCTCAAGCAATCTTCCTGCCTCAGCTTCCTAGGTAGCTGGGACTACTGGTGTGCACCACCACACTTGACTAGCTTTTTAATTTTTTAGAGATGGGGTCTTACTGTGTTTCCTAGGCTGGTCTTGAACTACTCAACCAATCCTCCTGCTTTAGTCTCCCAAAGTGCTGGGATTACAGGTGTGAGACACCATGCCCAGCCAAGAACGCACATCTCTTATGAAGCTTTCTTAGTTTGGGTTCCCTAGAAACAGACCTCGAGACAAGGAGTCAAGCACAAGTAGTTGTTTGGGAGGTGTAGGAAACACCAGCAGGAGAGAGAGAGTGAGATGGCAAAAGAAATGAGCCAATACAGGGTGTTCATCAGAACAGCTACCACTGTGAATGAGGAGCTTGATCCTGTGAGGAAACTCTGAACTGGTGTAGAAACATGCCTCCAAGTTATCCTATTGATGGGAAAGGGGGCTGGGGTATGTATACACTACCTTCTGTCAGTCATTTTTTGAGAGCTGTTGAGAGTGAGAGTTTATCTCCCCAGCACTGGAGGCTCATGGTGCCTTGGAGTAAGTCAGCTAGAGAAAGGTACAAGTCCCGGCAACTGGACGTAGGCTGGTGCATCCTCAAGGGTATTGGGAGGGTGGGGAACTAATAGCATCTGCCACATAGTGGCCTTTGTTTACAAGCTTTTTTGGTTTTGTTTTTGTGTCAAATTTGTGGATCACCTGAAACCACTCAGGACCCCATGGTTTTGCTTTTACTCATTTGGGTCCTCAGCTGCTGATAAGGGAATTGTCTGCCGAAATAGGAGAGAAACAGCCTGGGTGCAGTCATGGAAATGGCACCAGAGAGAAATGATATATTTTTCTTATGCTTCCACAGTCCTGTGCCATTGGGCCTCTCATCCTTTCTTTTTGAACCTCAATTTCACCGTCTGTAAAATTCAGAGGGCTTGAGTGATGACCGCTAAGTACTCTCCCAAGTCTAAAATTGCAACTCTAAAATGTTCCAACTGTAACATTGCACCCAATGCACCTGTTAGTGAAGGTTCCCTCAGTCACAGGGTGGGAAGGAAGCACATGATTAGAGAAAAGGGGATGCACACAGGAGAGGCTCTCCTGGGCCTGGGGGATGGGTGATTATAATCACCTTGACTGGGATTCAGCCAAAGCATTAGCTGAATTTTTTTAGTCCACCAGACTAGGTTATAACCTTGATGGACTCTCTGAATATGTCATGGACCTCAAGGCATAATATTGATGGGGACTGCAGATATAGCGTATATCTGTGTGTATGTATATATCATATTGATTTTAATTCCTATTCAAGGGGCTTGATGTCTATTTCGTTTGTTGGATGAAAGGTACTCCAGGTTAATACTGTGGTTTCAAGGTGAGATGGAAACCCTGGGACTGGGAGTCTGAGATCCAACTGGGTGGGTCCTTGCTTGACCATGTACTTGACCTTGAACTGTTTTATAATCCCATCAAGCCCCAGTTTTCTAACCTGCAGATGATGGGCCAAGACTAAATGATCTCTAAGTTTCAGCTGAACTCTAACCTTCTAATTTTTTCTTTTTATAAAACCCTTCAAGATATGCAATGGATGGAAAGATCAATGGAACCTCAAGTGACATCACTTTAGTTCAATGCCTCTTCTATTGACCTGGTCAAAACCTGTTTCTCTGGTTGTGTGACAGGGGATATCTACAAAGAGAGTATATGAGACTTTTTTGCCCGGCCCACAGCCTCTTTCCTGAACTCTGCCCTTCATCCCCATCACTCAAAGAATTAGACCCTGAGCAATCTTGTGTGCCTGACTAGTGGATTGGACTAAGCTGGGTCAAATGGATACTCTCTCCTTCAGATGTTGGTTTGGGACAGAGAAATATAAGTGATTCCTAGTTGGTCCCTTGAAAGGAGAACATGTACATATGGAAGCCATAGCAAAGATATGTACTTGTCTTTGAGGGGCAAAGAAAAGCAGTCTGCAGAGAGCAAATAAGGCAACTGTGTAGACAGGGAGCTTGACTACACGGTCCTGGGGAGAATAACGTAGGCCCCATGTCACCGTCATTCCTAAGCCTGTCTGGCATTTGCATGCCCTTGAGTTTGGTGAGATAGATCTCCTGTAAACTTCTCATAAGCTGTCATATTTTTCTTAATCTAGACTGAGAGGATTGATCCCCTATGCAGACAAAGAGCTCTGATTGAGGAAAAGAAATTGGGGGATTAGGACTAATGAGGGTTTAAAGAAGACAAGATTAATTGGGGACCCAGGGACTTCATCTTAAAAAGTGACATGCTGGACCTATCCTCAATGGGGAGAAACATATTTTTGTTTTTGTTTTTGTTGGCTGGTTATTTAACTGAGCAGCTGATTGTTGAGTTAGTCTTACTCCTCAGTTTATGATGAGTAAAGATCAAAGTTCCTCTTCTTTTTTCTTTTAGTATTTTCACCCCTTTATTTCCAATTCATGTTCCCATATTTCCTCATCCTTCTTCCTCCCAGGCAACCACTGTAATGTGTTTTATATATGACCTGGTATATGCTTGTATCCTTGAAAACACACAGTGTTGTTTTGTTTATGTATGTACTTTTATTTCCACAAATGGCCTTGTGTTAATCTCATTCTGTATTGACTATGGTTTCACTCAACATTATGGTTTTGACATCTGTGTTGCTGTATACACATCCAGGTCATGGCTTCAATCAAAGTATCTGATTCCATCATATGTGCCTATTACTTTTTGTTACCTGCTCCCCTTGTGATGGACACTTAGGTTGCCTCTAGCAGCCTGTTATCACAGTGCTGCAAAAAAGCATCCTTGTACATCTCTACTTGTGGTCTTTTACGCATGTTTCCAAGGTATATACGCAAGAATGGAATTACTGGATCATAGAGTGTAAATCTATTTAATCCCATTTCATACTGTCAGATTGTTTGCTAGAGAAATTACATCATTTAACACTTGCCAATTGTACCCATCCAGCTAAAACTTGGTATTACATAGTTTTCTAATTTTTGCAGCCTTAATGGGTAGAAAGTTGTATCTCATTATTATTTCATTTTGCATTTATTTAATTATATTATTACTAATAAGGCTAAGCATCTCTTCATCTCTTCTATTAGCTATTACAGTTTCCCCTTCTATCTAGTGACTACAAGTCCTTGTTTGCTTGGTACAGTCCAGGTTTTTGGCTGTTGCCCTGGTGAAGTTATTAAAAGTGCCTTTTTTTGCTGTTAAGTGTCCCGGTTAAGTTAATAAATGATATGGTCACCCTACCCTTCTATAACTTATTTATATTCTTTGTTTTTTTATTGCATTTTCTATTTTTTCTTTATTTGTAGGATTCCTATTATAGTGTAGATATATACACTATATATATATAGTGTATATATATATAGTGATGAAAAATCTTCCTCCAATTTGCCACCTATTTATCAGCTTTGTGGGGTTGTTAGTCAAGCATAATTTCATTGATGTAGTCAGATGGATCAAATTTGAATATGTTTTATGATTTGGGCATCTTGTTCAAAAAGTCCTTTTCTACCCCAAAGTCACAAAGATATTCTCTACATTCATTTGTATTATTTTAATAATTTTACTTTTCACATTTAGGTCCTTAACATATCTGGGACTATTTTTATGTATGGTCTGAAGCAAGGACCTAACTTGCTTTTTCTTCATAGAGTCAGTCAGTTTCCTCAACAACATTGAACAAACATCCCATCCTTTTCTCACTGGTTTGTGATCCTTCCCTATTTTATACTATTTTTTTCAGAGCTCCTTATTTTGCTCTATTGATCTCCTTCTCTGCAACTGTGTCACTAGCATCCTTCATAAAAATATATTTTGACTTGTAGTGCATCTTACTATCATATAGAACAGATATCTTCTCTTTGCTCTCAAAATAGATTTTGCTATTTGTGTACCATTATTCTTTCATATAAATGTTAGAGTCAAGTCTTCAAGTTCCTCAGAATACTCTGCTGGAATGTTTATTGGAATTGCATTGGATTTATGGATTAATTTGGTGAGAAATGACATTTCTACACTAAGTTGCTCCATCTAATAACATGGAGTGGCCCTTTACCTTTTTCACATCTTCTTTAATGCCTTTTAATTGTTTAAATTTTTTGAATACATGAAAACTCTATGTATTACATGTATTCTTTGTGGGATTAGTTTAGAGATATTTATAGTTTTGTTGCTATATTGGCTATTGTGTGTTCTACTATATTCTCCAGTTGGCTGTTCCTGGTATAAACTATTTTTTCTGTGCTAGAAGCAGTAAGGCAATCTGTCATATTCTTTCATCCTGACCTCTTGGTGACCAAAGACATGTGTTTATGACACAAGCAGATGGGGTTCAGGGTGTGGTCTGGACAAAACTGAAACAAAACTATCGGCTTATATGGGTCCCTCACATGTAGATATTTAATGAAAATTTCTAACCAATGGAACTATCTGGCTATAGATGTCAAGTATAAATCCACCAGAAGAATACAGCTCTCCAGAACTGGAGTGGTCTCAAGCCTCATCTAGTTCATCTACTGGATGCTTTTGTCTTCCATATGGTGTATTAGTTTGGTGGCTGGCCAGCTGGTGCTTGAACACTTCAGGGACAGGAAATCCACTACTTTGTGAAGCAGCCCAATCCACATCTGTACAGCTCTCAAGTTGTTTCTCCTTCTTCTTGAGCAATAGTGTTCTAGCATGCCTCTGTATTATGCCTTCTATATACTGTGCTTATCATTTTACCATTTTATATAGCAATAATTTGCCCATGTCTCTGTTGCATCTACAGAGCTGTGCATGCCTTTGAGGAAGTGGCTGTGACTTAGTGAGATTTATTAATTTATTTTGTAGTCTCAGGGTCAGCAAGTGCCTGGTACATAGTTGGCACCAAAAGATATTGAACAGAGGAGCCTGTATAGAACGTCTCTTATGTACCTTTTCTGATCTGCTTGGCACCCTAATCTCTGCACCCTCAGCTGCTTGTCCATCTCAGCCACCACCGTGTCTGCCCTTCTTTGAGAGACCACTCATAGTAGAGGCCACTCTGAGAATGACAGCTACAGCTGCTGAGTCAGCGTGGGTCTGTATGGTTTCATTTCCTGGGGCCCACCAGTCACTTGTCCAGAAAGCTGGCCCATCTCCTTTTACTGTTGCTTTGTAGCCTGGCCAACCAGTTACGCATCTGGAGTTTTTGGCTACTCCTACTCCGTCCATACTTAGATGAAATGCTCTACCATAAGGTGTGGGATCTGACATCCCAAATAGCTCCTGAGGGGCCACCTGGACATGCAGGGGAGTTCATTCCCTGTGTGGTCAAATTTTGACCAATGCAAACAGATAAGAGGGTAAATATCCTTCTGTTGCTTCCTCTCATAGACCATTCCAAGTTACACTTTTGCCATTGTCTCTGTTTGAAAAAAACCTGTGTGACGAAGCATGTGGACTGAACAAGTGATCAGCTGTGTCTCTCCATGGCTCATGATATATGTTAACACATGACATTAGTCACACAGTATATTAACATGTCACACAGCAATCACTTCCTCTTTCCCCCTCTCTTATTGCCCTGGGATTGCACCTCTCAAATAGAATCTCAACCCTTAAACCTTAGCTCAGGCTCTCTGTTTCCTAGGAAACTTGAGTTAAGACAAGGACCTATAGAAAACAAAACAAAACAAAACAAAAACAAACAAACCTGACCCTTCAGGTTCACAATGGTCCTTTCAGAAACTGACCTTAGCTATCATTGTACCTCTATCTGCAAAATAGTCTTCTTTTTTCCTATTTTTTCTCTGCTCTTTCAAAGCACCCACCTATGCCATCTTGAACTCTCTCCTCTAAATTGGCTCTTTGTCAATATCCCTCTCATATGTGGTGGTGTTGGGAATGGAAAGCCATATAAAATATAAAATTCTCCTTTTGAAAGCAGCATAGCCTGAGTTCATATTTTTCCTTGCTTTAGAAAGAACAAGAAATATTAGTACGCTGAAGTGGGACTAGATTGGATTAGACTTGTTGAGAAGACCTCTTTGATGATGATTGTTATGACTGAGATTTAAGGGGTAAGGAATTAGGATATAGGGAAATGTCGTAGGCTTCCTGGAAAACTTTTATAATGTGCCTGTGCATAGTACTATTTACAAAACATTTACATCACTTTATTTTATTTGACCCCAACAGCCACTGTGTAGTGCAAATTATCATTATCCCCATTTTACACACACAAAAAGCTAGTTCAATAATATTAAGTGACTTCAATATCTTATTGCTAGTAAGTGGCCTGGTAAGGATTGGAACCCATCTCCAAACCTTCTTTAAATTGATCCTAACCCATTTAGAAAGGTGTAAAATCAGTTATAGGGAGTAGACCTATTAATTTAGGTCTCTCCCCCATCACCAAACTGAAGAGTAGTTAATAAATTAAACACCGGGGCTCAGAAACACCAAGGCAGCCTGATGAACATGGTGTTCCCAGAGAGCATGGGAGCAGCCTATTGCTGTTTCTCCAAGACATCCTGGCTGCTGAATCTAATTCCTAACAGGTGCCCCATAGGTGGGAGAAATTAGTAAATAACACTCGACCTTATGATACAGGCAGTGTAACTGGAACAAAAGATGATAATCAAGGCCAGAAATGTTTATTGTACTTACACTGTGTGTCTAACAAGAGAAGCAGGCATCTGTGTAACTGAGGAAGCTAAGATACTTGATAAGACCAGGTCTGCCCACAGACAATGAGAAAATGAAGAAAAAATAATCAATGTCAAGAGTATGGCTGAGATGGACACCAGTCAGTGAAAGCGATTAAGGAAGAATCAAAGGAATTGAGGTTCCCTCTGACCTCAGCGGCAGCTCTGGCATGATACTTGCTGTGTGGCCACCAGCAGGCGCCCGCTTTTCTCTTAGACTTTTCTTTTTAAGCAAAGAATCATGCTGCCAGCAGGGCGAGGTGGTTCACTCCTATAATCCCAGCACTTTGAGAGGCCAAGGCAGGCAGATCATGAGGTCAGGAGATTGAGACCATCCTGGCTAATACGGTGAAACCCTGCCTCTACTAAAAATACAAAAAATTAGCCGGGCATGGTGGTATGCGCCTGTATCCCAGCTACTCGGGAGGCTGAGGCAGGAGAATCGCTTGAACCTGGGAGGCGGAGTTTGCAGTGAGCTGAGATTGCGCCACTGCACTCCAGCCTGGGTGACAGAGCGAGACTTTGTCTCAAAAAAAAAAAAAAAAAGGTATCATCCTGCCTAGGATCAAAGATAGAAGATAAATAGCCATGTCTTGTAAATGAGAAAGAAATGTTAGGAATTGATAACCCAACACAGCTCAATCGGTATCACCAAGCAATGTTCATTGATGGGTTTTCATCTAGTTATTTCTCGGAGTCAAAGCTCTCCAGATGGAGAAGCAGTTAAGACATCTTCAGTCTGTTCTCTCTTCCACTAAGTTCCACTGCTGTAGTTCATGCTCTTGTCATCGCCTGAATGAATTATAACCATAATCCAAACTAGTTTCTTTACTTACACTTTCTTCTTCTCCCATTCACTCCTTACATTACTGCCTGAGTTATGTTTTAAGAGACATCTTTTTAAAGACACATTTGGAAGAATGCATTAACGTCTCCATTTTTTCACCTCTCCCTGAACCTACACCCTTTGCCTCAGCCTTTGCAGTTCCTACCGAAAAGAGGGAGGATATTACTCACACCTTGATTTTGGGACTGACCATGTGACTTGTTTTAGCCATCAGAATGGGGTGAAAGTGATGATGTGTTAGTTCCCAGCCTAGGCTTTAAGAAGCCTAGGGACATTCCCTCTTGCTTACGTGTGCTTCTGCTATTGCTAGGAGAGGAAGATACCTTGGCTAGTCCACGGGTTCTAGAAAAAAGATGAGAGACACATGGAGCAAAACCTCCCTAAGATGCCCTAACTAACCCTGGCCTAGAGCAGAGCTCCAGTCAACCAGCAGATGCATGAGTGAGCCCAGCTGAGACTAGATTAGCCAACAGCCTTGAGCAGTGTCCCAGCTGATTTGTAAACTCAAGTATAGTATATTATTTTTGCTTTAAGCTACTGAGATTTTGGAGTAATTTGTTATGTGGCAATAGCTAACTGATATATTTACTGTCTCATTAGTTTACTTAAAAAATTTTCTATGACTCCCTATTGTATGCAGGATAAAGTTAAAACTCCTCAGCATGGCATTGCATACCCTTCAAATTCCTCTCTACTCTCCTCGTGTGCCACAGCCTCCAACACCTCTTCTCTTCCTGTATTAGCCATTCACCAAATCTGTCAAGCACTTCCCCACCTCAGTGCTCCTGGCTCCAAATCCGTGGGGCATCCTCTTCTCTAACCTGCTGAAAGTTTGATCATTCTTCAAATCTAGCTCAAGTCTAATTTTCATGGTGAAAAAATGTCTCTGTCAACCATATTAGGTGCCCCCTATCTACCCCTGTATGAGAATTAATCTCTCCTTTCTTTATGCTTCCACATCACTTGATTCCTATTTTGGGCACAGCTCCCTTAAGCTGTATTAGAGTTGGTTGTTCTGGAACTACTGGTTAGTGCCCATCTAAATCTGTGTTCTTCCTGTCTTTTTTTTTTTTTTTTTTTTGAGACGGAGTTTTGCTCTTGTTGCCCAGGCTGGAGTGTAATGGCATGATCTTGGCTTGTCGCAACATCTACCTCCCGGATTCAAGTGATTCTCTTGCCTTAGCCTCCTGAGTAGCTAGGATTACAGGCACCGCCACCATGCCCAACTAATTTTGTATTTTTAGTAGAGACAGGGTTTCTCCACGTTGGTCAGGCTGCTCTTGAACTCCCCACCTCAGGTGATCTGCCCGCCTTGGCCTCCCAAAGTGCTGGGATTACAGGCGTGAGCCACCACGCCTGGCACTTACCTGTCTTTTTTCATGCCACAAATCCTGATTTTGTTCAGAATAGCAATGTCCCCAACTAGCCCTGAATACCTTTCTCTATTTTTCAGGATTGCGCTGCATACAGAACAATGAAATTCTGATGGATGTAGTTGTTTTCATTCTACCTCCCCCAAAAGGCAAGACCTCCATAAGGGCCAGGAAATAAATCATAACCATGTTGTGTCAACATTCAGCAGAGTGGCAGGCACACAGCAGGTCCCGATAAATCCTTGTTGAATTGAGTTGAAATATTCTCATGACCTGAGAGCCAAAGGTTTAGGGGTTCTATGTTTAAGTTTCATCCTTTTAGCAGAGATCATAGAACACCTACCTACCTGTCTGCCCTCCAGCTCACCTCCCTTTTTCTCTGCCTCTGATACCATGCCTTCATGTCATCTAAAGAGAATTGAAAAAGGTGGACATTGCTAACAAATGAGACAGAAGGCTTAAGGACAGTATTTCACTATCTACAAAAATGAAGCCAAGGCTAACAAGCTTCTCCACCTATTAATGATTTGACACCTCATTAGTACTGGAATGGGGCCCAAAATGGTTAGAGGGATAATTCTTACCTCCCCTACCTCTATTGTCATCTAAGAAGTGTTTCTAAATAAACCCTGCAAACTTAAGGGAAATGTCAAAGTGACCCAGCAGGATGCAGCCCCCTACCCTCACCAATGGACCAGTGAAGAGGGGAGGGGTGGCCTCAGGGCTAACCCTGGAGCTGTGTTCTCAGCCACCTTCCTCATCCTGAGAACAGTGTGCCAGACCAAAGTTGTTTTTACAAGTTGCAGTTCACGAATATCACCTCATTCTCCAGGATTTCTGATTTTGCCCTTTCCTCCTCTTTTTCTCTTTCAAGTATGATCAGATTTCTCTTCTCTTGAACAAAACCAAACTCCATCTCCTGACTTTTTCTGACCGGTCACTCTTTTTAGAAAGAGTGCCCATTTCTTCTTATTTTTCTCCCCTTCTCTCTTGCTGTGCCTCCAATTCTTACCCATCCATTTTCTCCTGATTTGCTGGAGCCTGGCTTCAGTCCTGCTGTTCTACTGTAACTGTGCTGGGTAAGGTTTTGGGTGAGCTGCCTCTTGCCAAGCTTCCTGCCCTCTCTTAGCCTTCATCCTCCTCAGCGCATCCCCACCTCTACTGGCTGTTTGAAAGAGCGGGTGACTCATGTAAGGCCCCCTTCTCCTAGTGAGGCTGCACTGACCACAGCTTACACTGAACTCCTTTTCCCAGTGGAAAGCAAGTGAGTGGTATATTCACTGCTTTATGCACATACATGTTTCATTTCCTAATACTTTAAAGGCTTCTTGAGACAGAGACTAAGTGTTTGGGAATTTGGGGACCCAAATTTGGGGACAGAGACCAAGTGTTTGGGAATTTCAATCCCTACAGATTGAAGGACTTAGCACAAATATGAGCTTGTAAATGATGCTTAATACGAGCCTAATTGATTATTTTCATTCTTTTTGTTGATCAATGTAGTGCTCTTCTTTCTCTCTTCCTGATCAAACTCTGTCCACATTTAAGCTGATCCTAACTCCGTTATCCTCAAACCATCTTTCCCGGTCAAAATTGATTTATCCCCATCACCACCCCCCCCAACAATTGGTGCTATTGAGGACTGTGATAAGCTGAACTGTGGCATCCAAAAATATCCAGGTCCTAATCTCCCAAACCTGCAAATGTTGCCTTATATAGCAAAAGGGACATTGCAAATGTGATTAAATTAAGAATCTTGAGATGGTGAGATTATGTTGGATTATCTGAGTGGTGCTATATGTAATCGCGAATGTCCTTAGAATAGGTAGGCGGAGAGAGCTGTGACTGCAGAAGAGGAGAAGGCAGTGTGACTAGGAAAGCAGAGATTGGAATGGTGCCTCCATACACCAAGGAAGGCTGGCAGCCATGAGAAGCTGGAAGAGGCAAGGAACAGATTCTCTCCCCAAAGCGTATAGAAAGAACTGGCCCTGCCAATTCCTTGACTTTAGCCTTATAAAACATAGTTTATACTCCTAGCCTCCAGAACTGTAAGAGAATACATTTGTGTTGTTTTAAGCCACCAAGTTTGTGGTAATTTGTTGCAACAGTCATAGGAAACTAATACAGGGACTTTAAATGCCGTCTGGTGTTTGGCTTAAACACTGCCTTGAATTGTCTTCTGGTTGACTCAAATACGTAAGTTTATTTCTCCAACCAGATCAGAAGCTCCAAGACGGCAGGCATCCACCTCCAATTTCTAGCCCAAGTCTGGGCACAAATGATTTGTTGGCTTTAATTTAGTTGAGTCTCTCAGGTGGGTCTGCTGCAATCTGCCTCCTAAGTAGAAAAAAATGGTGCTTTAGTTGATCAGAACACAAAGTCCATGGATTTGACTCTGAATTATTTGTCAACATAGTTAGGGAGAAGATTTAAGTACCAATAAGGACTATCTAGATCAGCAGTTCTCAACCTTTTGGCACCAGGGACTGGTTTTGTGGAAGACAATTTTTCCACAGATGGCGTGGGCATGGGGGATGGTTTAGGGATGATTCAAGGGCATTACATTTATTGTGCACTTTATTTCTATTACTATTACATACTCACTACAATGTAGAATCAGTGGGAGCCCTGAGCTTGTTTTCCTGCAACTAGATGGTCCCACCTGGGGGTGATAGGAGACAGTGACAGATCATCAGACATTAGATTCTTAAAAGGAGCACACAACATAGGTCCCTTGCATGCACAGTTCACGATACGGTTTGTGCTCCTATGAGAACCTAATGCAACTGCTCATCTGACTGGAGGTGGAGCCCAGCTTCGCTTGCTCACCTGCCACTCATCTCCTGCTATGCGGCCTAGTTCCTAACAGGCCACAAACCGGTACCAGTCCATGGCCCATGGGTTAGGGACCCCAGATTCAGATACTTTCTAAGTTCCTCTTGATTTCAATATTCTTTGATTCTAAGAGGCTCTGCTTTTCTGAATATTGATGGGTCTTCCCACATTGCAGTGGTATGGCCTCCATGTGACCACAGATACCCTCACGTCTGAGAGTTAATGCCCTATGGCCAAAACTAACATTGTTTCAGGATGGAGATTAGTTGGAACAAACCTTTACATGTGAAAAGTATTTTATATTATTCAAAGCATTTCCCATCATTATTTCACTTAATCTTTTTTTTTTTTTTTTTTGAGATGGAGTTTCGCTCTTGTTGCCCAGGCTGGAATGCAATGGTGTGATCTCGGCTCACTGCAACCCTCCACCTCCTGGGTTCAAGCAATTCTCCTGCCTCAGCCTCCCAAGTAGCTGGCATTACAGGTGTGCGCCACCATGCCCAGCTAATTTTGTATTTTTAGTGAAGATGGGGTTTCACCATGTTAGTCAGGCTGGTCTTGAACTCCTGACCTCAGGTGATCCACCCACCTTGGTCTCCCAAAGTGCTGGGATTACAGGCATGACCCACCACGCCCAGCCTCACTTAATTTTCAGAACAAGCCTCAGAGGGGGCATGGCAGGAATTAATTTCCTGCTAAGAAGTTGAGCACTGCCAAAGTCAAGCAACCTACCCAGGGTCACACAGCCAAGGCTCTATAGCACCAATGGCACCAAATAACCACTGCATTCTGAAAGAGATCCTGCCAGGGAATATGGGGGTCACAATGAAGACAGAACCCGAGGGTCTTCTAGGTCCCTGGCATTGTCCATCTCAGTAGCTCTGGGAGGCAAGCTGAACCCTTTGTCGCTGCCTCAGGGAAGCGTGACTAGAAGAGAAGAATCTTGAAGTATTAGGACACTTTCTCTGCCTCTTGAAGGCAAATATCTAACAATACAGGACCAAAGATTGTCTCCTGTTTTCTATTGTTCATTAGGGTGAGACTTCTATAGCTGATTATATTTCTATTTTATCATATCATGTCAAAAAAAACCTCTTCGGTATATCCAGTTTCCATCATTCTTGTTTTTGGCTGAAACATTATCCTTTTCCTGGACCTCTGTAGCTGTAAAAACACCTGATTTTCATCTGCTTGAGATTGAAATGTGAGGCGAAATGCGTTAGGCAATTACTTCCCACTTTTGTGAGAACATCTCTCTGAAGTAAGAAAAGGAGGAAGGAGGTAATCAGAACTTTCACTTCCACTTTCTCTAGGGCTGTGTAAGAATGTAGTCCACTTAAATACCTTGTGAGCTTTATGATATTGCATTATAAAGCATATTTAAGGAATATATTCATTTTAAAACAGCTTTATTGAGATATGATTCATACACCATACAATTCACCCATTTAAAGTATATGATTTAATGTTTTTTAGTATATTCACAGGGTTGTGCAACCACTATCACAATCTAATTTTAGAACATCTTTCTCTCATTTAAATGAAACCCCATATGTATTAGCAGTTAGTCACTCCCCCATACCGTCACCCCAACCCTAAGCAACCACGAATCTACTTTCTGTCTCTATAGATTTGCCTATTCTGGGCATTTCATGCAAACGGAATCATACAATATATGGTCTTTTGGAACTGGCTTTTTTCACTTGGGGTAATGTTTTCAAGGTTCATCCATGTTGTAATATATATCAGTAATTCATTTTTTTAATGGCTGAATAATATTCCATTGTATGGAATTACCACATTTTGTTATTCCTTCATCCATCAATGGACTTTTGGGTTGTTTCCACTCTTTGGCTATTTTAATAGATGAATGCTGCTATGATCCCTTGTGCACAAGTTTTTGTATGGGCATGTGTTTTCAATTTTGGGGTGCATATATACCTAGGCGTGGAATTGCTGGGCCATATGATAATACTATACTTACCTATTAGAGCATAGCATTTTAAAAATATATTCATTTTAAAGAAATTCATGGTAGCTTTATGAGAGAGAGAGAGGAAACAAAAATAAAGAGAGACAGAGAGGGGAAGAGAGGGAGGTTCATGGTGTTGGTGCTACTGGGAGCTGTAAAGTATGCTCAGCCAAAAGCATCAGGTCCCAGGCTGATAGCTGTCATGGGAACAGTTCCAAATTAATCTGCAAAAGTGCAGCACATCATGAAGGATGTTGGTTGTGCTTTGCCAAACTCAAAGAGTGGCCTAGAATCAGATTGTTTGATTAGGATAAAGATGGAACAGGAGGTTCATTTTTGACCTTGGAGCAAGATGGAGAGACCAACATATTTTGTTTGTTAGCCAAGGCCATTGCTGTAAACTGGGAACTCGTTGCCAAGGTTCTTCTCGTACCAGCCCTCCCCACTCAATGGCAGGGCTGGCTACCTTTGTCCTTTCAGCTGCTTAAGCTAGTTACGCTGTCACTTTGAGCTCTGGCTCTGCTCTCTCTGGCTCTGATTCCTCTGGAAAGGCTGCTGTCCAGATGTTTAGGTATTTAGCAAATGCACTTTTCTGATGCCTTGGCAGGGTTGCTTTCAGATGGGGATGAATATTTGATGCTGTTGGTTGTTGGGAACATGTACACTGAAATGACCAGCAAAGTTCCTGTCTCAAACTCCCTGTGTCTCTAATTCCCTTTATAGTGACAGCTGATACATCATTTAAAGGAAAACTCACCAGGGAGCAGAGGAAAAGCTATTCTTGTTTTTTTTTTTTTTTTTTTTTTTTTCGGCTTTGCCCTCTCTCATTGGCTGTGCACAAGCTTCCCAGATTATAGAGAAGGCTTTGGGTAGTTCCTTCTCTGCCTCCCCTGCCCCCATCCCCCAGATTATAGAGCAGGACAGAATGGATCTTTCCATCTTTCTTCAGGAGCTTGCTTTTCCTCTTTAAACCACTCCTTCTCTACATATACAGAAACTCCTATCCACTGTGTTCCGCAGCCTAGTCCACTACTTTATGTTTTTGATCCTTTTTGATCTAAGGATGTCTTAGAGAATATTTAGGTCACCCTCACATTTTACAGACAGAGGAACAGAGGGGAAAAGCCACTGGTGGATCAGTGGGAGATCTACCTCCCACAACCCTCCCACTGCCTTCCTGGCCTCAAACTTAACCTTTCACCATCCTGGCACTCTGCACAGTCTCCCACCATTGTATCCCCTGGCACTCTGCATGGTCTCCCACCATTGGCTCAGTGCCTGGCACATGTTCCTGGAGCCAGGGTGTCTAGGTTTGAGTCCTGACTCCTACAGGTACTTCTTGTGTGTTCCTGTAGAAGTGACTTAGCCATCTGTGTTTCCATTTCTTTACCTACAAAATGTAGCGAATCATGGTACCTATCTTAAAGAATCTTTGTGAATTGCAAATGTATTACTACATTTAAAGTGATTAGAATAGTATTGACTGAGCGAAGTGGCTCATGCCTGTAATCCCAGCACTTTGGAAGGTCAAGGTGGGAGGATCACTTGAGCCCAGGAGTTTGAGACCAGCTTCAGCAATAAAGTGAGACCCCATCTCTACAAATATAGATTTTTTAAAAAAATTATCCAGGCATAGTTGTGCATACCTGTAGTCCCAGCCACTCAGAAGGCTGAGGTGGGAGGATCCTTTGAGCCCAGGTGTTCGAGGCTGCAGTGAGCTAGGATCATGCCACTGCACTTCAGCCCTGGTGACAGAGAGAGAACCTGTTTTTACTTTAAAAATAAATAAAAATAAAAGTAAAAAGTGATTAGAATAGTGTCTTTTACACAATAAGGGCTCAATAAATATTGACTATTTCCATTATTATGGAATGAATGAATGAATGCATGTGTTCAATTTTTATCCTCTCAGGGGCCAGCTCAGTGTCTGTTACTCTCTTTTAAAAACAACCATTTCTTAAATCTGGGCTGTGAGGCTGGGCTAAGGAAGGGCAGACATGCAGGGCTGATGCTTTAGTTGGGAGGCCATTTGGATGCATCAATTCCTCCTGGATTCCAACCCTTGCTATTCTCATGAGCATTTCATGGAGATTTGGAGGCATATGCACAGTCTTTGTGCTCTGGATGCATTTCTTTGCAGTCATTTATTACTAGTCTATTTTATAGTAGATCTTGTCTCAACCATTTCATTCACGCAAAAGCCTTCGGATGCTTAATATTATTTTGTGAAGGTTTCCAACTCCTTTGGGCTTTGCTTAGGAACCTAGCAAACAAACTTCTCAGCATCTCAAAGGGAAGCTTAAGCTGATAAAAATGTGAATTGTAGACAGCTGGAGCTTTGCTGAACATTTCACTTCTGGATATGCCGAGCAATGGTCTAACATGAATGCTCTCATGGGGAGGTCACCTCTACCCTTGACGGCCAGTGGCCTAGCTGTATTGTGCTAGGGGACATGCGGATCTGTGCAAGAGGGTTTGTGGATGGTCTATGTCATGGCCACCATTCCTGAAAAGCAGCTCAAGTATGTGGCATATCCAGAGCCATGCAAGGCAAGAGAGTGGCAGAGAAACCTGTATTTCTGGCACTTTCCTACCTCTTTCTGCATTACCTACTCATCCTCCTTTCAATTCAGATTCATTCAGATGAAATGGGCTGGATGAAGTTATTGGACTCCTAGACAGAGACATTCCAATGGAGGATGCTGTGGGGAAATGAAAAACTCCTAGATGTTGATATTTCAGATTGACCCTTTTGTCAGAAAAACAGCATAGAGGAGCAGCGAGCCTTCCTGAGACCCCTCAACTTAACATGTAATAGCTACCTGTGATTTCTAAATATCAGTCTAAGGCCTGACTGCAATAAACTTATTTGGGAAGTTTGCAAACATGGAGATGTCTTGGGCTCTAGAGTTTCTGACTTAGTAAGTCTGGAGTAGAGCCTAGAAATCTGAATTTTTATAAAATTTCCTAAAGTTATTCTGTTACACATTCAGGCCTGTGAACATCTCAGTCAGTGGTTTTTTTTTTTTTTGACAGTCTTGCTCTGTCACCCAGGCTGGAGTACAGTGGCACGATTTCAGCTCACTGCAACCTCCGCCTTCCAGGTTCAAGTGATTCTCCTGCCTCAGCCTCCCGAGTAGCTGGGACTACAGGCACACACCACCACAGCTGGCTAATTTTTATATTTTTAGTAGAGACGAGGTTTCACCATGTTGGCCAGGCTGGTCTTGAACTCTTGACCTCAGGTGATCCGCCCACCTTGGCCTCCCAAAGAGCTGGGATTACAGGTGTGAGCCACGGCGCCTGGCCCTCAGTCAATGGTTCTTATTCCTAGCTGCACATTTGTATGACTACCTGGAGAGATTTTAACAAAGTGACCATTCCTGGGCTGTGTTCTTAGGGACTCCCATTCCATTTATTTGGGTGAGGGGCAAAGGGGGTTCAATACTCTCTCTTTTTAAGGCTGCTGTGTGAACCTAGGTGCAGCCATAGTTGAGAACCACTAAAACATTGAAAAATGGACAACTACTTTTCTTAGTAAGGGCAGTGTTGGACTTTCCACTAACAGGTGTGGCGATCAGACACAGTGAGAATCCCAGCCAGGAGGGAGCTTAGAGAACATCCAACCCAGTGGTTCCTAGTTCTTTCAATTTCATAGACCTGTATAATTCTAAAGGTATTTTGAGGACTGATAAGGAATTGCTGGGGTTTTTTTTTTTGGGCCAACTTTTAATTTTGCCAAGTTAAGACATTAAAAACAAAACAAAACTCAACTATCATTTATTTGCAACAAAACTCAACTATCATTTATTTGCACCATTATTTAATTTTTTAAAGTGAAGTTTTAACATTATCTGTAAGCAAGACCTGTGGTCAAGATAAAGGACAGTCCTTAAAACTGAATACATATGGCTTTAAGAGGAACTCACTAGGCAGGCCTCATCTTTCCTCATTTCAGGGAAAACTTTATTATGGTTCAGAATTGGTTCAAGAGCAGCCTGCTTCCAAGCCAAAGTCGTAATTTTACAGATGAGGAAATTGAGACCTGGAGTGGGAGGTGCTTGGCTCTGCTCCCAGAGCTCCACTGGCAGAAAGCTTGTTAGGAGTACAACCTGCTCTCCTGATGTCTGGTCATGTCCTCTATAGGGGGCTCAGATGAGAAGCCTGACACCCCAGGCTCTTCCCATTTAACATGCATGGGACAGAGCCACTGAGTGTCACTGCCCAATCCTCCCAGACACACTCAGACATATTAAAGCAGTCACCATGGTAATGATCAAGGACAGGCACCCTGTTAGAAGGGCACCATTCTCAAACCTTCAGCAATGATGGAATATGATTATGTGGGTCTTTTGGGTGACACGGTGGAACTTCAGTTTGCCCCATTTGCAAAACAGAGGAGCATATGATTACTCCGTCACGCTAGACTACTGTGCTTCGAAAGTTACAAATCTGTGAAGAATTAATTTTCTGATTTTCTCCTGCAGAATCCAAGCCATCTCTTCCTTTATAATGCTGTTATTTTTAATAAGTCAACAAATTGGCTAATTATCTTGGAAATATTTTGATTTGAGGAAATGGACATTTTACACAATTCCCTTAGAGAAGAAAGAAAACAGATTTCCAAGTGCATTATCAATAAGCAGGGCATTTGAACTCTATGATCGGAAATGGAGAAGACATGGTGAGCTCTTGGGTTCAGATGTTCAATATTTGAAGGAGACGGTGGAGAATGAGCATTGGCAGGACATGTGCTTCACCTGGATGACTGAGGATGGTTGAAGGGCAGGCCTCAAGCCAACTTGGATCTCAAGTCCACCTAAAAGAGTTATGTTCACAGCCTTGAACTGTCAGGGAATGGAGACAGGGAGGAACATAGTTGAATGTCACCCATGGAGTCCCTTGAGGGCAGGGTCTTGCCCTACTTGTCTCCTAGCATAGGTCTGGCCCCTCATAGATAGTATTACCTATTTTGTTGAAGTGAAATGGTTTTTCGGGACGCAAATCCACTTTCCTACATTGAAATCAGGTGACATCTAGAGATCTAGACTTAACCAGGGCAGTTTTCCGGGGGTGGGAAGACAGCCTGGGAGCGGTCAGGAGGGAGTTGCGTCTGCCACGAAGCCATTGGATGGCTGTCTCGAAAATGGGTCATGAAGGTGCCCTCAATGGGAGGAAGGAACACAGAACAGAAATGTCACTGACCTCATAATTTTGCTGAAATCTGGTCCTGGTTCTCTAGCCCATCCCTCTAAAACCTACTTCCTAGAACAAAAAAAACTACAGGCTTAATATCCCAGCTCCAAATCTCCCCAGAAGCTCAGGTTCCTATGGGATCCCACCTACCCGAGGCAAAAGACAGAATGAACTCAGTTCCCTTTAAAATCTTCATCTGACTTCATTTTTGACCTCTTTCCTGATTTCTAATTTAGTCAAATAAACCCATATACCTTAAAATGATGCCCTATGCGCCATCGGTGCCTGAAGTCATTTTAAGTACCATTGGAAGGGAGGAAGGGAGCTTCTCCAGCTCAGCTGGCTTTCTGCCCTCTGTTTCTCAGGGATTGGGCAATAGAGCGAAGACAGGACACCTCCCCTGTCTGTGATTAGGAAGATGAAGGCAGCAGGGGAGAACAGAGCCATGGAGATTAAAGTGTGCATGGAATGTTGAGACCAACGTCCTTATTTCATGTTAGAGACAACTGGAGCACAGGAAGATAGTACTTGGCCTTAGGTCACATCAGACAGTGGTATGGTTGGTTGGGGCTAGAAAAGGTTCTTTGATCTCTAGACTGCAGCACCCTGGTCACTTAATTGCACCAACTCCTGGTTGTCTGGTGGAACAGACTCATCTCTTCGCTTAGTTAAAAAGAAATTTCAGGCTTTTCAACCTCAGGCAATTGTCTTGTTGTTGTTGTTGTTCAATATAGATGTTAAATGGCTTAAGCTATAGTAGTTTGTAGGGATTCACTTGAAAACTCCCTACTGTGTGTATCCACATGTGTTTTTGTGTGTATATGCATGTATGCATGTGATTGTGCATATGTGTGTATGTGTATGCTTACATGTCTCTATGCCTACTTGTGAGTATGTATTTTGGCCATGGCGGGGTTGGGGGTGGTCACTGGGGTGGAGGAGGAGGATAAGAGTGCTTATCCCAGGTATCAGAGGGCCTGGCCTATGCTCCTGACCTGCACACATGCACAGGAGTACTCACCCCTCCATACTGGGCCTGGGTGTGGACTGAGATGAAGTCACCACTGCCCTCTGCTGTACTGAGAGGTGAATGCTGCTGACATGCCAGCCTCACCTTGTCCCAGGTTGGGGCAGCAACGCTGAGATGAAAGAAAAGCCTTTGCCCAATTGTGGGGCTCAGTTGGTCCATCCCTCTTGGGATCATTCCACTCTACCTTTGAAGTTCTTAGCTGCAGGTAGTGAAGCAAAAGCACCAGGCACATGACTATGAATCAGGTCAGTCACTGCCCCAAGGCCTTCCCAGGCAGAGTCTGCAGGTGTTGGAATAGCGCTAGCAAAGATTGCAATGCATTCCTTATCTTTCTGGCCTTGTTGGGGGTCAACACTCAGAATTCTTTCGGTGTCACTCAAATTGAACACTCTTTAATGGTAAAACCACTGTTGGCCTTGGGCCAATCCTCCTGTAAACACAGCATCCTGGGGCAAGAAGCCCAAATACTACTTCCAAATAAGAACACCCTACATTTGCACAGTGCATTATAATTTGTCAGCTGTGTTCCCATTAGTTTTCTCAGATGATCTTTACAAACCTGTGAGTTAAACAGAACAGCAATTATTATTCTCATTTAACAAATGGGGAAACTGAGGCCCAGAAGGTTTGATGCTCCTTGATTGACTTGGAAGTAATTAGCTAAGACATAAAATGTACCTCCCTCTGGAATGAAATCCATCAGGCTTTAGATTAAAATAAAAGCTATTAGACCTAGTGCCAAACAAAACATTCAGTAATCAACTGGGTACTATGAGGGCAAAATTCATAGCAGTGTTGTCCAGCCACTTTCTAACAACCTCAGCTTACAGCTAAGCTCCTGAGTTCTATACTGTGTCCATCTAACAGGGCCACCAGAGAGTCTCATAATTGATTACTTTTTAACTAACACCTTTCCTTTCGATAATAAAAATGTTTATAGCTTTTTGGTCTTAAATGTAAAAATAATCTATCTTGTTTTATACTCCTAATATGTTTGTAATGCAAGGGCAGTTGTTACTATTGCCTCCATTTTGCTGATGCAGTAACTAAGGTCTGAATAACTTTCATAACTTTAGCAATCAATGTCTGCTCTGGTGTTTACTCTGTGGTAGGCTCTCTGCTTATTCAGAGAATACAGCAGTGGACAAAGATGGCCATGGTCCTGGCTCTCATGAAACTCACAGCTAAATAGGGGGAGAGAGAGAAAAAGATAAGTACATACTCCAGTTGATGATAAATATACATTGTGATGAGTGCCATGGACTTGAATGTGGGGCTGTGAGTACAAATGGCCAGGGGAGTTTGCTGGTTAAATGGAGTTGGCCCAGCATGTAGGGTTGAAACTTGGGGTGCAGAGTGGTCCAGGCAGAGGCCTAGGCAATGTGAAGATCCTAAGGAAGGAAGTTACTTGGGACATCCAATGAACTGAGAGACAGCCAGGGTAAGCTGGGGCTCAGAGAACAATAGGGCAAGTGATCCAAGGTGAGATTGGCAAGGTCTCCTCTTAGCCCGGCCACACAACTAGTTGGAGGCAAAATGGGTACTATTATTATATCCTCGCTGTGAGTCTTTAATAGCTACATTTCTTTTCTTTTCTTTTTTTTTTTTTGAGACGGAGTCTCGCTGTGTCACCCAGGCTGGAGTGCAGTGGCGCAATCTTCGCTCACTGCAAGCTCCACCTCCCAGGTTCACACCATTCTCCCACCTCAGCCTCCCAAGTAGCTGGGACTACAGGCACCCGCCACCACGTCTGGCTAATTTTTTTTTTTTTTTTTTGTATTTTTAGTAGAGACGAGGTTTCACCGTGTTAGCCAGGATGGTCTCGATCTCCTGACCTCGGGATCCGCCCGCCTCGGCCTCCCAAAGTGCTGGGATTACAGGCGTGAGCCACCGCGCCCGGCCTCTACATTGCTTTTCTTTCCCTATTCCTCTCTTAATCTCTGTCCAAATCTAACTGCCTTGATTTTCTAGGGCCACAGCTCCTCCCACCTGTTTTATTGTTCCTGCTGGACTTTCCACCTGGAACGCTTACCTCTGCATCTCCGTAAGTCAAAAATCCTACTTACCCTGTAAACTAGGGATTATAAATACAAATGTTTCAGCAGGTGAGGTAAATGAATGACATGACCTAATATATTATCACATGGTAAGGATATGGCATACTGGGACATGCATGTTCCCATCACACTCAAATCCAGTGCTGTGTGAAGAACTTTCTGTTCTTCATGATGGAAATGTTCTGTAGCGGAACTGTCTAATACAGTAGTCACTAGTCATATGTGGCCAGTATGACTGAGGGATTAAAATTTTTATTTACTTAATGTAATTAATTTTAAATGTTTATAGCCCATATGTGGCTAGTGGACTACCATATTGGACAATGCAGCTCTAGCCATTTACTTCCATTCTGGAATGTGGGCCCAATATTGCCAAATATTCCAAGTTTTCAAGAGAAGCCATATATCTGAATTCTCACATTTGAAAACTTATGTTGGCAACAAATTCAAATTTTAAAGATAGACTGTGAAAGACTCTTGCTTCTGGACAAATGGAGTAGTTACACATTCCCCTATTCCTCCTAATAAGTACAACTAAAATCCTGGATAGTATATATAACACAAGCATAAGAAGACTTTGAAAAGTGGAGAGAAGAAGACAGACTTAGGATCTCAGGAATCAAGATGTAACATACTGGTGAGTTCCCTGGGCTTTCTTTTTATGTCATATATCCCAGACTTGGAATTGAAGGAGTCAACAAGCCAGAAACACCAGTGGGCACAGAAAAACTAAGCCCCAACAAAAGCTATCTCTGACTGATGTAACAGGAAAGGGGCAGCCTAGCAACACAGAAAACTTTTAGACAATAGCTATCATACTCCAGCCAAACATTATAGGAAAAACTGTGGTCCTGTCCACAGCCATGTCAACAAAGGCCAAGTGGGGAGCGTTGAGTTCTATCCTCCATGAGGGTGTAATAAGGCACCCAACATCCTTATCAGGGTGGTGTCAGATCGAGCCAAGTAGAGAACTTGCATGACCAACTCTTCGCCTTCCTCCTCCATTCAACCATGTGTTGCTGGAGATCACTTGTGGAACTTTGTAGCATTGACTTTTATCTTCATCTGGCAGTAATGAGGTTCTCTTTCCCTCCCTGCTAGGGTGGTGTAGGAGGAGGTCTGGTGGAGAGTCAGGACTTTCACTATCAGCCAGCAGTAATAAAACCATGCCACCCAAGTGTTAATGGAGACCACCTGGGGAGCCAGAGCTCCTACCACTGCCAGGAAGTAACAAGGAACTCTCCCCATAACCTGCATCATCACTTTTGGTGTCAAGAAAGGCTCAGTGGGAAATCTGGCCTTTTACCTCCATTTGCCAGTGACAAGCAAGTGCTATTCCTCCCCCTGCTGAAGTGGCATTAAAGAAATGAAGTTAAAACAAGAGGTTTAAATGAGATCTAAAGGCTTATCACTTAATAAAAAGTGTTCAAGATTCAATTTAAAAAACTCACTTTTCATACCAACAGCCAGAAAGATCTCAAACTGAATGAAAAACAATCAATAGAGGCCAATGCTAAAATGACAGAGGTATTAGAAACGTCTGACAAAGATTTTTAAAGTGACCATGATAAAAATGCTTCAATGTGCAATATAAACATGCTTGAAACAAATAAAAAAAAGACAATCTCAGCAAAGAAATAGAAGATATAAAGAACTATATGAAAAATGAAAAGTAAAATGACTGAAGTAATAAACTCAGTGGCTAGGCTTAACAGAATGGAAGTGACAAAGGAAGGATCAGTGAACTGGAAGACAGAACAATAAAAATAACTCATTTAAACAACACAGAGAAAATAGACTAAAAAAAAAAACCAGTTTCAGTGACCTGTGGGACTACAATAAAACATCCAGCATTTATGTTATCAGGATCCCGAAAGAACAGGAGAGACTGAAGATGACAAAGCACTGAAAGAAATAATGGCTGAAAACTTCCCAAATTTGGCAAGAGACATAAATCTACTGAGCCACAAACAGGACAAATCCAAAGAAATTCATGTCAAGATTCATAATAATTAAACTTCTGAAAATTAAAGACAAAGTTCTGAAAGCAGGCAGAGAATGACATCTTACCTGAAGGGGAAAAACACACAAGCAAGCAAGTAAACAACATAATAGCAGACTTTTTTTATCTTAAATCATGGGGGCCAGAAGAAAGCAGTACAGTGTTTTTTGTTTTGTTTTATTTTGTTTTGCTTTCTTCAAATGCTGAAAGAAAAGAACTGTCAACCCAGAATTCAATATCCAGTGAAAGTATCCTTCAGGAATGAATGGGGCCAATGAAGATATTCTCAAAAGAAGGAACTTTAATAGAATTTATCACTAGCAGACTTACCCTAAAGAAATGGCTAAATGAAGTTCTCTAAATGGAAAGTAAATGGTAAAAGAAGGAGCCTTGGAACACCAGGAAGAAAAAATAAAAGCTAAAATACAGGTAAATACAATAGACTTTCCTTCTTTCCTTGAGTTTTCTAAATTATGTTTGACAGTTAAACTAAAAATTATAAAACTGCATAATGTGATTCTAAGTGTATATAGAGAAAACATTTAAGATAATTGTATTTAAATGGGGGAAGGTAAGGACATGTTAAGGGAGGTAAGTTTTTTATACTTCACCCAAATTGGTCAAATGACACTATTAGAGTATAACAAGCTATGTATATATAATGCAATACCTAAAGTAACAATTAACAAGTAAAAAGCTACACAAAAATATACTCAAAAAGCATAAATAAAAATGTAATTGTAATAAATGTTCAAGGAGGCAGGAAAACAGGAATAAAGTTAGGGAAAAGAAAAGAAGGCAGGAAGAAGAAAACAGAGAACCCGAAATAGAGAGAACAGAAAGCAGAAAGCAAAATGGCAGACCTAAGCCCTTCTGTACATGTAATTACATTAAATATAAATGGTCTATAATAGCGTAAAAGACAGAGATTGGCAGAGTGAATTAAAACACATATTGAAACTATCTACTGTCTAACAACTCACTTCAAATATAATTATATAGGCAGGTCAAAATTAAAAGAATGGAAAAAGATATATCCTATAAATATTAATCAAAGGAAAGCAGGAGTGGTTATATTAATATTAGATAAAATAAACTTCAGAGCAAAGAATATTACCAGAAACAGAAAGGTCATAAGAGGGTCAGACCACCAATAAGTCATAGCAATCCTAAATACACATGCACTGAACAGCAGAGTTGCAAAATATGTGAAACAAAAACAGAATTGAAAAGAGGGATAGACAAATCCATAATTACAGCTGGAATCTTCAACATCACTCTCTCACAAATTTATAGAACAATTAGACAGAAATGAACAAGGATATAGAAGAATTCAATGACACCATCAATCAACAGAATCTAATCTAATATTTGCAGAACACACCATCCAACAACAGAATACAGATTGTTTCCAAGTGCCCATGAGCACATACCAAGATAGGCTACATCCTGGGCCATAAAACAAATCTCAATTAATTTAAATGAAGTGAAATTATAGAAAGTGTGTTCTCTGACCACAGTGAAATCAAACTAAAAATTAATAACAGAAAAATAACAGGAAAGTCTCCAAATACTTTGGCACTGAAAAACAGACTTCTAAATAATCCATGGGTCAAAGAATAATTCTCAAGAGAAAGTTTAAAAATATAATAAACTGTAGAAAATGAAAATGCAACATATGATAACTTGTAGAACACAGCTAAAACAGTGCTGAAAAATAATTTGTAGCACTAAATATATATACTAAGAAAGGCTGGGTGGCTGTGGCTCACACCTGTAATCCCAGCACTTTGGGAGGCCAAGGCAGGCGAATCACCTGAGGTCAGGAGTTCGAGACCAGTATGGCCAACATGGCAAAACCCCGTCTCTACTAAAATACAAAAATTAGCTGGGCATGGTGGTGCATGCCTATAATCCCAGCTACTCGGGAGGCTGAGGCAGGAGAATTGCTTGAGCTTGGGAGGTGGAATCTGCAGTGAGCTGAGATCATGCCACTGCACTCCAGCCTGGGCAAAAGAGTAAGACTCCATCTCAAAAAAAAAAAAAAAAGAAAAAAAAAGAAAAAAGAAATACACACACACACTAGGAAAGAGAAAAAGCTTAAAATCAATATTCTAAGCTTCCACCTCAGGAACCTAGAAAAAGAAGAGCAAAATAAACCCAAAGCAAACAGAAAGAAGGAAATAATAAAGACAAGGGATGAAATTAGTGGAATTAAAACAAGAAAACAATAGAGAAAATCGATTAAACAATAGACTGATTCTTTGCAAAAATCAATATAATCAACAAGCTTCTCCAAGAACTGATTGACTAACAAAGAAAAAAATAGAAGATACGGATTACCAATATCAAGAATAAAATGTGATATTAATACAGACCCTGCAGACATCAAAAGGATAATACAAAATACTGTCTACAACTTTACACATTTAATGTTGAAAACTTAGATAAAATGAGTTAATTCCTTGAAAAACGTAAACTAATGCCATTTACCCAATATTAATTAAATAATTTGAATAGTCCTCAAGTAAGAAAACAGAATGCAGCCGGGCGTGGTGGCTCACGCCTGTAATCTCAGCACTTTGGGAGGCCAAGGCAGGTGGATCACCTGAGGTCAGGAGTTCAAGACCAGCCTGGCCAATGTGGCGAAACTCTGTTTCTACTAACAATACAAAGATCAGGCAGGGTGTGGTGGTGTATGCCTGTAATCCCAGCTACTCAGCAGGCTGAGGCAGGAGAGTTGCTTGAACCCGGGAGGTGGAGGTTGCAGTGAGCCGAGGTTGCACGCCACTACACTCCAGCCTGGGCGACAAAAAAAAAAAAAAAAGAAAAAGAAAAAGAAAGAAAGAAAAAGAAAACTGAGTGCTTAATTTAAAATACTCCACCCAAAAAAAGTTTCCAGACTTAGATAGTTTCACTGGAGAACTTACCAAATGTTTAAAGAAAAATTAATACCAATTCTACACATCTTTTACAGACAATAGAAAAGAAGGGAACACTTTTGTTTTATGAAGTTGGGATTAACTAGATAACAAAACAAGACAGACAATACACAAAAAGAAAACTATAGACTAATACCCGACATAAATTTAGATGCAAAAATCCTTAACAAAATATTAGCAGATAGACTTCAGATAGTATACACACACACACACAGAGAGAGAGAGAGAGAGAGAGAGCATTGTACATGACGACCATGTGGGGTTTATTCTAGGGATGAAAGGCTGGTTCGATATTTGAAAGTCAACCAATATAATCTAGTATATCAACTCGCTAAAGAAGAAAAATGACAAAATTATGTCAATGAATGCCCAAAAAGCACTTGTCAAAATTCTGCTTCTATTCATTTCAAAAAATCTCAGAAAACTAGGAGTAGAAGGGGACTTCCTCAACTTGATAAAGAGCATATAGAAAACAGTTACAGCTAAGATTATACTTAATGACAAAAGACTGAATTATTTCTCCCTAAGACTGGTAATGAAACAATTATTTCTGCTTTTACCACATTCAATATATTGCAAATGCAATAAGGCAGAAAAAGGAAATAAAAGACAGACATATAAGAAAGGAAGAAATGAAAGTATTCTTAGTGGCAGATAACATGATTGTCTAGATGGAAAATCCTAAGAAATATACAAAAAACAAAACAAACAAAACTCCTAGATCTAATAAGTTAGTTTTGCAAGGTCACGAGATAAATGTTTGTTAGAAAGTTAATTGTATTTTTATATTCTAGCAATGAACACATGGACACCAGAATTAAAAAATACTATTTACAATCACTCGAAAATAAAATGCTTGCATGTAAATTGAATAAAACATGTACAAAAGTTGCATTCTGAACACTGTTGATGTTCAAAACACTGATGAAGGAAATCAAAGGCCTAACTAAATGGAGAAGGATACAAACTTATGAATTGGAAAACTCAACATAGTAAAGATGTCATTTCTTTCCAAATTGATATACAGGTTTGCTATGACCTGAGTTTGTCCCCATTAAAGCACATGTTGGAGTTTGATCTTCAATGTGGTGGTATTGAGAGGTGGCGCCTAGTAGGAGGTGTTTGGATCATAGAAGCAGATCCTTCATGAATGGCTTGGTGCCATTCTCACAGTAGAGTGAGTTCTGGCTTGCGGGAGACTGGATTTGTTCTCTTGGAATGGGTTAGTTCCCGTGAGAATGGGTTGTTTTAAACACAGGATTCCCTGGGGTTTTCCTCTCTTTACATGTGCCCACTTCCCCTTCAACCTTTCACCATATTGTGATGCCACAGGAAAGCCCTCACCAGAAACTGAGCAGCTGCTGGTGCCATACTTTTATGCTTCCAAGCCTACAGAATCATGAGCTAAGTAAACCTCTTTTCTTTATAAATCTCCCAGCCTGAAGTATTCTGTTACAGCAACACAAAATGGACTAGGACGAGGTTTAACAAAATTCCTATCAATATCTCTGCAGGATATTTTTTTGTAGATTTAGATAAGAGTATTTGAAAATGTATATGGAAAGGCAAAAGAACTATAAGAGCTAAAACCACTTTGAAAGAGAAGAATAAAATAGGAGGAACCAGTCTACTCAATTTCAAAACTTATTATATAGCTACAGTAATTAAGATTGCATCTTAATTATGTTAGCAGATGGATAAACACATAGACCATTAGAACATAATAGAGAACACAGAAATAGAATCATAGAAATATGCCCAGCTGATTTTTGGCAAAGGTGCAAAAATGCTACTCAGTGGAGAAAAAAGATAGCCTTTCAACAAATGGTGCTGGAGCAATTGGATATCAGTAGGGAAAGCAAAAATGAAAAACCTTGATCTATGTCTCACATATCATACAAAAATTAACCCAAAATGATTCACGACCTTAAATGCAAAATGTTAAACTACGAAACTTAAAAAAATTTGGAAAAAATCTTTAAGATCTAGCATTAGGCAAATGGTCTTTAAACAAAAGCATAATCTATGCAAAGAAACATTGATACATTGGACTTCGTTAAAATTAAAAAACTTTTGTTCTGTGAGATTCTGTTATGAGGATAAATAGACAAGCTACATACTGGGAGAAAATAATTGCAATAATATATCCAACACAGAACTAGTATTAATATATAGAATATATAAAGAACTCTTGGCCGGGCGTGGTGGCTCATGCCTGTAATCCTAGCACTTTGGGAGGCCGAGGCGGGTGGATCACTTGTGGTCAGGAATTTCGAGACTAGCCTGGGCAACATGGCGAAACCCTGTGTCTACAAAAAATACAAAAATTAACCCAATGTAGTGGCATGTGCCTGTTGTCTCAGCTACTTAGGGGGCTGAGGTAGGAAGGTCACTTGAACCTGGGAGGTTGAGGCTGCAGTGAGCCAAGATTGTGCCACTGCACTCTAGCCTGGGTGGCAAAGTGAGACCATGTCTCAAAACAAAACAAAACAAAGAATATATAAATAACGCTCAAATATCAATATCAAAAAGTTAATCCAATTAGAAAATGCACAAAAGACACAAACATACATTTTACTGAAAAGGACATATATTAATAGTTGGCAAATAAGCACATACAAATATTTCAACATCATTAGCCATTAGACACATGCAAAATTAAAGCCACAATTAGATATCACTACAGCTATCAGAATGGCTAAAAATAAAAGTTGTGACATTACCTAACACTGTTCAGAATGTAGAGACAGTGAATCATTCATTCACTGCAAGTGGGAATGTAAAATGGTATAACACTTTGGAAAAACGGTTTGGCAATTTGTTAAAATACTAAACATGCAATTACCATACAACCCAGCAATTGCACTCCTGGGCATTTATCCCAGAGAAATGAAGCTTGTATTTACACAAAAACCTGTATATAAATGTTTATAGCAGTTTTATTCGTAATAGCCAAAAACTGGAAACAACCTAGATGTTCTTGTTCTTCAAAGGGTGAATGATTAAACAAACTATAATACATCCATACCATGGTATACTATTCAGCAATAAAAAGGAGAGAACTGTTGATACATGCAACAATGTGGATGAATTTCCTGAGAATTACGCTGAGTGACAAAAGCTAATCTCATTGTTTCACACTGTATGATTTCACTGATACAAAATCTAGAAATGACAAAATTATAGAAATGGAAAACAGATTAGTGGTTTCTAGGGGTTAATGGTGGGATGAAGGCAGGAAATTGTTGTGGCTGCAATAGGGAACATGAGGGATTTCATGTGGTGATGACGGAAGTGTTGGCTATTTTGACTGTATAGATTCTCATATACTGGTTGTGATATTGTACTGTCATTTTACAAGATGTTACCATTGAGGAAAATGAGGTAAATGGTACATGGGATCTCTTCGTATTATTTCTTACAACTGCACGTGAATCTGTAATTATCTCAAAATAAAATGTTTAAAGAAATACATTGTGAAGGTCAAATAAAGATATATTTGCTGGCCAAAAATGACCACTGTTTTACGACTTATTCCTTAAAGAATATTTCAAATGCTGCCTCCTTTATTAAGCATTTTCTGGTTCCTCCATTTATAGGTGATCTCTCTTTTTCTTGGTTGTTTGGAGTAGACTGTGATTCTTTGATGGCACCTACATTTTTTCCCAGTTGCATTCCCATACATGTATAGTTTCACATGTATGTATGAGTCATATCACCCTAGTTGCTGTGAGCTTCTACCGTTTTTCATTTGTTGAAATTCCATTTGGGTAATTTTTCAAATCTGCTTTGTCTCTTTTTTCTCATGTTGCTGATTCCTCTTTGTTTCTTTGATAATGTAAAAGACACACATTTTATTGTCACTTCTATAGTTCAGTTAATGTTTCCTTGGCGTCTATTTCTATAGTTTATTATATCTTTTTCTCAAGATCATTTTTTCCTGTGCTGTACAGTTCTGCATTGTGAGTTTATCTTAACAAGACTTTACCTGTAGGAATCCTATGAGGTCTATTTTGAGAGTGTTTCCTCTTAATGGAGTGATTTTGAATTAATTTCTTCCCAGGACCTCAGGAGAAGTACTTGCTGAGGACTATTTGTAATGCGATTTCTTGACTTGGAAATTCCTGTACTGTATAGTTAATATAAATGTGGACCTCAAACCCGTGTACTTAGGCATTGTCATAAAGCCTAGGATGATCTTTAATGCTTCTTTATCTTTTTTCTCTTTTCAATTATTTGCAATTTTTTTACTATTATCTTTTTAGATACTATTTACTCCTATTTATTGTTTTTAGTGTTTCTGAGTGTACATTGTATGAAGTTTTCTTAGTGTTTTTTTCTGGCATTACAATATACATATTCCATATCATCATCTAGTGTCGATATTTTATCAGTTCCAGTGAAGTGTGAAAACCTTACTTCCCTTTGTCTTCCCCATTTTTAAATATTATTGTTTTAAGTATCAGAAGGAGTTATAATTTTTGTTTCAACCATCAAATATTATTTCTACAAGTCATGAGAAGTGTAGTCTATTGTATGTGCCTATATTTTTATTGTTGTCTCTTCTTTCTGAAAGCTTCAAGTTTCCTTCTTTAATTTTTTCTCTCTACATGTTAAACTTCCTTTACCCATTCTTAAGAGAAGTCCTTCTAGTGACAATTTCTTTTAGTTTTCTTTCATTTGAGAAAGTCTTTTTTTTTTCTTAAATTTCTGAAGGATAGTTTTGCTTGCTATGGAATTTATAGTTGACAATTCCTTTCTTTCAGCACTTGACAAATATTATGCCACTTGCCCTGGCCCCCATGGTTTCAGCTGAGAAATCTGCTGTCATTCAAATTGTTTTCCGCCATAATTAAACTGATGTTTTTCTCTGGCTGCTTTCAAGAATTTTTTCTTCATTTTTAATTTTCAAAAATTTAATCACATTGTGACTTGGCCTGGATACTTTTTGATTTATCAAATTTGAGGTTAACTCACCTTTTCTAATTTGTCAACTTATGTTTTTCATCAAATTTTGGAAGTTTTTAAAAATCAATTATTTCTTTAATATATCCGACAGCTCCACTCTTTCTTTTTGCTTCTGAGTCTCCAGTAATACCAATGCTATTGTTCCACAAGTCTTGCAGGCCCTGTCTTTTTTCCTGTTTAACAGGAAAAAATTTGAGTAATTTTTAAAAATGATTTTCTCTCTGTTGTTTAGAATGGGTGAATTTTATTGATCTGTCCTCTAGGTCACTCATTCTATTTTCTGTCATTTCCATTCTACTATTGAACACATCCAGCATGTTTTTAATTTCTGTTATGGTATTTTTCAGTTATATAATTCCCACGTGGTTCTTTTTTACAGTTTATACGTTTTTGTAGAAAGATTCTAATTTTTCCATTTGTTTCCAAATAATTTATAATTTCTTATTAAAGCATTTTTATGATGGCTGCTCTAAAGTACTTGATGGACAATCTCAACATCTGATATATCTTGATGTTGGCACCAGTTGATTATTTTTTCCCATTAAAGTTGTGGTTTTTCTGTTTCTTGGTATGATCAGTGTGATTTCTGATTGTATCCTGGACATTTTGGTTATTATGTTAGGAGTTTGGGTTAGTACTGTTTTTTATTTTAACAGGCAGTCATTTTAAGTTTAGCACACAGTTCTGGCCTACTGTTATTGGCTGTGGTCTGATAAAAGTTTAATTTTTAGAGCTTTGCAGTGTTATTTTGGTCTGTTTGGTTTATTGGATGTTGCTAGCCCTCCCACTGGTCCCTGCTGGTACTGCCTGAGACAGCAGAAGAGGTTTTCCCATACTGTGCCAAGAGTATCCATGGGATAGGGGAATCTCAGGCCTATGGGAATCAAAAGGCTTCCTAGGCTGGGCCACTTGTTTTGGTAGAATCCCTTTTGCTGGTGTTCCTTGGATACCTGGTGTCTCTCATTGAGGGAGAGGAGTTTCAAGCCCAATGGGGTTGGAGACCACTTTTCCTGGTCACTCATTGTCAGTGAGGTTCTTGTTTGACTCCAGTTGCTGGTGCCATCAGGCATACCAGGTGTTGACAGTGGGGCTCCCATTCGATCTAGGGGAGGAATGAGCTACCTGAGTGCTTTCTGTTTATAGATTGGGGATTGAAAACATTGGACCCGAATTGCTTTTTTCTGCTGGATGGGAGATCAGAAGATGCCCTGCTGCTACGCTTCTCTGTGGTTCTGAGGTCCCTAGCAAGTCCTCTTTCCTCTTCACAACACTCAGAATCCTTTGACTGCCTCTTGCATTTTATATGGGTTTATGGTTATACTTAGCAGGGAGGATTAGGGAGAAACAAGTCTATGTAATCTTGTCCAGACTGGATGTTCTCTTTTTATTCATTTTCAAATTTTGGAATTTTAAATTCCCATGGTTCTATTACCTAATCAAGTCAATATTTTTATCCATGTTACTTTTTAGATCTTTCCCATTTACAAATGATACCTAGATTTTTATATGATACATTTTCAGTTTACATTTTATCAAACATATATTGTTATGTTGCCCTAGGTTTTTTTCTTTTTCTTTTTAGTTCATTTAATCACAAAATATTTTTTAAATGATTTGAGAAATTTGTGAACAGTTATGTTTGGGGAAACAAACTTATAACAGTCTGAAATTATTTCATAAAGGTTGCCTCTTCATGTCTCTTTATTTGGTTCCCTTATTTGTAAAACAAGAGAGTTAGGACAGATAAGCTATAGGAGCCAGTTGAACTTTGAAAATGTACTGTGGCTAGAAAATAGTGATGACCCTGGCCAGTCTGAAACAGTAGGTAGATATTTTGGAGGCTGTACTAAGCAGCAGGAGAGAAACTGCTAATATTTCCATTCCCAGGCCAAAAAGAGGGACCAGGGGTAGCTGGGCTGGCTGAGATGTGGGAGTGATTAGGTGCTCTGTTCTAACTCGGGCAGTGAATTGAGGAGGAAATCCTACGTGGCATAAGTGCTCTGAGCAGGTGTTCACAGAACAAACACCAGGAAGGCTTTAAGCAGCTCAGATTGATCCTCTTAGAAATGATACTAAAAAGAAGCTCATGAGAAATAAATTCATCTTGGTAAGGATCAAGGAAAAATCTAAAAAGCTGAAAACACACCTTTATAATGAAAAATTGAGGAAAGTAGGGTTAGACCATGTTAAATAAATGGTTTTGTGGGTGAAAGTATTTAATGATCATCTTCAAGGATACCTTGAGAAATTTTCTATTTCAGGATGTAATCATCAAAAAAAAAAAAAAAAAACTCTCTCCCTGGTATAAGTGTACTTTTTTTCTACATCACTTAAAAAGCAGTAATTTTCTTCTGGTGAAATACCTGACAGCTAAGAGGAGCACAGAGCGATGGAGTGATTTGCCTCAGGTACTGCTGGCAGGAATGGAGAAAAGACTAGACATCATCTTCTCACCTTCAACCCGTGGTGCTCTCCATTGCCAAGGGAGTCACCATGTTTCAGCTCCTCAGAGGACAGAATCAGTAGAAACAAACTTAACACGCAGTGAAATGGGCTTAAATTAGACAAGAATATTTTTCCTATAAGCCACAGATGTAAGAGAATGAGCCTGGCTGGAGAGCTTCTGTAAATCTCTAAGATTGGGATTCTGGGCCTCTAACACTGGGTGTGATATTTTCCCTGGTGGCAGGAAGAGGAGACGGCCTTTGGGAGGAAGGACTTTCCACTTTCAATGTGATTGCCAAGGTAGTTTTTAGAGATGGAGAGTGTTGGAGTAAATTGTGCTGATATCTCCTATTTGCCTTGCCAGTGGCATCGTCCATCATTTTCCCACTCAGAGCAGTTATCTGTTCAGATTAAATCCAAGAACATGTTTTTCTTCTGGCCAATGGGAAGCCCCGGTGGGAAATGTTGAGAGAAGGAGAAAAACAAAGTCAGGGTGTTTATTCCTGCATCTCTTTCCCTGTGGTTTCTCTATAAACTGGCTGCTGCCTTCCACTGAAAAGCAGGTCCTGTCAGATGGTTCTCTCCCAGGATGGTTCTCTACTTTTGGGATCCATGACTGGTCCCCAACCCTACTCATGCAGCCCTGCTGTTACGGGCCCTGGGATAGTGCACTGTCTCTTGTGGTTTCTCCACACCTTGGTCACAACTTCATAAATAGTCCCTTTGTTAAACTATCTCCAACTTATTATTGTGTGTGTGTGTGTGTGTGTGTGTGTGTGCCATCTATTCCCCCCCACCCCCCGCACTCTGACTGATGCACCTATCGTACTAGGTGAAGATGCCCGGTGACCGTGTCGGAAGGCTGCAACGTGCAGCAAGGGGGTCACCAACTGCAAAGAAGTCTCATGCTCTTTTCCTTCTGCAGCTGAGAACTTCTGGAGAAGACCCTCCAAGAAGGCATAGTGTCATGTTCTAAAACAAAAATTGGCCAATGCTTCTAGGCAGAAATTTTCTCCACACACACAGAGAAAAGTATCTCCCTAAATAACACTTAGTCATTCAACTGCATTATCAAGGTTAGAGCAATCAGATTATAAACAATAATCAGTAACGGTCTTTACCATTCCTTAGACACTTAGTGTTATTCATTAGTAAAGTGAATGATAAGATTCTCCTCCGTATTTCAGAGATTTGGAAGAGTGGAAGTACAGCTGCTCTAGAATCAGGATCCCTGAGCTTTCCTTTAACATAAGAGGTCCTAGGAAACAGACTGTTTAATTTCTCTGAAAATCATTTCCACATTTATAAAATATAGGGCCTCTAACCCAGCTATTCCAGAAGCTGAGGTGGGAAGATCACTTGAGCCTGGAAGGTTGGGGCCAGCCTGGGTAACATAGTGAGACCCCATCTCTAAAATAAATAAATAAATAAATAAGATATGCAGATTAAACAAATGGGTCCCAAGTTCCTTTTTAGCTGTAATAGTCTATGTGATTATGAAGAGGTGGAATGGAGGATATAGTGTGGTGTGTGGATGTATATTGTGTGGATGGAGAGGACTGGGTAATATTGTATGTGAATGGGAAAAACTGGGAAGTGTGGCATATGGATAGGAAAGACTGGGGAGTGTGGTGCATGAATGGGGAGGACTGAGGAGTGTGGTGCATGAATGGGGAGGACTGAGGAGTGTGGTGCATGAATGGGGAGGACCAGAAAGTGTGGTGCATGAATGGGGAGGCCCAGGAAGTATGGTGCATAAATGAGGAGGACTGAGAAGTGTGGTGCCTGAATGGTGAGGACTAGGGAGTGTGGTGCATGAATGGGGAGGACCAAAGAGTGTGGTGCATGAATGGGGAGGACCAGGGACTGTGGTGCATCAATAGGGAGAACTGGGGAGTGTGGCGCATGAATGGTGAGGACTAGAGAGTGTGGTGCCTGAATGGGGAGGACTGCGGTGCATAGTACATGAATGGGGAGGACCAGAGAGTGTGGTGCATAAATGGGGAGAACTGGGGAGTGTGGTGGATGAATGGGGAGGACTAGGGAGTGTGGTGCATGAATGAGGAGAACTGAAGAGTGTGGTGCATGAATGGAGAGGAATGAGGTACATGGTGAATGAATGGGCAGGATCAGAGAGCATGGTACATAAATGGGGAGGACTGATGAGTGTGATGCATGAATGATGAGGACTGAGGAGTGTGGTGCATGAACAGAGAGGACTGAAGTGTGTGGTGCATGAATGGAGAGAACTGAGGTGTGTGGTGCATGAATGGGGAGGACTGAGGAGTGTGGTATATGGATGGGAAGGACTGAGGAGTGAGGTATAAGGTTGGGGAGGACCAAGGATCGTGGTGTAAGGATGGAGAGGACTGAGGAGTGTGGTGTGAGGATGGACAGAAGTGTGGTGCATTAGTGGGGAAGACTGGGGAGTGTGGTGCATGAATGGGGAGGACCAAGGAGTGTTTGTAAAGGTGGGGGAGACTGAAGTATGTGATGCATAAATGGTGAGGGCTGGGGAGTGTTGTCTGTGGATGTGAGAACTGAGGAATATGGTGTGTAGATAGGGTGGACTGTGGAACCTATTGCTCAGACAGAGAGAACTGAGGAATTTGTTGTGTGAATGGGGAGGACTGAGAAATTTGGTGCATGGGTGGGGAGGATGCTGGAGTGTGTTGTGCAGAGGGTGAGAATTCGATAGTGTTGTGCCTGGATAATGGGAAGGTCTGGGGAGTTGGTGTGTGGATTGGGAGCTTTGGGAGGTGTGGTGTGTAAAGGAGGAGGACTGAGAAGTGTGGTGCATGCAGGGGGAGGACTGGAGATTGTAGCATGTGTATGACGCGGGCTGTGGAGTATGGTGTGTGGATAAAGTTGATTGGAAAGTCTGTTGCATGGACAAGGAGGACTCAAAAATGTGGTTTGTGAACAGGGAAGATTGGGGAATGTGATGTATGGATGGGGAGGACTACAGAGTGTGGTGTGTGAATGAGGATTGTAGAGTGTCTTGGGCAGAGGCTGAGGACTGGGGAGCATGGTGTGTGGATGGGGAGGACTGCAGAGTTTGGTATGTAGATGGCGAGAACTGGGGAGTGTGGTGCATAAATGGGGAGGACTGAGGAGAGTGGTACATGATTGAGGAGGTTTGGGGAGTGTGGATGGAAAGAAATGTGGAATATGTGTGTAAATGGGGAGATCCGAGGTGTCTATTTAATAAACAGGGATGATTGAAGAATATTGTGGGTAGATGAGGAGGACTGGGGAATCTACTGAGTGGATGAGATGACCCAGGAATGTGGTGCATGGTTGGAGAAAAGTGGGGAGTCTGTTGTGTGGATGGGATGGACTGGGGGGTGTGCTGCCTTTGTGGGAAGGATTAGGAAATGTGATGTATAAGGACTTTCCCCTTGGCTTTGCCTTAAGTCTGGAAACTGAGGTAAAGATGGTGATGATCAGTGTTGAAAGGATAGAGATATTTGGTGTGCAACTTGGGATATTGCTTGCTATTGCAGGGCTAGGAAGTAATGACATCTCAATAGTGACAATGACACCACTTCTCATCTTAACTGATCTTGTAATATGTTTCCCCAAGTAATATGTATGTATTTAATGACCCATGTGAGAGATACAAAGAAAAGTGTACTGACTCAAAGTTTGGAGACCTGGCTCTTCCTGTTAGTTGTGTGACCTTGACAAGTCCCTCTCCTCTTTAAGTTCTCGGATTGGGCTAAATAATACTATATGACCTTTAAAGCCATATCCAAATCTAAAATCTTAGAAGCCTATAGCTCACAGTCTATGTTCTCTAGTAGTTTGTGATCTAATGGGGAGGTAAGACTCAAGCTCAGATAAAGCAGGAGGTGGCAAGAGGGCTTGGGGCCAAGAGAAGAAGATGGGCAGAGGAAGCCTAGTCATCATCACTCTCTCCCTAAGCCTTATTTTTTAGGTCAAACGCTATCCATCGGCTGGTTCTATATCAGCTTGGTAGAACAGAATAGCATGTTTAAAAAGCTCATTTTACATAGGTAATTCTCATTATTCTTCGCAGCTATTCACAAACATTCCGGTGGTTCTTCCTATCTAGAACAGATTCAGGTTTTATGAGGCCTAAAGTTTATATAAATGTATAAAATATACAAAAAGATCTTACTTTACACATTTAACAAAGTGCATGGCCATGTAAATGTGTTGCTTCGGCGTCTCCTGGGGACTGGAAGGGGCTTGTGTAAGCAAGGAGACTAAAACTTTGGGTTGATTAGTTTTACAGAGCACCTTTGCTCTTAACAGAATTGTGCTTCTTCATCTCTTTGAAGGTAGGCATGGCCGTCTGACTTGATTTAGTGAACAAAATGTTAGCAGAAGTGATATCTGCCCCTTCTGGATGGAAGATTCAAGAGCTTGTGCATGATTCACTACATCCCTGTCCCCCTGGCATGGGAACTGTGGAAGCAGCTGTCAGCATAGAGCCCCATCACCTGCGTCCCTGGTACCATCAGGAGTGGAGTCCCACTGCCATGGGGAATGTACCATGAATGAAATAGACTTTGGTGGTGGTAAACCACTGAGATGTTTGGGATTGCTTGTTACTGCACCATACCCTAGCCAAACCTGACTGAAACAAAAAATTATGAAGCATTTTCACAGGTGTAGCCTCGTTTCTTTCTGGAAGGAACATGGGCACTTCTTATCCTCATTTTTCTAATGAAATTATCAGGCTCAGAGAGGTTAGGTATCTTCAAGAAAGGTCATAAGTGAGCAGGTGGCTGGCCTGGATAAGCGCCCAGACATTTTGGTTCTCAGGCCTTGTTTTGTCCACGATGGAATGGTCTCCACAGTGGTTGATGCAGTTCCTTTGCTTGGTATCTGCACTCTCCAGTTCCTTCATCCCTCCCCTCTGATCCCAGATGAAGCCTGGGCTTCTGCTTTGGGCAGTTGTCTCAGATACAATTGGACAATCCAGACAGGTCCCTGAAGGGCTCCATTCTCGTGAAGCACTGGTGTGACCATAGCTCACTGCAGATGAAGAATCCTAGAGAGAGGCCACAGAGAAGAGGACTCTTGATAGAGTCCAGATGGATTGAAAAGTGTACATTTTGAATACAAAAAAATGTAATCACAAAGACTTTTCTCTTGTCTATTTACGGAGTGCAACCTATACTTACATACAGTACCTTGTCAACCTTTTCCCTAAGCACATGCGTGTGCACATTTTACATGGGAAATTGGGTTCGGATTAACTCTGGTAATTTAACTGAGCTTGAGGGGACAAGCCTTAGTTTGAATGGTCTAAAATGTATGTTAAGTGAATGGGTGGAATGGTTTTGACTTAGGGAGAAAAGGTAACTTGGGACAAGCGTCACTTTCCTGGCAAGGTAATAAAATCCTCCAGGTGTGCATCCTGCTCTAGTGAAATGGTAAGGGAGAACCAGACTGGGGTGAAAAGGAAAACGAACCTCATTTAGCTGAATGGTGGTTAACACAGGGCACTGATGGAAGCATCTCAGTAAACAGTGACATAGCTGCCCAGATCATCTGGCAGGAGATCAATAGGCTTGAGCTGAAATGAGAATCATCTGAAAAGCTAAGAAATATTGCCTGGAGAATTCCATTAGACAGCATTACACTCAATAAAGTCTGATTCTGTCAGCCACTTGCAATGTGCTTCAGGATGATTCTTAGATTAGAATTGGTGTAGCTGGGAAAGGCTATTAGATATGTGTAGACTTTTGCTTTGTGAGAATTGGAGTCAGCCCTGTAAACTCTCTTGGGGGGCTTAGAAATCCTTTCACTCACAGGTGGGAACTTGATGGTACAGGATTTACCGGAAGAAGCACTACTGTTGGCTCAGTTTCTCTTTCTCTCTATCTTTCTCTCTCTCTCATACACACACACACACACACACACACACACACACACACACACACACACACACATTCTCTCTTTCTCTCCTTTTGGCTGTTCTTCTCTTTTATTGTTGGAAGCCTATTATTTGGTGAGACTTTCCTTCTTTCATTTTTTTTTTTTTTTTTAGAGACAGGGTCTTGCTCTATTGCCCAGGCTGGAGTGCACTGGTGTGACCATAGCTCACCGCAGCCTCAACTTCTTGGGCTCAAGTGATCCTCTGGCCCCAGCTTCCTGAGTAGTTGGGACTATAGGTGCATGGCACCACACTTGGCTAATTCTTAACATGCTTTTTAAAAATGGGGTCTTGCTATGTTCCCCAGGCTGGTCTCAAACTCCTGAACTCAAGCAATCCTGCTTCAGCCTCCTGAGTAGCTGGGATTACAGATGCATGTCACTATGGCTGGCCCTTAGTGAGACTTTCCATACCCCATCTGATTAAAACATTATTTACTGCAACCCGTATAATATGAAACATAAAGCTAGACCAAAAGTTAAAACTCAGGGAAAATAAAATTTTTCACCCCTCAGCACCCACATCCTCAAAAAAGTCAATGACAAATCCAAACAATTCTCCAGTAATAGAATAAAATTCCCATTTTTCCAAAATAATTAGGGAAAAAGGCAATATTTTGTTAAAAGAGGGCTGCCATACATGCAACACATAGATTACCAACGTCCACATAATGATACTATAGTGAAATCTGCTATATACAAATCTAGGGATGTGCTTCTGGTGATTCAGAAGGCCCGTCACGGTCTGGTAGGGCCTTTTCCATCATTATGAGTAATTCTCATTATTTTGGACACCAACTGGGTAAGTATAGGAGGCTGAGCTGAACCTTTTGCTGACACGTGGACTCCCAGGGGAAAATTTATATATAATCCGTATGAAGTAAACTTGATTTCTTTGACATTTATCTCTTTCATAAAAGTGAAAAACTGCAAGAAAAAAATGTGCCTGTTTATTTTAGCTTTACTTTTGTTTGGGTTCTGAGAAGGAGGAGGCTTATAATCCTCTGGGCTTCTTACCATCTTCCTGATGATTTTTCTCATCCACGATCTCATCGATCATTCCAGCATCCCTATGTGGCTAAGAAAAGTCAATTAGCATTAGCACCATCCCCACACTACAGATTGGAAAGCAGAACTCCTTGTCACAAGTGAAGTGTGTTTCCCAAGGCCCCCACCGTGTCATCCAAGCTGGGCCTCCTCTGGATCTTCACCCATTGCCTGGCATTGAGAGGTCAGTTGTGCAGAGACATCTTCACCTTTTCAAACTATGTTTCCCAACCCTCTGCCACTTGGGCAAATGGTTTGCAACCTTGGGAACTGTTTTCTAAAGAGGCAACACGATATAAGAGGAAGAAGCACTAAGCCAGGAGTTGGGAAATTACAAACTCTAGCTTCACCTGAAACTTTTCTGTGTTTTACCAAGAGCCTCAGTTTTCTCATCTATAAAGTGGCCTTCGTCATCCTGCCCTGCCATCCTCATGAAGCTCTGATGAGGAATGAATGAGCAAATTGGCAGAGAACCTGGCGCTTGCAGGGCCATCTTGCTGAGAGGGCTTGTTCTTTTACTGCCCTCTGGTCCCCTTTGTGGAGTTTCAGTGAGCGGCAGGTCCCAGGAAAGAGGTGTTTGGAGTTTCCTCCAAGGTTTGGAATTTTGCAAGCCCTCAGCTGCTGAAGAGTGATGACGCACCTGCGAAGAACTCCCAGTTGATTTCAAGTTCATCTCTAGACAGGAGGCTGGTGAGGTGGACATCAGCCAGGCCCTAAGAGATTGACCTGGGCCTCTTGTCCTGCTGCCCTCACTTATTCTGGCTCTGCAAGTGACTAGACCTCACTCATAGATGCAGCATCTGGAGGCCCAAGGGGGATGATTCGAGAGCCTTCAAAAAGTGCCTCTGTTCACACTTATCTCCTTTCCTAACAGTTCTATAACTGTGCTGTCAGATGCAGCAACCACTAGCCACATGTAGCTATTGGACACGTGACGTGTGGCAAGTAACTGAGGAACTAAATTTTTAATTTAACTTAATTTGAATTAATTTAAATAGCCACATATGGACATGCAGATCCAAGTGTTTCTCCTTTTCATTAAGTCTCTGTGTCCAGAATATCCTTGTTAAAGTGCTTATCTACTATTATTATTATTATTTTAAAGTGAGGCCATATGGCCAAAGATGAAATTCTGGCATATGCATGGGGGTAGGGGAGGGGAGAAGAGAGGAAATGTGCCAGAAAGGCCATCTTGCTGGCTCCCAAGAGGCCTCCAGGGGAACATCTGGCTCAGTCTCACAGGCACAGAAACAAGATTTTTCAGGGCAAGGAGAGTCAAATTGATCTTCAGAGGTGGGAGCCCTTTAATCAAGCTCCCCAAACAGATGCAATCCATTAAAAAGCTAGCACGACACAGTACAAGGAAACTAATACTCCCGTCTCCTTCGGGCAGGGTGAGGGTGAGAGAGGCTGGTCATTTTCTACATGGAAACTGAGATCTGAAGTGGAGTTGGTGAGCATGGCATCAGAGCAAGTAGCATAAAATAATTCAAATGATTAATGGGCTATGCAATCATTGCAAGGTGGAACTTATCTGTCCTGGGAATGGTCCAGCTGTGTTTCTGACTACAGCCCTCTCTTCCTGAGTGGTGCTTGAGTGGTTATCAGCAGTTTGCTTCTGACTCTACTTTGTTTTCTAAGCGTTCATGGTTGATCAACCCCACAAGATTGTCTTAGTCCTTTGGGACTGCTATAACTGAATACCATAGACTGAGGGGCCCATAAACAACAGAAATGTATTTCTTACAGTTCTGGAGGCTGGGATGTCCAAGATCAAGATCCAAGTATCTGGTGAGGGCTCACATCTGGCTCATAGATGGCTGTCTTTTCACTGTGTCCTCATTTGGTGGAAAGGGCAAGGGAGCTCTCAGGGGCCTTTTACGTAAGGGCAATCATTCCATCCATGACCTAATCACTTCACATGCCCCATCGCCTAATAGCATCCCAGTGGAGACTAGGTTTCAGCATATGAATTTGGGGGAGGGGACACAAACGTTCAGCCTATTGTACCCATTGGTACATGCTTTCTTTATGTTACATTTAGGTTCCTGTCCTGTACCACACACTCAGGGCACATTTATTTCTTTAAGATGACTTAGCCGGAACAACTGTAGGTTGACATCACAGTTTGTCTCCCAGAAGACAGTCTTATATCCCTTGTTTCCAAAGTCTTGCAGTCTCCAGCTACTGACTGCATGTATTTTCTGTGAGGGGTAGCATGTTTATTAGTTGTTGATATCCATGCATGTTCTCTTTGAAAAAAATAGCTTGTGTGATCAGGCATTGATACTTGAAGTGCTTACTGGGGCCAGATAGTGACTAAATGAGAGTAGCATGCATGATGTCAGGTTGGTTGGTGTGGACCCCTTGGATGTACAGAGCCGCATCTCAGTTCAGGCTGCGTGTAGACGTCCTAGAATGTGAGTCCAGAGTTGCCAGATCTTCTGATTTTTAAACAGAAGTTGAACATCTGGATATTAATATGAAATCACCTGGTTTTTCAAAGTGGGAAATCAATTCAGCTATAACCCAACACTGAATACAAGCCCAACAAAATACATTAGCAAGTTGGATTTAACCCATGATCTCTGGCTTGTAGTTTCTAGGTGTCGTGGGAGGCTTTGGTCTGGGAGTTTGCCATTGTGGGTTCTAGTCCACACTCCGCCTCTACACTGCCATGAGGTGTTGGGGACAGAACGTCCCCCGTTGCTGCTCAGACTCCTCCTCTGTGAATTCGGACTGTCAGATGGCATGTTCTCCAAGGTTTCCTCTTGCTCTGTTCCAGTCTGCTGGGGCTATCTTAACAAAATACTGTAGATTGGGTGGCTTAAACAACAGAAATTTATTTTCTCACAATTCTGGAGACCAGAAGTCCAATATCAAGGTCAGCAGGGACCACTCTCCTTGGTGTGTAGACAGCCACCTTCTTGGTGTGTCCTCACCTGGCCTTTCCTCTGTATGTACACATCTCTAGTGTCTCTTTCTCTTCTTATGAGACACTAATCATATTGGATTAAGACCACATTCTTGTGAACTATGTAACCTTATTACCTTCCTAAAGGCCTGATACGGTTTGGCTCTGTGTCCCCAACCAAATCTCATCTTGAATTGTAATCACCATAATCCCCATGTGTCAAGGGAGGGACCTGGTTGGGGGTGATTTGATCATGGGGGTGGTTTCCTCCTGCTGTTCTGGTGATAGTGAGTGAGTTCTCACAAGGTCTGATGGTTTTATAAGTGTTTGACAGTTCCTCCTTCACATACTCTCTCTTTCTCCTGCTGCCTTGTGAAGAAGGTGCCTGCTTCCCCTTCTGCCATGTTTGTAAGTTTCCCGAGGCCTCGTCAGCCATGCAGAACTGTGAGTCAATTAAACCTCTTTCCTTTATGAATTATCAAATCTCAGGGAAGTTCTATACAGCAGTGTGAAAATGAACTGATACAAAGCCTTATCTCCAAATATAGTCACATTGGGGGTTAGGGCTTGAACATAAAAATTTGGTGAAGGGGAGAGCAAAATTCAGTCCACAAAATGCTCAGAGAGTCTGTACTTCATTCACAAGGTCACTGAGGTTAGACTGTGATTCTAACTCGGCTATCTTTCCCTTGCCCCTCCAGGTCCACTCTCTGCCCTCCTGCACCTTGCCCTGTGTCTTTAACATATATTTTCCAGAGCAAAACTACAGAGTCCACCTATATTGCCAACCTGCGGTGCTGGCACTGAGGAGTCAAGAGCCCTCTCTTGGATATGGAGTGGCAGAACAGGGCATATGTGTCCATGCTCTTATGTGAGCAGCTACATCGAGTAGTTGTGCCTGGGAATGCTGCCCTCTGCTTTGGTTAGGTTTAGCCAAAGAGGAGTCTAAGTAGGTGATTAGAGGGAGACAGGAGAATGAGGTTCGGAGAACCTTGCTACAAGGTTCCTGTGGGCTGGCCGTGAAACCTCACTGAAGGTCACTGCTCCTGTTAGACAGCTTCTCTGCCTCCACAATCCACACTTTTTCCCTCTTACCCCATTAAGCCCCTACTGTTATTCACCCCAGTACACAGCACCCTCCATCCATGAATTCCCTACCACCTACCACGCTCTTGAGAAGAGTCCATTTTCTCAAATCAGCCAACTTGTGGGTGCTGGGACCCTGACCCATACAGCCAGAGTATGAAGGAACCCATTGGTGGGTCATCCTCTCTATCCCTTCCCCTTGTGTCCTCACCTTCCAGTTTTCAGTCAGCTCTGCCTCAGCCTCGCTTCCCCCAGGCCACATACTTTTTTCCTGAGGTGAACCACATCATGACTCTTGCTCTCTGAGTTAGTTTGCTATTATCCCTTTGCGGTCCCTATGGACAAGGGTAGAAGAAAGAGCTGGCTGGAAAATGCAGTTCCCTGCAGCTGGGTTCTGGGATTTGCCTGGCTGAAATGATGTTAGCTCCTTGACCATTTGCCCCACGCAAGTAGGCATTTCTCTAGGGACTGTAGAATATGTTTAGAATGAGATTTACTCTGTTCCTTCTCATGGTCACAGACCTCTTGGGGCAGATCACATTCTCTCCTTCATCTACAATATCCTTGCTAACAGCCCCCTCCCCACTTTTTATTGAGGTTCCTCCCACTGAAGCTTTAGGTACTGTGCTGGTTATGGACACAGATGAATAGAGCAAAGTTAGTAATGCTTTCAGTATCCAGAGTAAGGGAAAGGAAGACACGTACATCATGATAATTATAGTGCAGTATAGAGATGGAGTGGAATAAACACTGTAAGAGTTTGTCAAGTGCTAGGGGCTGGGTATAGCAGAACAGGAGAGTGGTTTAAAGGTGAAGATCCTGGACTCAGGTCACCTGGGTTCAAATCCTGCTTCACTGCTTAATAGTTCTGACATCTTAGACAAACTGCCCAGCTTCTTAAACTTTAGTTCCCTCATCTGAAAAATATAGGCAGTAATAGGTTATCTTTGCTAGGAATAAATGAGATATAATGCCTGTAATATGTTTAGCCCAGTGTCTTGCATATCCTCGTGCTTAATAAATGTTAGCTTTTATTGCTACTTAGCAAAGTTTGTGCAAAGGAATGGGTTTTGTGGTAATAATTCTCCCATTCCTTAAAAAATGGGAGGATTTCATGGGAAGGGGAAGATCATTCCAGAAAGACAGAGGCGCATGAATAAAGGCACGAGGACAAGCATATTTAGGAATTGTCAATTAATCCAGCTGATACATGGTGGTTACTTATTAGGAAAAAGGGCAGGAAAATCTAGTTAGATCCAAATCAAGGACACCAAATATCAGGGTGAGGGGTCTGTAAGTAATTTTGTAGGCAGTAAAGAGCCATTAAAAATAAGGATTTTAAGCGGGGCTATGTATACTTAGATAAACTTTAGGAAATTTAATCTGGCAGCTTTTTCTAAACTGGGTTGAAGGTGGAGAAAAAAGGTGGAAAAAGAAGGCATGAGGCTGTTACTATTGTCCATGGAAGTAGTAACAAGACCTGTCTTAGGGAAAAGCTGATAAATAATAATCAAACTCGTAACATCTGACAGAAACAGTTTGGCAGGAGGCAGAACATATGCAAATGAAAGTGTTAAGAGCCACACACAGTCAGGGGACAACTGGGAATGAAAAGCATGCACTTAATCCTGACATCAACTAATGACAAGGTAGTATTGATTTTTACAAAATTCTGAATTTAACATGTATTTTCCAGATCAAAACTGCAGAGCCCACCTATATTGCCAACCTGTGGTGCTGGCACTGAGGAGCCAAGAGCCTTGTAGTGTAGATGGGGTGGGAGACCAGGGCATAAATGCACATGCTCTTATGTGAGCAGCTCCATGGAGCAGCTTGTGGCAGGAACTCGAGCAGCTGATGACTGTCCCCAAAGAGCACATCTACATGTTTGTTCAGCCCCCCTCACAGCTCCTGCCCCATTCTGACGAAAAAGCCTGCTAACATTTAGTCAGCGTTTTATTTAGAAAGATAGTGCCTTGGCTGGTATTTTCACTTGTGGGAGCTGGCTGTCCTAAATGTAGCAGGAAAGTGCCCTGAAACCCACACACTAGGTCAAAGAAGGTACAGAGTAGGGCCAGAGTATTCCCTCCGGAAGTGAATGCTAGTCAAGGAATACAGTAAGGATGGAGCCAGATGTACAAAGAGCCCTAAGGTCCCTGTCCTCACCTCCAGGGAATAAGGATTTATGAAGCATGGCTGGTGGGGAATTAGCCACAGGACACTAATGGAAATTCCAAGTATTGAATCCAACAAAACCTGTGAGAACTTAGATCCCTTTGATGAGCCTCATGTTGATGGGTTGCACCTTCAGATAGAAATGAAGAGGATCATTTCCTTAACACAGAAAAGGAAGAGGTGGTCAAGGTTCCTTTTAGAACCGCAGAGTCCTTCTCCATAGAGCAGGGCAGCCTGGTGAAGCAACCGTCAGCTGTAGGAAGGAAGACCGTCTCCAACATGACTGGGCACAAGGAGCTGTCCGTGGTGCTGCAGCGGCCTTTGTGTGAGCCCTCTTGGAAGATGTCTATTAGCTGCCATATGACAGGTGTTGTGTCAGGTAATTTAAGCACATTGCATTCTTTAATCCTCACAGCAACCCTGTACTGTTAGTGTTTTTATCAGCCTTGTTTCTACAGATGAAGAGACTAATGCTCAGAGCTTCACTTTCTGCCTTATCCAATTTGGATGTTATGAATAACATTTTCAGACATCAGATTTGAGGAATTCCAGCCTAACAAAGACAGCATATTTGTTAACACCCTTTCTCTGGTCTGGATAGAGATATTTTGTTTCTTTTGGAGGTGGAAGTGGTGGGAATTTACACCAAAGGCAACAGAGTTTAACTCATAGGAGAGTCTTTAAAGAGAAAGATTAAGTATTTAGACTTAATCTATTTTAGACTGTTGATTACAAAATCATTCAGGAACTTTAAATATGTTTGTTAAAAGAGAAGGAAAAATTAACCCATCCTAATTAGAAGGAAGCAAATCATGAGTTTTTGTAAAAATCAGCAAGACCTTTTTACTCTTTAACAATTTTCTCTTTTCTTTTTCTTGGGTATAAGCTGAAAAAAAAAAAAAGGCTCCAAGACAGAGAAGGTAGAGGGCAAATAAGGGCCTATCTTTCATTAATTTGGGAGAAATCTTTGCTAGGGCAGTTGAAGCCTTAATAAAGAAAAATCCATGTGGGCCTTTGATGCCAAACATCAGTAATTCTCAGGATCTAAAACATCATTTAGGCTAGGGAAAGGATTTTGCTCAAATCTCAATGTTACAAAAATTCAGGGGGTGTTCTTAATGCATGGCATTTAAGGTAGGACCAAGGCTGAGACCAAGTGAGGGGTTCTCAACCTGGGTCCCTAGACCTGGGGGATGGGGGAGGAAAGAAGTCCATGGATGGGCTCTGGACAGTCTATGCATACCTTAGAAATGTAGGCAAAATGTTGTTTATAAATGCATTTTTACAGGGAGGGGGTGATAGCTGTCAAGAGAATCTCAAGATGTCCAAGAACATCCATAAAGTAAAGATCTACTGGTTTAAATATTCACTCCAGAAAGTTAAAACTTGGAGAGTAAAGCATCTAATTATATCTATGTATTTATATTTCTGAATTTGAAATAGGCAGACCCTATCAGTATGACATTTATGATAATTCAGATTAATGATTTGTACTTGTATATTTTAGTGAAGAGTTCTGGTTTTATGGGAGACAGGACTAATTAAGTAGAAACCGTATGTTGTTTTTTTTCCCAATTAAATGTATTCCTCAAGGGAGCCTATAAAGTGAGAGAAAACATCAGTCAGGAAAGACCTGATGAGAGCTCATGATGTGGCAAAGCTATCACTCACTTGCCTGAAATTCAGTAAGCCTTCCTATGTTAGACATTCGCATTCTAGCACAAATTCTGGAGGTCATTCCATGTCCCCGTCTATCACCACGTGGCCCATTAGCCATTGCAGAGACAGGGGAGCAGGGGCAGCACCAAGTGGAGCCCACTCTCCTTTTTGCCCACTCAGCAAAGTTGTTTACTAAACTCTGGTGGCCAAACATTTTACTCAGCTAGAGGAAGGTAAGAATCAGGACTCAGCTGGATTTTTAAAGCCCACAGATTCAACCTGGAGGAAGAATGGATGAGTGCATATAAACTTCTCTTCTTCCTGAACTCCCATCCTCTATCTTTGCCTGGCTTACTATACAGTGATTTACAGAGCAATGTGTGAGAGTGTGTGTGTGTGTGTGTGTGTGTGTGGCCACACCATCCACGAAGAACATTTGATTCCTCTCAAGTGTCTTTGACAGCTCAGTGAGCTGACATAACCCAGAAAAATGTGCTGTTATTTTGATAAGGACAGAGATGCAAGTATGGCTTAGTTATCTCAGGGTTTCCCCTGAAAAGAGCTAAACTTACTGAAGGCAAAAAGGGAGTGATCAATAGGCTGTGATCCTTGGGGTCCTAAAAGCTTCTGGGGTCCTAGGAAGTTGGGGATTCTGGCAATGTGGAGGATTTATATCCTCCACATAAACTTGTCCAGCACCATCACTTTTTCTCAGGACAGAGGCAGGTGTGAATGGGAGGCAGATGGGACCTGGAATGAGCCCAACCCTGTGAGATAAAGCAGGCACAAGGGCTGCAGATCTAGTTGTAGAGACGTTGGTGGTGAGGGGATGATGGCAAGTCAGAATTTTCAAAGGGGAGCTGTGGTTGTCAGCACCTCATTTCCCAAGAGTCGGGTATTGGGCAGGGGTGCTAGGCCTTAGTGTGTCAGAGTCTTAGCAGGGGAGACCACAAGGCCACCCAGAACAATCCCCACAGGGGTCAAATATATAATCCAAGGAAGAACCGAAGCTGGAACCCAGTGTCTTGACTGTCCAGTCATTGCCCTTGTCACTCTCCTGTATGTGTCAGGTCCCACTCCCTACTCCCCTGCCTTCTACTGCCCTTCCCCAACTCTGCAGAGAAGAGGCCAGGAGCTGCCCCTGACTTGTATAGCTCCCCAGTGGGGAGGACCTGGAAAGGTTGTTCTTTCCTGGCTGGCCACAGTCTACCAGGAGGCCAGCAGTTGTGAAACCAGCTTGATTTTATGGCTTTCTTGGTAGCCACTGAAGTCCCCACAGCAATAAGATAGCAAACATAGGCCATGTTCCAGGAATTGCTCCAGGGCTTCATTTGTCTGATATTTAACCATCTCAACATCCCCATGTGATAAGCACTGTAACTTTCCCTGTTTTACAGATGAGGGACCTATGAACAGAGATGTTAAGTAACGTGCCTAACATCGCACCGATAATGAGTGGCAGAGCTGAGATTCAAACCAGAGAGTCGGGCTCCGAAGTCCACGCTCTTCACCACTATCTTATCCTGCCTCTTGACTCTTAGAACCATGTATTAGGCTGTCTTTCTCCTACACAGTTGTTTTGTCCCCCAAAACTAAGCATTGCCTTTGCTTACCCCAAATCTCTCTGGCCCAAAGGAGAAAGCAGGAGAATGCCTTTCGGCATTCATCAGGATGCATATTAAAGGGAGGGGTTCAGAGTGAGCTCTGCTTGGGGGTCCCATTTCACCACTGCTTTCTGCAAGTCAGAAATGATGAGGAATTCCTAGTGGAATCCTGCAGTTTCTTTGACTCCTACCTTGTTGCTCAGCAAGAGAGAGAGGTGGTCTGTGGTGTTGTCTCAGCTGACACAGGTGAGGAGGAATGGCACCTACAGAGAGGGTGGATGGTGCATCATTTCTGAAGCAGCACAAACTGACCATGTCCTAGTGCCAGCAAATGCCACCTCCACCCCCTTTCTGGGCCTTAATCTCTGAGACAGGGAACACTTGTTGGTGTATAGGAAAGTGCATCTTGGTACTCAGACCTAAGGATATTGAGACCTACACTGTTGTGAAGTTTCGTGTGAACTCCACAACTTCGTGTTGTGAAGTTTTTGTTTAAATAAAACTGATAGTGCCTCCTTGAATTAAAGAACTGAGAGCATTCAACTTGTAAATCAGTGAGCGGGTGATTTCCTTTATCATGAGTTCATGGCTTCTTGCTTATAGTAATTTTACTATAAAAGTTAAATATTATCAAGAAGCTGAACATTGTTTTTCCAAGTCATTGAAGTAAATTTATGGTACAGTGAAGTTGTTACATTACATTCCCAACAAGTGAAAAAGAAAATCTGATGAAGAATATGTCCCCTTTCCTAGTGAAAGTGTCTTTGTGCATGAGGCTAAATCTACATGTATTACATTGAAGCATGCAATAATGAAATTTGACCTCAGGAATGAGAGATACCCAGGGAGAAACTTGTGGTCATAGTTTCCAGATGCCTTGGGGAAAAGTCAACTGTATGGGAATCTGAGATTTGATCTTATTTTCAGCCAAACACTATGATGCACAGCACTAGCAAAACATTAATGCCATTAGTACTTGGTCTGAATTCCATAGGTGTGTTCCATAGATGGCAGATACGTGAGAACCTCTTTTCTCCACTTCATTTAATGTGCCTCTCTCTCATAGAATCATGAAATGTCAAAACTTAAAGGAACCCCAGAGATCCTCTGTTCTGTGCAGATGAAGAAACTGAGGCTCAGTGAGGGAGAGTGACTTACCCAAGTTTACACTGCAAATGACCAGCAGAGCTAGGAACCCAGGTCAGCTAATACTCTGGGGACAGTACCCAAGACCCTTCTCCAGCTCCAACTTCAGCCTTTCCCTAGAGGTTGAAATGGGATCGATTCTTTCACCCATTAACTCTGAGCTATGATCATGCCCTCCCACCTAAAAGCGTCTTCATGGCCCATCAATATTAATGGATGGTGAAGGTGTGGACTTTGCTACAGTTCATAAATACAGTGGGCATGCGCTTTATACACAGACACATGTGCACTTTGAATTCCTTGGAGATTTATTTAGATTGAACTCTTGCATTCTTGAATCTCTAGTCTCTCAGCAAAGCGATAAGCTTGCAGTTGGGAACAAGTGGTGACCAGATTGGGGCAGAGGATGTAGATCACACTGACCCCAGCCTTCAGGGACATATTGACAGTGTAGCCCAGAGGGCTGCTGCTCAAGGAGAGCCGCTAAAGAACTGCGTCCCAACCTACCCAGCCAGACCTACTGCCCACCATTCTCCCTGGGGACCTAGCCTTGGAAGCCCCACTTCCAAGATTGTCACTTCCACTGCATTTTGTTGGTCAAGCAGGTCACTGAGGCCAGCTCAGATGCAAGGAGACGGAGTAGCCTATGTATGCAGAGAGGGCAGGCATTGACAATGCCCATCTTTGCAGACTATCCAACTACAGTAAGCAGACACATTATCGTAGAGGGTAACCTACCTGTCCCTTCCCTCACTAAGTTAGTGACTGCACTGCTAGCACCGAGAACAGCTTCAATACTAGGAAATATTTTGGGGAGGTAGATGGCAGGAAGAAGGAGGGAGAAAAGTCATTAGTTTGAGATAATGGTTAAGGAATTAAGCCTGGGGAAGATAAGGCAGGATGTAAATTGTGGATATTAGGCAGGTAGGGGTGCGGTGAGTGCTGGAGAAAAACTTTGTCTACTTCCTTGACGGGCTCAGCGTCTGTTCGGGTGGATTGGAGACAAAGGCTGGCACAGTTCAAAAAAGTATGGCAAAATGTATTTATTTATTATTTATATCACATACAATTGTAATGAAGATTATTTTCAAAGACAAAAAAAGCATCCAACATCCCACCAGCTGGACACAGTTGTGTTCATTTTTCTTTTCAATCTTAATTCCTCCTTAAATATGTTTTACATCTCTGTTATCATCCTGTGTTGGGCATGGGTTCTGGGCTTTTCACCTGGGCTCATTTTATAAATGCTGTTCTGATGTGAGCTGCTGCCTTTGTCTACATCCTTTTAGAGGCCACATTTTATTCCGGTTGAGGGAGATTTGTAATGGGCCAATGATCTGAGCACGATTAACAAGGGTGACTCAGGTCTCCTGTGGTCCTGTCACCCACTGGTGAATGGGCAAGGCCCTGGGGAAGCTAGACCTGGCCCCTCCCGGGCTCTGGGGGGCTCTGTCCCTGCCCAAGATGCCCTGCTGGGGTTGAAGCCCTCAGGGTGCTCCATGAATGTTTACAGCTGCCAGCAGGAAGCACTCTTCCTTTAAGCGGAGAGGCAAGCTGAGTTTTTTCCTCCTTTCCTCTTCAACCTTTCAAGGAGTTTGTTGGTTTCTGAAAACTATTAAGCTAGGGCACGAAGGTTTAGATTTCTCATCTGTTACAAGGGCTTACATTTCTTCCGGGAAGGGGGATTCAATTTTACTGTTGTAGCAATTTTTCACCACAAGAATCTGCTGACTTCTTTTTCTGATACTGAGATGCCAGGTTTGGCACATTCTGGGCAGGTGGAGGGCATCCTCCTCTCTCTGCAATGTCCTCTACTCTCTGCCTATTTAAATTCCACCTATTCTTCAAAGCCCATTTCACATCCTTCGATGTCCTCCTTGAAGCCCTCCCTGGCCTTTTGCACCCATACTCAGGTTTCTGACATCTTAAAATATTTACTGCTTGCTCATAGTCACATTCTCATAGAAGGCATCATGGTGTCATAAACAGACCCTGGGCTGGAAAGCAGGATACTTCAGATCTTGTCCCACTGCTAACCATCTATGTGACTTTGGATAAGTGTTTGTACTCTCTGGGCTTTAGCTTCTTCATTTTAAAAAGATGGCTAATCTCTGTTGTTCCTTTCTGCTATGAGTCTATGATCCGAGTTCTTTGACCTTTGAGGTCACCCTTGCACATCACTCTAGAGACTGTGGAAATTGCCCTGGTTAATTTATGCTTATTTCCTCCAATGACCTTGAATCTTTCTGCTCATAAGACATCATTTGGACAATGTGAAAATGTGCTTGCTATTGAAAACATGGATTGGGTCTCTTCCACAAACTTCTTCATCTCCTACTCCTGCTTATCTACTTCTTTTCATCCAATAAGTAGACTTCAGACTTTGTTCTTTCTTCTGGTTGATGCTGAGTCTCTGACTATGATACAGTGCTGCAAATGGAAGCATACTTTCTGAAGGCTGTATTTCAAACACTCTATTAATGCGACACGCCACATACCAATCCCAGTAGAATGCCCACAAACCAATTTGGCTCGTCTTTGATGAGGCAGAGATGCAAGGCAATAACTACTCCTCTCCAGGGGAGAAGGGATTAGTGTGAAAGCGGCTGAGATCCTACCATCTCCATCACTGGAGCATGAAGGCCCACTGCAAGGACAAGCAGTTTGCCCCTGAACATCCATGTTTGCTCAGCTTAAGATTGCTCAAGATTTGGCTGTGCTAAAAAAGGGGATAGGAACAGTATTGAGGAAGATGGACACGATTTGGCTTAAAATCAGAAAAAGCCAGAAATTTCTAAGGCTGGTTTTATGTCCAAAAATGTGAGGCCCTCGGGGGGAACCACCATGGTGGTTACTCTGTAGCCACCAAATGAGAGAACCTCCTTGGTACCCAGTCAAAGCCTCCACCTGCTCTCAGGACTTACTCCACCACATTCCCTGCTCTTCCATCCTTGGCACAAATCCTACATTTCCCTCTTCTGATACCCCATTCTCTTCCCTCTGCTTGGGATGCACGGGCCCAAATCACCCCCCTCAACATTTCACTCACTCACTGGGGCAAAAAGAAGCTTACATAATGCCTCTGCTATGGGCTTTGCAGTCTCCATGACTTCAGTTTAAATCCCAGCTTTTCTTCCTCTAGGGCAGGTGACTTAACCTTTCTGAGTAGCCTCCATTTTCTCCTTTGTAAAATGAGGCTAATTATCGCTGCCTTGCAGGGTTGCAGTAAGGATTATGAGATAGTGAAGACTTGCAGCATTGAACACAGTGCCTGGTATATCACAGGGGCCCAATGAGTGGCATTCTCACCATTGTTTCCCTTCTGTAAATGTTTTATGGGCAATAGTATGGTGTTATATTTATGTAGACATAGAACCTATCCCACTGCTAGAGAGAAAACTTCTTGAAGGTAGTAATTATTTGACGCTCTTGTTGATCCCTTTCAATGCCAAGCACGGAGCTTTGCGTAGAGTAAATTCTTAATATACTTTGTTCAAATGAATCCACTAAGTCATTTTATCTGCCTTTTCCCTCTGATTATACCCAACAAAGACATGAGAAAGTCATTGTTGAAAAAACAGGGCAAGAAATAATTTCTTTCTACATTTTTAGGCCACATTTTATTAAGAGTGCAGCTTTGGGGTCTTGCCTCTTAAACTGTAAATCCAGGGAGGAGGGAGGGGATGGAGACCATGACCTTTTATGTGTGCTTTCAGTATTTACTGCTCTGCGGGGCACTTGCTGAATATTTAAGTGTGTTGTTATTCAGGATAAAAGCTTGTAGAGTGACAGATCTGGGAGCAGAAAGGCAACTTGGTAATGGATTTTATCTCAGACAAATGCAGGAGAAAGCCTGCTTAAAGGCTATAATTGCCCCAACTACTCCAGCCCCATCCTGCAATCCTGTTCTCCCCTCACCAATGCAGCTCTGGGATCCTTTCTGTGATAAGCCCCTGGGCCTCACTCTTCACTCCCCACCACTAGGAGGGAGAAACCTGGTGGATGAGCAGCCCCTTTCTTGGCATGCCAAGTTGAGATCCATTGTGCAAGAATTCTCTACATTCTGCTGAGGAGTGGTCCAGCCGATAAGGAAGTTGTGACCTGATCTGACTATGGGTTGAACGTTGGTAACCCTGGCAAGATACAAAAAAGCTCAGATCAACAGAGGCAGCATAGAACAGACTTGTGGTTAAGAGCACAGACTTGAGACAGACTGCCTGAATTTGCATCCTAGTTCCATCCTTTGCTTTCTTGTAACCTTGGACATGTTATTCAGTTTCATTGAACCTCAGCTTCCTTATCTGTAAGATGGGAATGATAGAAAGAATGCCTACTTCATAGGTTAATTATGAGGCTCCAAGGCACTATCATAAGTTAAGTTACCTAGAACTGTGCCTGAAATATAGTAAGAGCTATGCAAGTATTAGCTATTATTATTTTAGAGCTATGGGAGCCATTCCCCTAAATTGTATGCAAAGCTGTGTATCTCATGTTTCATTTGTGCCTTAGCTTGGTTGATTCTTATTCCTATACAGTGGAAAGGGTTAACTTCTGCAGTGTCCACGCAGGAGATGAAGGTAGATGTGGCAGCAAGGATGGAATAGAGAAGGGTAAGGGAGATCTATAGGAGGAACTCATGACAGTTACATGTGGAGCTGAGGGAAAGGGAAGATCCAGGGATGTCACCCAGGGGACCAAGGCTCAAGATCTGTGGGTGATGATATCATAAATGAGACAAGGGACGCCATAGGAAGAGAGGTTCCTATGGGGATATTGAGCTTGGAAATCCTGTAGAATATTGGGACAGCAGGTGGAGATGCCCCCAGAATGTTGAAATTATGATTTTTGAGCTTTGGAAAGAGGTCCAAATAAAGCTATAGATTTTAAGAGTCACTAATATTTGCAGTGAACTCCATGAGAACCAGTAGGATCCTTCAGACAATTTGCCACAAAATGTCAAATGGCTGATCCAGTGACAGAGAGTAAATATTTCAGGCTTTATGGGCTATGCAATCTCTGTTGCAAGTACTCAACTGTGTCACTGGTTTGAAAGTAACCATAGACCATATGTAAATGAACGGGTGTGTCTGTGTTCCGATAAAACTTTATTTACAAAACAGATAAAGAGTTAGTCTACACCTACCCTACTCCTGATCAGCATCTTACACATTGCAGGTATAGGATAAATATTTGTTGGATTTATCCACTAGCTCCAGAAATTGTCTCAAGTTCAGGCAGATTTAAAAAAAAAATTAAATTCCTAGGTGCTCAAAGTTTTGTTAATGACACATGAAAACAGCCACAAAAACAGGTAAGGGAGAGAGTGTTTGGATTTCTGCTGCTATACATAAAACAAACCACCATGAATTACAGACATACTGTTGGGTTGTGAAGTATCCAGCCAGAAACCTTTTCTGAACCAAGTCCTAGGCCCTCAGCCAAGTGTGATAAATCAGACGGGTGAATTGCAGGGCCAGGTGATGTGAGAACCATTTGATTTTAAACCTCCTGAGGGCCGATGCTGGTGGGCAAGGTGAGAAGCCTTGGCTTCCAGAAGTGCACTCTTAGAGCCCTCAGGGACCTTGAATGGCACTCTTGTTATGTCCAGGAAATCAACTGCAAATACATTAAATAATTAAGAAACTGCCCACAAGTATTGCAGCTTCCATTGCAAAGAAGTGGTGATGGGAAGAAATGGGAGAAAATCAGCACTAGAAGAGGAGTTGAAGCCATGTGAGGGAGTGGGCATTTTTCACACATTTCTAGTCATAGAAAATGACAGAGAGAGAGAGAGAGAGAGAGAGAGAGAGAGAGAGGCTTCCTCATAAACAATATAGTAATACAGCGGATTATGAGTAGAAGTTATTAAAAGAGTTGAGTCGACACAAGAGCTGAGGGTTTCAGCTGCTAAATTAAACTTAGTAGTAGCTCAGGTGAACCACCCTGAGGACGGTTCACATTCCTTCTTGTCTTATACTTTTGGTTGGTAGATCAAACCACCCAAGTCTCTGTTTTGCTTTTGAAGTCTGAACTGTATATCTCAATTCTTTGGTCACCTTCCTGGGGAAAATTCCAGGGTCTTGGACATCAAGCAATGGGAGAAAACCTAGAGAAGAGGCTCATGTTTTACTGAAGGCTGCAAAAAGTATGTGTCTTAAGAGCTTGATGAAGCCCAGGGTTCCTGGGCAGGCTGTGTAACTCCGAGATACTGAGTGTTTGTAGTTCCAGTAACGGTAGTAGCTGTGTCATGTGCCGCAAAATTATGTTTATGTTAATGACATAGATGGTGGTGGTTTCATAAGATTCTAATGGAGCTGAAAAATTCCTATTGCCTAGTGACATCTTGATGATCCTGACCCTGCATAGGCCTAGACTAACGTGTGTGTTTGTGTCTTAGTTTTTAACAAAATAATTTTAAAAATTTTAAATAGAAAAAAGCGCTTATAGAATAAGGATTTAAGAAAAATATTTTTGTAAAGAAAGAAATATTTGAAAGAAAATATTTTTGTATAGCTGTATAACGTGTTTGTATTTTAAGCTAAGTTACAGATGTCAAAAAGTCACAAAAAAGTTTTAAGTTTATACAGTAAAAAAGTTACAGTTAGCTAAGGCTAATTTATTATTAAGGAAAGAAAAAAATGTAAATAAATTTAGTGTAACCTAAGTGTACATTGTTTATAAAGTCTACAAGTAGTAATGATCTATGCCTTCACATTCTGTCACCACTCACTCACTGGCTCACCCATTGCCACTTCCAATCCTGCAAGCTCTACTCATGGCAAGTGCCCTATACAGTTGTGCCATTTTAAATCTTGTATACTCTATTTTTACTATACCTTTTCTCTGTTTAGTTATATTTAGATACACAATAGTTACCATTGTATTACAGTTGCTTACAGTATTCAGTACAGTAACACGCTGTACAGGTTTGTAGCTTAGGAGCAGTAGGCTATACTATAAAGCCTAGGTGTATAGTATACAATCTAGGTTTGTGTAGGTGGACTGTACAACATTTGCGCAATGACGAAATCACCTATTGACACATTTCTCAGTATGTGTCCCCATCGTTAAGTGACACATGACTGTATATGCACATATAAACATACATAAACATGCACACATGTTTTCTTGTGTGTATATATGTATATATGTGTATATACGTGCATATGTGTATTTGTATGTGTGTGTTTATACATATGTATCTATATTCGTATTATGTACACTGACAAGTTTCTTTTTTTCTTTTTTTTAAAGACAGGGTCTTGCTTTGTTGCCCAGGCTAGAGTGCAGTGGCACAGTCATAGCTCACTGCAAGCATGAACTTCTGGGCTCAAGTGATCCTTCTGCCTCAGCCTCCTGAGTAGTTGGGACTACAGGTACACACTACCATGCCCAGCTAATTTTTAAATTTTTTTTGTAGAGACAGGGGTCTCGCTTAGTTACCCAGGATGGTTTTGAACTCCTGGCTCCAAGTGATCCTCCCACCTCAGCCTCACAAATTGCTGGGATTACAGGTGTGAGTCACCATGCCCAGTGAACAAGAAATTTTTTTTTTTAGATGAGTCTCGCTCTGTCGCCAGGCTGGAGTGCAGTGGCATGATCTCAGCTCACTGCAACCTCTGCCTCCTAGGTTCAAGTGATTCTCCTGCCTCAGCCTCCCGAGTAGCTGGGACTACAGGCATGCACCACCACGCCCAGCTAATTTTTGTATTTTTAGTAGAGATGGGGTTTCACCATATTGGCCGGGATGGTCTCAATCTCTTGACCTCGTGATCTGCCCGCCTCGGCCTCCCAAAGTGCTGGGATTACAGGCGTGAGCCACCGCACCTGGCCCTAACAAGTAATTTTTTAATGCTTATATTGGTTGCTGACAGGTCCCACACCATCCAAATCTGTCTCATCTCTGTTTTAGGGCAGTGAGAGTTCAGATACAGAGTAAGCGCAAGAGAACAAGTGAGTCTGTATTTGGTTCCTGAGTCTAGGTAGTATTTGGATAGCAAGAATTGAAAGGAATACTTGATTTTAAAAAATCAAGATATTAAAAAATTTAAAGATTTTAAAGTCTCTATTTCTAGGCCCATTCTCCAACATGGTAGTGCCTGCCAGAATTGATCAGTGGTAGCTGAGACCACTTCAGACTCAACTTACACTCTTCCATTCACATGGGCCCTCCTGGCCTTCTTCTTGGGTTGGCAGTACCTGCTTGTCCTGAGACTTTTTTGTTTAGTCCCTTGGCCTCCATGATCAAGCCTGTCTTCTCCACTTTGCCACCAAACTGTTCTTTCTAGATCTCAAGTTCAATCAGACCACATCTTGCTTAGGGCTCCCCAGTCCCTAAAAGCAAAGCCTAAGCTTTCTTTTATGGTAACAGGGCTTTCCGTCACCTGCCACAGCCTCCTCCTTCTTAAGGGCAGTGATTTCTCATCACTTTCTGCTGCATGCCCTATAATCCCATGACATTCAACCCTCTGATTCTTCTGGACAGAACCCTTTTCTTTCATTAGGGCACGGCACATGCATTTTCCACCAACTCAAATACCTGGTGGATGTCTACCCATGCTTTAAAGCCCAGCCTATTTGCTACCTTCTGTGTGAAAGCTTACCTGATCTCCACTCCCTTTCTCACGTCTTCTGCTGTTTCTGTGGTATGCCACTTATTACTTTATTATAATTATTTGGGTATGACTTTGGGGTTCTATCTTGACTGAATCTTAGCTCTTCTGCTTTTTATCTGTGTGGCTTTTGTCAAGTTATTTTAACTTCTTTGGGCCTCAATCTTACAATCTGTAAAATGTGGATGTTAAGAAGAACTACTCATAGGGGTGCTGGGAGGTCTCAATGCAGTTATGTGTACTCGCAGGCTTACTTAGCACAGTGCCTAGTATATAGTAAGTATTCAATAAATTATAACTTTTCTTCTCCACTTCACCTTGAGTTTATAAAACTTAGGGCTATAACTCAAATATCTTGGTAAATAAAATGCCTAGATTTGCTACTGCAGTATGGCTGCTTCCAATTTTATGTTGCTAATAAAAACACACTCCAATGAAAAGTAGGAATGAATATTTTCCAGGATTGACTATATGTTAGGACACAATCCAAGTATCACAAATTTTTTTAAAAAATCAAAATCATACCAAGTATCTAATCTGAACACAATGGACTAAAACTGGAAATCAACAATAGAGGAACATGTTAAACTATACTAATACATAGAAATTAAACATGCTCCTGAATGACCAATGGATGAAGGAGAAAATTAAGGATAAAATTTTAAAAATCCTTGAAACAAATGAAAATAAGACACAACATCTCAAAATGTATGAGACACAGAAAAAGCATTATTAAGAGACAAATTTATAGCAATGAATGTCTACATAAAAAAATTAGAAAGACTTTAACTAAACAACCTAATGATGCATCTCAAGGAACTAGAAAAGAAAGAATAAGCCAAACCCAAAATTAGTGGAAAGAAATAAATAACAAAGATTGTAGCAGAAATAAATGAAATGAGACAAAAATACAAAAGATCAACAAAACAAGAATTTTTTTGAAAGGACAAACAAAATTGAGAAATCATTAGCTATATTAACCAAGAAAAAGGAGAAAATACCCAAATATGTAAAATCAGAAACAAAAAAGGAGACATCACAACAGATACCATGGAAATACAAAGGATCATTAGAAACTACTATGAATGGCTATATGCTGATAAGTTTGAAAATCTGGAGGAAATGGATAAATTCCTGGGCACATACAACCTACCAAGATTGAACCAAGAAGAAATAGAACACCTGAACAAGCCAATAACATATAATGAGATTGAATCAGTAATAAAAAGTCTCTCAATAAAGAAAAGTCCAAGACTAGATAGCTTTACCACTCAATTCTACCAAACCTTTAAAGAATAATTAATACCAATTTCTTCTCAAACTATTCAATAAATTGAAATGGAGGGAGTTTTTCTTAATTCGTTTTTTGAGGCCAGCATGATCAGGATACTAAACCAGACAAGGCAACAACAAAAAAAGGAAACTACAGGCCAATATCCCTGATGAACCTAGACATAAAAATCCTCAAAATACTAGCAATTTAAATCTAATAACACACAAAAAAAGATAATACACAATGATCATGTGGGATTTGTCCCAGAAATGCAAGGATGGTTCAACATATGCAAATCAATAAATGTGGTGCATCATATCAGTAGATTGAAGGACAAAAACCATATGATCATCTCAATAGATGCAGGAAAAGCATTTAATAAAATTCAACATCTCTTCATGATAATAATTCTCAATATATTGGGTATAGAAGGAAAGTACCTCAACAGAATAAAGGCCATCTATGACAAATTCACAGTTATCATATAGATTGGGGAAAAGCTGAAAGCTTTCCATTTAATAATTGTAACAACCCAAAGACTCTGACAAAAAACTTCTAGAACTGATAAACAAATTCAATGAAGTTATAAAATACAAAATAAACATACAAAACCAGTATTGTTTCTATACACAAACAACAAACTAGCTGAAAAAGAAACCAAGAAGGCAATCCCATTTGCAAAATCTACATAAACAATACATAGGAATAAATTTCACCAAAGAGGTGAAAGATCTCTATAAGGAGAATTGCAAAATACTGATGAAAGAAATTGAACAGGATACAAAAAAAAAAATGGAAAAACAGACCATGCTCATGGATTAGAATAATTAATATTATTAAAATGACCACACTACCCAAGTAATCTACAGATTCAGTGCAATCCCTATCAAAATGCCAGTGACATTCTTTACAGAGATAAACAAAAATCTAAAATATTTATGGAACAACAAAATCTTCCAAATAGCAAATAGCCAAAACCAAAGCAATTCTCAGAAAAAAAAGATGGATGCATTACACTAGCATTACACTATTTTAGACTTCAAAATATACTACAAGTTTGTAGTAACCAAAACAGCATGGTACTAACATAAAAACGGAAGCATAGACCAATAGAACAGAATAGATAACTCAGAAGTTAATCCACACATCTATAGCCAACTAATTTTGACAAAGGCACCAAGAACACATGTTGGGGTAAGTGCAGTCTTTTCCATAAATGGTGCTGGAAAAATTGGATATCCATATGCAGAAGAATAAAACTAGACTTTCACTTCTCCCCTGTACAAAAATCAACTGAAAATGGATCAAAAACCTAAATGGAAGACCTAAAACTATAAAACTACTAGAATAAAACATAGGAGAAATGCTTCAGAGTTTTGATCTGGGAAAAGATTTTATGAATAAAACTTTAAAAGCATAGACAACAAAAGAAAAAATAAACAAATGGGATTATATCAAACTAAAGTTTCTGCACAACAAAGGAAACAATCAATAAAGTGAAAAGACAACCTACAGAGTGGGAGGAAATATTTGGAAACTCTCCATCCAACAGGGGATTAATATCCAGAATATGTAATGAACTCAAACATCTCAACAGCAAAAATCCAAACAATCCAATTAAAAAATAGGCAAATAATTTGAACAGACATTTCTCAAAAGAAAACACACAGATGGCCAACAGGTGTATGAAAAAATCCTCAGTATCACTAATCATCAGGGAATTGCAAATCAAAACCACAATGAAGTATTATCTCATCCCAGTTAGAAGGGCTATTATCAAAGACAAAAAATAACAAATGTTGGTGAGGATGTGGAGAAAAGGGTGCTCTTATATGCTTTTGGTGGGAACATAAACTAGTAGAGTCACTATGGAGAACAATACAGAGGTTCCTTAAAACACTAAAATTAGAACTACCACATGATCCAGCAACCTTACTACTGGATATTTATCCAAAAGAAAGAAAATCAGTATACCAAAGAAGCATCTGCACCCCTATGTTTATTGCAGGAGTATTCACAATAGCCAAGAAATGGAATCAGCCTAGGTGTCCCACAACAGATAAGTGGATAAGGAAATTGTGGTATATATACACAATGGAATACTATTCAGCCATAAAAAAGAATGAAAGCCTATCATTTGAAGCAATGCGGATGGAACTGGAGGACATTTTGTTAAGTAAAATAAGCCAGCAACAGAAAGTTAAACACTGCATGTTCTTACTCATATGTAGAAGCTAAAAAAAAAAAAGTTGATCACATAGAAGTAAAAAGTAGAACAGAGGATACCAGAGGTGGGGGAAGGTAAGGGAAGTGGGGAATGGGGAGAGATTTGTTAAAGGATATAAAAGTATAACTGGGTAGGAGGAATAAGCTCTAGTGTTCTATAGCACTGTAGGATGACTTTAGTTAACAATAATATAGTACATAGTTAGAATATACAAATAGCTATAAGGAGGATATTGAAGGTTCTCAACACATAGAAGTCGTAACTGTTGGAGATAATGTATATGCTGAGTTCCCTGATCTGATCATTACATTATATGTATTGCAACATCACTGTGCTATACATGATCATAGCCAAAAGGCTGAGAATAGATGCAACAGCACTATGTACCCCAGGGGATATGTTCAATTATTATGGGTCAATTTTAAAAATTAATAAAAAATAAATTTAGTTGTTCTGCTGTATGATCTTGGATAAGAGCAGAGTGGGATTTTGAAGTCAGATACACTTGTTTTTGAATCCCAACACTGTGACTTTAAGAATTTACTCACTTCTGCATCTCTCATTTCTGATAGAAAATAGAGACAATGAGAATCCCTACCTTAACAGATATTAAGATGGTTAACTGGGCAGCAAAATGGCATATCCGGTATAGTGCCTGGCACCAACAATAATAGCTTCCTTCCCACTTTGGGACAGCACAGAGTACATGATTCTCTGCTACGTGAAAGCTCATCTGACATCTCTATTTAGAGGGAGGGAGAGAACCAAGCCGAGCTCCAACCAGGCCTCTTCCTTGTCCAGTCCTGATCCTGACCCTGCAGTCCTGAATCAACTGTCTCCTTCCCAGCTCATTTGATGGAACATTACAATTTTAAATTGTCAGTCATCAGCACATTTAAATGTCCCAGGACTAGAAAAACACCAGAAGGAATTATTGAAAGCTTTATTGATTTAATCAGATAATTTTGCACAAATTATGGTCCACAAAATTCTGGGTGCTTTGTAGTCTTCCATGAGACAGAGTTTCAGTGTAGCTTAAAACAGAAGCTACCGTCATCCCTCTAGGTAGAATCTAGAAGAGCAAAGAAGGATTAGTGTGAATTAAGATACGTGCATGAAGCATAGGGGAGGCATTTGCTGAGAGAACAGGGAACAGTTTCTAAGTAAGCTGGACTATGAGTGTGTAAGGAAATGAGAAGGTGAGAAAGGGAGGTTGAGGGCAGGTAAGAACATCCTTGAATAATATTTGAGGCATTGGGACTTTGTAGGCAGCCGGGAACCATTAAAGTTTTTCAAGCAGAAAGTGGCATCGTCAGAGCTTTGCTTTAAGAAGATAACTGGCAAGAAGGTGAGAATGGATTGCTTTGGTAGGGGGCAGAACAACTAGAGACAGGGGAATACTTAGGAAGTCTATTGCAATTGTCTGGACAAAAGGTGATAAAGGTTGCACTTGGGCAGTGGAAAAGAGCAAACAAATAGAAAGCATATTGCAGTGCAAAATCTACAGAACTTTTTGACTGACTAGGGAAAGGCAAAGAGAGACGGAGAAGGATGACTCAGGATTTTAGCCTGAGGAAATTGCCTGAGTTATCTAATTTAGCATTCAGAATGCAGAGCCTATCTATCAACACCTGGCTTTATTCATTTACTCTTAATGTGTGTGTGTGTGTGTGTGTGTGTGTGTGTGTGTGTGTGTGTGTAGTTCTATGTACATATGGAATGCTATACATCAATAACTGAATATCTCTCTCACACACACACAGTCTCTCTCTCTCTCTCTTCTATTTCAGTCTTCATTCACCTTAAATGTATGTAATTATTGGCATTGTGAAATGAGGATGTGAGGCTTTCTAACTTTGAGAAATTGCAGTTTTTATACTGGCAGTGTAGAGACTATGTTTTATGATTTTGAAAATATTTAAGCTAGCCATATTGATAATAGTAGCTTCCATTGACCGAGTGCTTATGTGCAATGCTTTACACACATTGCTTCACTTATCCTCACAACAATCTGTGAGATGGACACCGTTAAGGCCCCACTCCCCTTGCCGCATTCCCAAACAATTCCCAACTCCCTTCTCCCTTGCTAACCACCATAAAGACTGACCTCCTTTGCACCAAGGGTGGCCATAGAACCCAGGTCTGGACAATGAGAATATAAATGGCATCTGTTTAGAGAGTTCTAGGTAAGTCATTGGTTTCCTGATAAAGGGACTAGCATAAGAGCAGACAGCTGGTATACTTACTCTGTTCCTTCTTCCTGACTTGAACACGGTGGATGTGATGCTTAAAGTTCTGGCAGCCATTGGCAACCACAGATGACAAACACAGAGGTGAAAAGCCAATGAGCACGAGAAAGAAAGAGTGTGTGAGCTGTGATCTCAGTGACAGTGCTGGGTGACTGAACCAGCCTTGGAACCCCTATGCCCATGTTTCTTGATAAGTGTTCAAGCCACCTTTAGTTGTTTTTTTTCTGTTACTTGCAGAAAAATGAACTCTGAAGTGCAGTTATTTGCTCAGGGCCAAACCAGGAAATGGTGGGGCTGGGATGCAAACACAGGTGTCTTTCTGACTCCAAAGTGATGTTATTAGCTTTTTAACATATAATTAGAAAGATATTTGGTCTTTGCTCCTGGTTCCTGGTACAAGGCTCTTAAAACCCTTGGAATTTCCTGAATAATAAGGGTGATAGAATCATCTTTGTTCTAATGAGCTGATTCTTAGTGGGACCCTAGAAGGCTTGTCACCAGAAAGACCAAGCCTTGGTTAGAAGCTTGGAGCTTCCAACCCCCGCCCCTCCTCCCCACCCACCCAACAGGGAGGGCAAAAGGGGTGAAGATTGGATCAGTCACTAATGGCCAATGATTTAATCAATTGTACCTACATAATGATGCCTCCTTAAAAATTAAATGATGGGGTTGGGAAGCTTCTGAGTTGGTGAACACATCCACATGCTGGGAGAGGGGCACACTCCAACTTCATGAAGACAAAAGCTCCCATACTTGGAGCCCTTCCAGACCTCACCCTATGTACCTCTTCATCTGGCTGTTCATTTGTATCCTTTATCATGAACTGGTAAATGTAAGTAGAGTCCTTTCCTGAGTTTTGTGAGTCATTCTAGCAAATGATCCAACATGAATTAGCGAATTTGGGAACTCCAAGTTTACACTTGGTTGTCAGAAGTATAGGGGGCCTGGGACTTGCGATTGGTACCTGAAGTGGGGCCACTCTTGTGGGACTGAGCCATTTAACATGTAGGATTTGATGCTAACTTCATCTAGATAGTGTCAGAATTGAATTGAATTGTTGGATACAGAGAGTTGGTGTCAGACAGTTGGAGAACTGGTGTGGAAAATTCCCCACACATTTGGTGTAAAAAATGTCAGGAGAAAAGAAGAACCCTGCTACCACATGTTCTCCCTTCTAGTACCCACTCTGAACAACATAAAGGGCTTTCTTGTTGTGTGTGATGGATTCACCTGCTGTGTTTTCCATGGCTTTTGTCTCTCACTTCTTCCTCCACAGTTTTGGATGTCTTCTAGGTGTCAAGCAGTGAAGCCCAGCCTTAGGAGATAGTGAGATGATTATCATTCAGCCCTGCTCTCAAGTTGCTCATGATATAGAGGAGGGGTTGGCAAAGTATGTTGGCCTGCCGCCATTTTTGCATGACCCATGAGCTAAGAATGGTTTTCACATATTCAAGTGGTTGAAAGAAAATCCAAAGAAGAATATTTTATGACCAGTAAACTGATATGAAATTCAAGTTTCAGTGTCCATAAATACAATTATGATGGAATAAAGCCTCACCGATTTGTTTACTTGTTGTCTACAGCAACTCTTGCACTACAATCATAGAACTGAGTAGTTGCAACAGAGATCATATGGTCTACAAAGCGCTACCTGGCCCTTTAAGAAAAAGTGTGCTGACTTCTCATCTAAAAGGGGTGGAATTTATGGATTAGGGAAATGAATACGTCATTCTAGGTAGAGAAAGAGAAAGGATGTAGTATAACTAAGATACTTAGAAAATTTTCCCAAAATAGCAGGTGGATCCAAAGCTCTGAGTCTTATCTCTAGACATTTTTCCTTTACAGACAGATTCTATACAAGAGGTGGAGTTGGACAAGGGAAGGGTAATCTGGGATATTTATTAGGTGTAGTTACCTTTGCCTAATGAATGTCTTTTGTTACTCATTCCTTAGAGGCAGGAGTGTGTGCTTCAGTCAGTTTGAGCTCCACCCAGGGAGAACAGATCATGAATACTTCTAATGCACACGGTAAAAATCCTGAGTTGAATAATTTTACTTTCAAAAAAATTTACTGACCTTTTAATTAAGGTCCCCAGAGTCTCCCACGAATTGGCTGTCACCTGAAACTACTGTGTGCTTGGAATTTCTGTGAGCACACAAGACACCCTGCTCAGATCCTGATTCCTATAAAGCAGGTACTGTTGTCCTCATGGATCCCATAGACCTTGTGCACATCCCTGGGATGGTGGAAGATTTCTTTCCATGAACCCAACTCTTGTAAAAATCAAGAGAACTGTTTAATTTTTTTTTTCTTTCCTAAAGAAAGTAAGCGCCAGGAAATCTTCCATAGTAACAGTGCTTGTCATTCACCCACTGTCACATGACTTAGAAAGCACTTTTCTGGGCATTTTTGTTCTGAGCCTTAAAATAACCATGACCTACATAATGTGATCATAATGAAAAATGGTTGAACTATGTAAAAATCCAATTCTGATATACCGATGAAATAAACTTTTGAGACCAATGAACTCATCCCCTTTTTGTCTTTATTTTACCGAGGAGGAAATTGAGCCTTAGCCAGAAAGGCAGCCAATCAATGGCAACATCAAGGTGTGGGCTTTCCATTTACAATGATGATGATGGCCAAGGCTACCTTATCACTGGCCTAATTAGATATGACATAATTGTCACATTTAATGTGTGTGGGCTATAGGTGGGATGATTCTATAATTTGTTATCCAAACTGAAATACCTTGGTTCATCAGGCATAAAGCAACCTTGTTCCCTGAGACCTATGACCATGCTATAAGCAGGGTAGGCAGATGCCATAGGCCATGTGACTCATTCTGATAATCAGGTATGTCCCTAAAACTTGCTTCTATTTCCTGACTTGTGTTGCCATTCCTGTGGACCCAGCACCTTGGAATGTCAGCATTTGATGAATGCTGGCCCTGTAGAGATTCAGTTCAGATTTCTCCCACTAATCTCTGGTTTTAGGCCATATTCAGAGCCTGAGCAATAAACAAATCAGGATGTAACAGGGAAATATGAACGTGTCATGTATTCTTGCATTGACTCAACCCTTCTTTATCTCCAAGGCATTAAATTTCCTGTCTTTAGGTCAGAGAGAATGTTTTCAAACAGGAGTGGGAGACGATTCTAGACAAACCAGTGTGGGATATCCATGCAGAAGAGGAAAGAGAATGAAACTTCTTTTCTTGACACTGTGTGTGCATTTTGTTGTGTTTTGTTTTTAGAAAGTAGTAACAGCTAATCAATGTTTATTGATTATCAGAGGTGTCCTCATCTCTGAGCTATGTGGGAGAACGAAGAAACATGACAGGGAAAGAAAGAGAAAATATAATTATTTCACTATTGCTTATAATAAAGAGCTAACTAAGGAAATAGCTAAGAAAATTAAAAAATACTACACTTATAAAGGCAACTGTTAGAACACAAATACAGGCTTTCTTAATATTGGAATAATTACATGTAAAAGCTATAGTGTCTTAGTTCAGGTTGCTATAACAGAATACCACAGACTGAGTGGTTTATAAACAGCAGTAATTTATATCTTACAGATCTGAAAGCCGGAAGTCTGAGATCAGAGTGACAGCATGGTCAGCCTCTGCTGAGGACTGTCTTCAGGGTTGCAGACTGCAGACTTCTCATTGTATCCTCACATGGTGGAAAGAGCAAGATAACTTTCTGCGGTCTCCTTTAGAAGAACACTAATTTCATTCATGATGCCTCCTCTCTCATGACCTAATTATCTTCCAAAGTCCCCACCTCCTAATACCATCACACTGGGGTATGGATTTCAACATGTAACTTTTGGTGGGGAGTGGGAGAGGAGTACAAGCATTCAGTCCATAATAACTACATAATAAAAATATTTAAAAAATGAAATTATTAAACAGGAACACAGTACAAATAATATGATAGGACAAAGACCAAATATATTTTATATGTTAATAAAAGTAAATATTCATTAAGATAATTTTCAGAATGGATCACAAAGCAAATCCAACTTTGTTATATGTAAGAAATACATGTAAACAAAGATATTCACAAAGTTTAAGAGTTAAATACACACCAGAGAAATACAAATGCAAAGAAAGCAGTGACGGATATCTTAATATCACACAACATAGAATTCAAGACAAATATCATTAAATAGGGAAGGAAGGGTACCTTTTTACATAAAGGATATAAATCAGTTTAAGATAATATTTATAAATAACTATATGCCAAATAATATAGCATCCACCTTCATAAAGCAGAAATTAGACAGAAGAAATAAGCAGAAATACGAATAGAAAGGGAATTTAATTCACTTTTCTCTGTCTATTTTATGCCAAGAGGACAATAATAAACAGGGATATAGAATGCCTAAGTAATTAATGAGACAGACGTGATTAATCCATGTAACTGAAGAACACAGAATAAGTTTTTTGTTTTTTCAAAAGCTGTGAAAACATTCATAGAAAGTGATCATATATTAACTCATAAAGAAATATTTAATAAATTCCAAAAAATAGACATAGTATGGATAACATTGTGTAACTATAATTCATTAAAACTAAACACTGATAACAAAAGAGAAAGCAAAAACTCCTTCCATCTGGAAATTATAAAGGATCTCTTAATGCTCAGAGAGGAAATACAAATAAAAATGGAAGATTGTTTTAGGAAAAAACAGTAATGCAAGTACTCTTTATCAGAATTTGTGGGATAATATGGGTTGAGTTGTGTACCCAAATCATATGTTGAAGTCCTAACCCTCATTATCTCAAACTGTAATCTTATTTGGAGATAAGGTCTTTACAGAGGTAATCGAGTTAAAATGAAGTCATTAGAAGGGGTGTCCTCACCAAATATGACTGGTATCCTCATAAAAAAGGGGAAATTTGGACACAGATACACACATATAGGGAGAACACTATGTGAAGAGAAGGCAAGATCAGGGTGATGCTTCTACAAGCCAAGGACTGCCAAAGATTGCCAGCAAACCACCAGAAGCTGGGGAAGAGGCATGGGGCAGATTCTCCTTCACAGCCCTCAGAGGGAACCAACCCTAATGATGCCTTGACACTGTACTTCCAGCTTTCAGAAAACTGCGAGTCTTGAACTGGGTTTAAGATACCCAGTTTGTGGTACTTTGTTATGGCAGCATGAGAAAACCACTACACAGATAAAGCAGTGTACAGAGAAAAAAATCATAGCCTTAAATAGCAAAAGAAAGAATAAAATGAATCAAGCATTATGCTCAAAAAGTTAGAAACAGCATACCAAAATATATAGAAGGACTCTAGAAGGAAAGTATCAGTAGTGATAAAAGTGGGAATTAACAAATTAGAAAACAGATTAAAAGTACTAATAAATAAATTCCAGCTCTAGTTCTTTGAACCAATGAAATACATAAATCATTAGATAACATAATTAAGAAATAATGGTCAAAATGTAAACACAAATGAGAACTTGAAAGGGCGAAATAACAAAGAAATAGAGAAATTTTTTTTTTTGTCTTCAAGCATCTGTTTAACAAAGCACATCTTGCACCGCCCTTAATCCATTTAACCCTGAGTTGACACAGCACGTTTCAGAGAGCACGGGGTTGGGGGTGAGGTTATAGATTAACAGCATCCCAAGGCAGAAGAATTTTTCTTAGTACAGAACAAAATGGAGTCTCCTATGTCTACTTCTTTCTACACAGACACAGTAACAATCTGATCTCTCTTTCTTTTCCCCACATTTCCCCCTTTTCTTTTCGACAAAACTGCCATTGTCATCATGGCCCGTTCTTGATGGTCGCTGTCTCTTCGGAGCTGTTGGGTGCACTTCCAAGACAGGGCGGCCTGGCAGAGGCGCTACTCACTTCCCAGATGGGGCGGCCGGGCAGAGGCGCTCCTCACCTCCCAGACGGGGTGGCAGCCAGACAGAGGCGCTCCTCACATCCCAGACGAAGGGTGGCCAGGTAGAGGCGCTCCCCGCCTCCCAGATGAAGGGTGGCCAGGCAGAGGCGCCCCTCTCTTCCCATGCAGGGCGGCAGGGCAGAGACGCCCCTCACCTCTCAGATGGGGTGGCAGCTGGGCTGAGGCGCTCCTCACTTCCCAGATGGGGTGGTGGCGGGGCAGAGACGCCCCTCACCTCCCAGATGGCGCGGCCGGGCAGAGGCGCTCCTCTCCTCCCAGACGGGGCTTCCGGGCAGAGGCGCTCCTCACTTCCCAGATGGGGCGGCCGGGCAGAGGCGTTCCTCTCTTCCCATTTGGGGCAACGGGGTAGAGGCGCTCCTCACTTCCTCCCAGACGGGGCGGCCGAGCAGAGGCGCTCCTCGCTTCCCAAACGGGGCGGCCGGGCAGAGGCGCTCCTCACACCCCAGACGGGGCAGCCGGGCAGAGGCGTTCCTCACTTCCCAGACGGGGCGGCCAGGCAGAGGGGCTCCTCACATCCCAGATGATAGGCGGCCAGGCAGAGACCCTCCTCACTTCCTAGATGGGGTGGCGGCTGGGCAGAGGCGCTACTCACTTCCCAGATGGGGGCGGCCAGGCAGAGGCGCTCCTCACTTCCCATTCGGGGCAGCCGGGCAGAGGTGCTCCTCACTTCCCAGATGGGGCGGCCAGGCAGAGGGGCTCCTCACATCCCAGATGATGATGGGCGGCCAGGCAGAGATGCTCCTCACTTCCTGGCCGGGGTGGCGGCCGGGCAGAGACGCTCCTCACTTCCCATTCGGGGCAGCCGGGCAGAGGGGCTCCTCACATCCCAGACGATGGGCGGCCAGGCAGAGACGTTCCTCACTTCCTAGATGGGGTGGCGGGCGGGCAGAGGCTGTAATCTTAGCACTTTGGGAGGCCAAGGCAGGCGGCTGGGAGGTGGAGGTTGTAGCGAGCCGAGATCACGCCACTGCACTCCAGCCTGGGCAACATTGAGCATTGAGTGAGCGAGACTCCGTCTGCAATCCCAGCACCTCGGGAGGCCATGGCGGGCAGATCACCTGAGGCCAGGAGCTGGAGACCAGCCTGGTCAACAGGGTGAAACCCTGTCTCCACCAAAAATACAAAAACCAGTCAGGAGTGGCAGCGCATGCCTGGCATCCCAGGCACAGGCAGGAGAATCACCAGAGTCCGAGGCAGGAAGGTTGCAGCGAGCAGAGATCATGGCAGTACAGTCCAGGCTCCGCAAGAGAGGGAGACCTTAGAAAGAGGGAGACAGAGAGCAAGAGGGAGAGGAGGAGGGGGAGGGGGAGGGGGAGGGGGAGAAAATTTTTAAAAAATTAAAATAAACCACTTGGTTCTACTTTAAGCAGATAAATGTAAAAATCTAGATGACATAGATATTTTTCTAGAAAAATATAATCTATCAATACTAACTTTAGAAGAGGTAAATTACCTAAATAAACAAAATTGAAAAAAATAATCAAAGAGCTACTTTCCAAAAAAGCACCAGGTATTGATGATGTCATACTTTATTTTTTGTTGCTATAACTGAATACCTGAGGCCGGGCAATTGAGTAAGAAAACAGGTTTATTTCTTACTGTTCTGGAGTCTGGGAAGTCCAAGACTGGGAGGCTACTCCTGATCAGCTTCTGATGAGGGCCTCATGCTGTGTCATAACAGGGCAGAAGGCATTGCAGGATGAGAGGGACACAAAAGCCAAACTGGCTTTTGTAACAGACCCACCCTCATTATGACTAATGCGTTCCAGAAATAATCCATTAATTCATTAACCCATTAATCCATGAGTAGATTAATCTATTTCTGAGGGCAGAGCCCTCATGACCCACTGGCCTCTTAAAGACCCCATCACTTAGTAGTGTTACACTGGGTCATGAATTTTAACATGAGTTTTGAAGGGAACAAGGAAAAACTCCATAAAGCTTTCAAAGAGCAGATAGTTCTAGCTTTGATTTAAAAAAAGACACTTAATAAAATGGATATAGATGGTTACTTTCTTAACATGATAAAATATATCTCTCTCAGCCTAAAAGCCAAAATCGTCATTACTCAGGAATTTGTAACATTCTAATTAGAAACAAGGGCAAGGCAAAAATGCTCACTGTTGTTGAAAATTGTACTGGAGGAATTATCCAATTTAAACAGATGAGAAAAAGAAATTGACAGTAAAAAAATCGAACAGCAGGGAGTAAAACTACTACTATTTGCAGATCTTATGACTGTGTATCTGGAAAACTCAAGAGAATTAACTAAAAAAAATTACAAACAATAAGATAATTTAGTAAGGTGGCAGGATTTAAAACTATAGAAATCAATACTTTTATGTATGCAAATAGCAGCCGGTTAGAAAATATAATGGGAGGTCACCCTATTACAGTGGCCATGCATATATAAAGACCTAACACCTAGGAATAAACTTAATAAAAAATGTGCACTACATATAGGAACAAAAAATTTAAGTCCCATAAGATGCAAAAGAGGACTTCAAAAAATGGAATAACTATGCACTTGGAGAGACAAACTCATAATAATAAAATGTCAGTTCTTACTAACTTGTTTTTACAATTAATATAATTATAATAGTATACACAGGGTTTTGTTTTTAATTAGATAAGCTTATCCAAAGTTCACTTGAAAAAATAAACTAGAATGGTAAGAAGGATACTTGCAAATAAAAGAAATGGCTAGCCTAACCAGGTATAAAAACATACTATAAAGCCTCAATAACTAAAGCAAGGTAGTTGTGGTGAATGAATAGCGCTGCCCATGAAACAAAATAGAAAATCCAGAAATAGGTCCAACTACTATGGTAATTCGGAATATGATAAAGAAGATAACCCAAATTATAGGACAGTTCAGTAAATGATGTTGGAATAACTGCATAGCCATTTGGAAACATTTCAAAAGTGTCAAACATTTAAATGCGAAATACAAAACCATAAAAGTATACAATGGAAATATGGCAGAATATTTAGTGTTCATACATAGGAAGACAGCATTTTTAAGATAGCAGTTCTTCCCAACTGGATCTATGAATTCAATGCAATTCCAATCAAAATCTCAGCAAGTTATTTTGTAGTTAGGAAGAAACTGATTGTAATGTGAGTTTTTATATGGAAAGGCAAAGACCCAGAATAGTCAACACAACATTAAAGAGAAGAAAAACATCAGATGACTGACGTTACCCAACTTAAAGACTTACTATAAAGCTACAGTGATTAAGCAATGTGGTGAAAGAACAGACAAATAGATCAATGGGACAGAATAGACAGCCCAGAAACAGACCCACATACATTTGGTAAATTGATCGTTGAGCAAAAGTAATACAATGTAGGAAAGGCATTGCAATACATATGAGCAAAGGCAATGCAATGGAGAAAATAGTCTTTTCAACAAGTGGTTCTGGAACAACTGGACGTCACATGCAAAGAAATGAATCTAGACACAGACCTTACATCTTTCACACACAAAAAAACCCCTCAAAACTGATCACAGACCTAAATGTAAAGTACAAAACTATAAAATTCCTGGAAGATAACAAGAGATGACCTGGGTTTTGGCAATGACTTTTTAGACGTCATACCAAAGGCATGATCCATGAAAGAAGGAATTGACAAGCTGGACCAATAAAATCTAAAATTTTACCTATGCAAAAATCATGATCAAGAGAATAAATAGACAAGCCAGACTGAGATTAAATATTTGCAAAATATGTATCAGATAAAAAACTGTTATAAGATATGTAAAAACCTCTCAACCTCAACAGTAAGAAAACAAACAATCCAATTTAAAAATGGGCCACATGTCTTAGGAAACACCCCTTCAGAGAAGATATATAGATGGCAAATAAGCTTATAAAAAATGTTTCACATCATATGTTATCAGGGAATGAAAATTAAAACAACAGTGAGATACCACTACATATCTATTAGAATGGCCAAAATCCAGATCACAGACAACACCAAATGCTGACATGTGGAGGCATCATGCTACATAACTTCAAACTATACCACAGGGCTACATAAGCAAAACAGCATAGTATTGGTACAAAAACACACACCTAGACCAAGGCAGCACAATAGCGGGCCCAGAAATAAGGCTGCATACCTACAACCATCTGATCTTTGACAAAGCTGACAAAAACAAGCAATGGGGAAAGGACTCCCTATTCAATGAAAGGGGCTGGGATAAATGGCTAGCCATATGCAGAAGATTGAAACTGGACTCCTCTCTTCACACCCTACACAAAAATCAACGAAAGACAGATTAAAGACTTAAATGTAAAACCCAAAACTATAAAAACCCTGGAAGACAATCTAGACAACACCATTCAGGACATAGGAACAGGCAAAGATTTTATGACAAGGATGCCAAAAGGAATTGCAATGAAGCAAAAATGGACAAATAGGATCTAATTAAAGTAAAGAGCTTCTGCACATCAAAATAAACTATCAACAGAGTGAACAGGTAACCTACAGAATGAGAGAAAATTTTTGCAAACTATGCATCTGACAAAGGTCTACTATCTAGCACCTATAAGAAACTTAAATTTACAAGAAAAAACCAAACAACTCCATTAAAAAGGGGGCAAAAGACATGAACAGACATTTCTCAAAAGGAGACATACATGTGGCCAAGAAGTATATGAAAAAAAAGCTCAACATCACTGATCATTACAGAAATGCAAATCAAAACCACAATGAGATACCATCTTACACCGGTCAGAATGGTATTAATAAGTCAAAAAATAACAGATGCGGCTGGGCACGGTGGCTCACGCCTGTAATCCCAACACTTTGGGAGGCTGAGGCGGGTGGATTATGAGGTCAGGAGATGGAAACTATCCTGGCCAATATGGTGAAACCCCATCTCTACTAAAAATACAAAAATTAGCCAGGAGTGGTGGCGTGTGCCTATGGTCCTAGCTACTAATGAGGCTTGAACTAATGAGAATCGCTTGAACCTGGGAGGCAGATGTTGCAGTGAGCCAAGATTACACCACTGCACTCCAGCCTGGGTGACAGAGCGAGACTCCGTCTCATAAAAAAAAACAAAACAAACAAACAAACAAAACCCCCAAAAAACAAACAAAAAACAAAACAGATGCTAGCAAGGTTCTGGAGAAAAAGGAAAGCTTATACACTGTTGGTGGGAGTGTAAATTAGTTCAACCATTTTGGAAGATAGTGTGCAATTCCTCAAAGACCTAAAGACAGAAATATCATTAAACTCAGAAATTCTGTTCCTGGGTATATACCTAAAGTAATATAAATCGTTCTATGATAAAGACTTATACATGTGTATGTTCATTGCAGCACTGTTCACAATAGCAAAGACATGAAATCAACCTAAATGACCATCAATATTAGACTAGATAAGGAAAATGTGGTACATGTATACCATGGAATACTCTGCACCGTAGAAAAGAACAAGATAATGTCTTTTACAGGAACACAGATGAAGCTGGAAGCCGTTATCCTTAGCAAACTAATGCAGGAACAGAAAACCAAATACTGCATGTTCTCACTAATAAATGGGAGCTAAGTGATGAGAACACATGGACACATAAAAAGGAACAACAGACACTGGGCCTATCAGATGGCGGAGGGTAGGAGGAGGGAGAGGATGAGGAAAAACAATTAATGGATACTAGGCATAATACCCGGGTGATGAAATAATCTGTAAACAAATCCCTGTGATCCAAGTTTACCTATATAACAGACCTGCACATCTACCCCTGAACTTAAAATAAAAGTTAAAAAGAAAAAGAACTTTTATTCATTGCTGGTGGAATTTCAAAATGATGCAGCTACTTTGGAAGACAGTTTGGTGATTTCTTATAAAACTAAACATACTCTAACAATACAATCCAGCCATTGCACCCCTTGGTATTTACCAAAAGCGGTTGAAAACTTATGCTCACATCAAAGCCTGCACATGAATGTTTATAGCATCATAATTGCCAAAATTTGAAAGCAACCAAGATGTCTTTCTGTAGGTGAGTGGATAAATAAGCTGTAGTACATCCAGACAATAAATATTAATCAATGCTAAAAAAGTTGGTTTCCGTTTTTATAAAAGTGGGCCAAACGAACAAATGAAAAAGGAAATGAGCTATCAAACTGTGAAAAAGCATAGAAGAAACGTAAATGCATATCACTGAGTGAAAGAAGGCAATGTGGAAAGCTTTTATACTGTATGACTCCAACTATATGACATTTTGAAAGGCAAAACTATAAGACAGTGGTTGCTAGATCACTGAAAAGATCATTGGTTGCTAGAGGTTGGAGAAAGGGATGAATAGACAAAGCACAGAAGATTTTTAACGCAATGAAAATAACCAGTATGCTAGCATCGTGGTGGATATAGGTTATAAAACATTTGTACAAACCAATAGAATGTGCAACACCAAGAGTAAACTCTAGGTAAACTGTGGACTTTGAGTGATAAAGATGTGTCAATATAGATTCGTAAATTTTAAGAAATATACCACTATGTTGGGGAATGTTGGTAATGGGGAGACTATGCATTTGTGGGGGCAGAGGGTATATGGGAAATCCTGTACCTTCCTCTCAATTTTGCTGTGAACCTAAAACCACTCTAAGAAATAAAGACCAAAAAAAAAAAGAAAAACCTCATAAAAATTCTGCATGAGGGAAAAATAAGGAAACAACCAACTGGGAAGAAGTATTTGCAACTCTTAACAAAGAAACAGCAGTAAGTTTTGTTATTAAAAAAAAGTACCCTTCTTACAACTCAATAATAAAAAGACAAATAAAACAATTAAAATAGGGACAAAGAATCTGAGTAGACATTTCTCCAAAGAAGACTTAGAAGTGGTCAATAAGCACATGAAAAGATGCTCAGCATTATTGGCTATCAGGGAAATGCAAAGGAAAACCGCAATGAGATACCATCTTATGTCAACTAGGATGACTATAATAAAAAAGGCAGACAATAACAAGTGTTTGTGAGGTTGTGGAAAAATGTGAACCTTCATACAGTGCTAATGGCAATGTAAAATGGCTTAGCCACTTTGGAAAATAGCCTGGTTGTTCCTCAAAATGTTAAACACAGAGTATTGTATGACTCAGAAATTCTTCTCCTGGGTAAATATCCAAGAAAATTGAAAACATACTTCTATGCAAAAAATTTCTATGCAAATGTTTATAGCAGTATTATTTATGATAGGCAAAAGGTGAAACAACCAAAATGCCCATCAACTAATAAACAGATAAATAAAATGTGGTATATTCATACAATGCAGCATTATTCAACAATAAAAGGATATGAAGTACTAATACACGCTACCCATGAATGAGCCTTGAAAACATTATGCTAAGTTAAAGAAGCCAGTCACTCCCACAGGTGGTATAAAGAAAAAAAACAGAAGCTAGTCACAAAAGATTGCATATGGTGTAGTCTGTTTATACGAACCGTCCCCAAACGGCAAATGTCCAGACACAGTAGCTTAATGGCTGCCTAGGGTTGGGAGTGGGAAAGGGGGAGTGAGGTTGGATGAAGAGGTGGGGAGTGAAGGTGGGGGAAGGGATGGAGCGGGGGATGTTTTTAGGGGAATGAAGGGTAGTTAGGAGGTGATGGCTAAAGTATACAAGGTTTCTCTTTGGGATGAAAATGTTCTAAAATCAATTGTGGTTATGATTGTACAACTCTGAATATACTAAAAACCATGGAATTGTGTATTTTACATGGGTGAATTATATGGTTGTGAGTTATATCTAAATAAAACTGTTATATAAAAAATAAAACTGTTATGTTACCAAATTTAAAAAAAAGTCTTATCCATGGTATCACTTAAAATCATCCTGGTGCTACTTAAACCATCCCACATATCACCAGTAATGTACATTCCAAGTCTGAAAAGCACTGATGACTCAAGTAAAAGTAGCATGGGTTATTCCTAGAAAAACGGTTTAAACTTCATCTAATCACGATGATGCAATCAGAGAAATCCAGAACATGGGGCATTCTATGAGACAACAGGCCTGGATTCTTCAGAAACATCAATGTCATCAGTGACCACAAAAAGGCAAGGCTACTGCTCTGGATTAAAAGAGATAAAATAGATGTGACAACTAAATTAAATGTAAGATCTTTAGTGGATCCTAGATAAAAGAAAAAAAGAAGAAGCCATAACAATATATTTGGGAAAACTGAGGAAATTTGAAAATGACTGAATGTTGTATAATATTAGCTGTTAAACTCCTTAGATATGATAATGGTGTTAGTGATATATAGGAGAATGCCCTTGTTGTTAATAGAAATACACTTAAATATTAGAGAACAAAGTGTCATGGTGTCTGACACTTATTTTAAAGTGGTTTAGCTACATACACACACACACACGTGTGTATAAAGCAAAAGTCATGTTTTCACTATGATATTCTTTCATCTTTCTGTAGTTTTGACATTTTTCAAAATAGAAACTTGGAAAAAATTAAAAGAAATTGAAGCATTAAAAAATAAATAATTGAAGGCCTTTGGCTTGAATAATTTACACGATTGTCCCAATACTTAGTTCACTTCTCTTTGTATGAGCATTTCACTTTTCATAACACAATTTTACTATTTTTTATTATTTTTTGAAGAAAATTATAAGTTGATTACCACTAATTCTTTCAAGTTTTCTTTGAAAATCATTTCTTACTGCACAGAGCTGTATCTTGGGACCTGAATCATATGAGCTTTTCCTCCCATTTTGTACCACTGGCTTTTTGGGACATCTTGGTCAAGTTGCCTCCCTTTGGGCTTTATATCTCTCCTCTTAAAAAGGCAAAAGATTGAAAGAGTGAAAAGGCAGAACACAGGGGGAAAATGTTTATAATACAATAATCAGGACATATAAAGAACTCCTACAGATTAAAAATAGGCAAGCAACACAATACAAATAAGTGGGAAAGACTTGAAGGGGCACATCATGAAAGAAGATATCCAAATGGCCAATAAGCACATGACAAGGCCGGGCGCGGTGGCTCACACCTGTAATCCCAGCACTTTGGGAGGCTGAGGCGGGTGGATCACTAGGTCAGGAGTTCGAGACCAGCCTGGCCAACATGGTGAAACCCCATCTCTAAAAACACAAAAATTAGCTGGGTGCAGTGGTGCGCGCCTGTAGTCCCAGCTACTCAGGAGGCTGAGGCAGGAGAATTGCTTGAGCCCGGGAAGTGGAGGTTGCAGTGAGCCAAGATTGTGCCACTGCATTCCACCTTTTGGGTAACAGAGTGAGACTGTCAAACAAAACAAAACAAACAAATAAACCAAAAAACACATGACAAGGTGCTCAGCTTCATCAGTTATCAAGAAAGGGCAATTAAAATATAATGAGAACCGGCTTGGTGACTCACGCCTGTAATCCCAGCACTTTGGGAGGCCGAGGTGGGTAGATCACGAGGTCAGGAGTCCAAAACCAGCCTGGCCAGCATGGTGAAACCCCTGCTCTACTAAAAACACAAAAAATTAGCTGGGCATGGTGGTGCACATCTGTAATCCCAGCTACTCAGGAGGCTGAGGCAGGAGAATTTCTTGAACCCGGGAGGTGGAGGTTGCAATGAGCCAAGATCATGCGACTGCACTCCAACCTGGGTGACAGACTGAGACTCGTCTCAAAAAAAGAAAAAGTAATAATAATAATGAGATACTATTGTCACCCATCAACATGGTTGAATATTTTAAAAAAGACTTACAAAGTCAAGTGCTGGTGAGGACACAGACCAATAAAAATTTTCATACACTTCTGGCTTAAGTATAAATTAAAAGAATCACTTTGGAAAATAATTTGCCCATATCTGATAAAGCTGAACATTCACCACTCTAGGTATGACTTGGCATTCCTTTTTCAGTTATGTATTCAAAAAAATCTACATATATGTCCTTAAGGACACATACAGGGGTGCTATGAGCAGCTTATTTGTATTAGTCTCCAACTGAGAACAACCTACATGTCCATTAACAGTAGAGTAAATAAATAAAGGTATTTTCATACAGTGGGATCCTGATAAGAATAAATGAGCTACTGCTATGTAGAATGTTCAGTCAGTTTACCCACTAAAGTAGGTTGCAGTTCAGTTACATAAGGTAGCCTACTTTAATTTATGTAACTAATGTAAGTTACATAAGGACTCAAGTACGGAAGCATCCTCAGGCCACTTAGTTTCATTGAACAATTCTCCCCTTTGGTCAGATTCTCAATGCTGAGAGATTGTCCAAAACTTTGGGCATTGATGCCACTCTGTAACCATTATGAAAGGATTCTTTTGGTTTCCATGTAAGAATTCACAAGTCAGACATCACATAAGCTAAATAATTATTTATGTTCTTGCTTGTTTAGTTGAAGTAAAATCACTCAGTGCTTGATGGATGGCTGTATCCAAACACTTTAGACTTTACAGAATAGAGAACACCAGGGGGACTATTATAATGACTATCAGGAGGAAAATACCAAAGGACCAAAGTGTATACCTTAACAGGAGTCCTTACAAACTGAACTGATCTAAATCACACAAGTCAAAGTTCAGGCCAATATAGTTAGTTCAATATTATTTGAGTTCACTTGGCTATAGTCAAATTGTATGATGGCAATTCAGGGCCATTTTTCTCTGCAGAATGGTCTGATTTAATGAGGTATCCACTTTTGTTCCTAGCCTTTAATACAAATCATAGTAAACTGGAGACTTACTAGAAGAACATCAAGATTTGAAAACCTTGGAAAAGTCAAGTTTGCCATCCCCACTTAGGATGTCTGCCAACCGTTAGTTGCTCCTATAAATACATCATGTGTTCCTTTCCCTTGACAAATTCCCTTAATGCATTTGGTAGAGTGTCTAAAGAAACAGCAGTATCAGCCACCTTTATAGTTCAGCTTTCTGTAGTAGCAAAATCAGGTGAGAGGTAGGTACAACATTCAATTTTGTTCAGTACCATACACAAGCTCCCAGCTTGAGGAAAAAGGAGATAGAAATCATGATGTCTCATTAAGTAATTTTGTTGAACCTAGATGTCATTATCCACCTTTTGGAGAGTGACTTCTACCCATTTGAGCCCTTAAGAGGTCTGGTTGGTCACAAAGTCCAAGGTTATTTTTTCAATGTGTGGATTAGCTTCAAATTTCATATTACTGGTACTCCACTACCACCGAGAGTGAGTTCCCAGGAATCCCACTGGAATCTTTCCTCAGTGATAACTAGCTTATCTTCATAAACCCAACTGTCACTCTGTTTTTTTTTTTGCTAGAACATAAGCCTTAACAAACACCATAAATCTATCTACAAATTATGTTCCATGGATTTTTTTTTGGTAAAAAAAAAAAAAAAAAAAAAAAAAAAGAGAGCGAGAAGAGATTTGGACATCAGGAAATAGGGGGAAAAGGAAAAAGATAAGAGTTTTATGACAGAGAAGTCTTGATCCATGATCTTGGGAAAGCTGTCCATATCAAAGATGCTGTCTGCCTCTGGGGAAAAACCTTCTCTGGTCAGCTTTACTGTAATGTTTTTAAAAAGTATGTAGTTCCCAGGGTCTGGAGGGACCCTTTTGAGTTGAAAGATGTGGATCTAAGACTTGAGACTCTAAAGTTTGGCTGCAGAGAAGAATTTGGCATGGTCCCTTCCAACAGAGTTCAAGGGCAGTCATTCTCTGATGATTCCAAAATATCCAATGAAAAGCTTCCTTTACCTGTTGAAAATATACTTTGGCATAATGCATTAAAGCCTTGTAGCATGTAATCATGTCAGCTCAGGAGAGCAGGAGATACATGAGGTTTTATTATTAGAAACATAGGCCTTTTGGTGACTATTTCATAAGGGATCAACTTATGTTTTTCCACTGGGGCTGGATCTGGTTGCCATTAAGGCCAATGGTAATAACTTTAGCCAAGGCAATCTAATCAATTTAGGTAACTTCGCCAATTTCAGTTTTTAAGTTCCCATTTGTTCTTTCAACCTTCCCAGAAGACTGCAGATGACAGGGACAATGATAGTGCCATTATGTTAACAACAACTGATTTAATTGCTTTATAGCTTTCCCAGTAAAATGGGTCTCTCTATTGCTGTAGATTTCTCTGGAAATGTCCCATAAAGGAAACACATTTTTGAATAACCTTTTGCTTACAGTTGTAGTATTGGTCTTCCTGCATGGAGAGCTTCTGTTCAGCCAGAAAACATAGACTATTACAAAAACATATTCATATCCCTTTGAAGGTGGCAACTGAATAAAATACCTCTGTAAATGTACAAATGACTCATCAGGTAGCAGAAATGTACCATTTGAAGCTTTGATTATCTTCTTAAGATTAGGATTTGACAAACCAAACATTGGTTATAAACCAGTTTAGCAACTTTAGAAAAATCACCATACCAATATTTTTCTATACTTTGTCTCATTTTGTCTAGTCCATGATGAGTTATGGAGTGCAGAACTTTTAATAACGGAAGCTTTAAGGACTCACAAAGAACCAGGTAGCCAACCAGGTAGCTGTCTAAACTCTTCATGAGTTTAACTCTAGATTCTTAAATCCAATTTTGTTTCTCCATCTCAGTTGCATAGCACTATTTATTAAATAGGTTATCATAGGTAATTTGAGGATCAATCATAAGGAGTTCACTTAAATGGACTATCTTAACAACGTCAGTACTGGCTAACTTAGCCTGAAAATCTGCCAAATCATTTCCCTTTTATTTAACTGCTTCTTGTTCCGCTTGATGCTGTGTTAGCAGTTTCATGAACCAGTCAGTTTCTTCATTTAGAGTTCTGGGAATCCTTACCCAGGCCAATAGTATGACCTTAAAGTTATCAGAAACCTGAACTTGTCAGAGTCCTTCCCATAAATATTCTTAAAGATGAAACACTTTAGGCTTATAGTTGCTCAGGAAAGTACCAGAGTAAACAATTAACTGTGAATAATAAGACTTAAAGTAGTCATGGTTAAAGATCCAAGGAGAGTTCATTACAATAATGACACAATTGACAAAGATATAGTTATTCCTCTTGCATATAATGATTTAAGATAACTAGAATTTTGACTGATAGCCATATGCCAGGACTTAGATTTCTATGAATTTTATATAATTTATAAAATACATATTAATAATACATTCATGCAAGTATGCTCAAAGGAGATAAAACATCATTTCTTTTTGACAATGCTTCCCATATAATTTACCATATCAAATAAGCCTAATTAGCTTAATATCTCTTTTATAAGAGAGAGCAATTTTCTTTTGATCATTTCCAAGGGCCCATTTGGAAAACCCCACAGTTCAAAAGGCCAAAAAGACTTAATTTAGAATTTGATTTTTGGGAAGTATGGAAAAATCCAAAGTGTGTTAAAACACTTAATCAAAATGGAATCACAGGTTATTGTAAACAACAGTCACTCATTTAACGTGATAATGAAAAGACTTCAAGGCAAATGCAGAAAGTTACAAAGTTGTAGAATAACGTTAGCTCTTTTCATAGTGAGAACTCAGTTTTCTTAAGTGATCAAAACCCTAATAAAGACAACATGGAGCACAGAAAATTATCTTGTTAAAACATAGAATCTTTATTTTCTAGGCCAGTTACCCTAAAAAGTAAAGAAAAACCGTTTATAATTTCCTATTAAAAACAGAGGCCAATACTCCAAGAAAACCTTGTTGTTTTAACAGAAAGGACTAAATTCTGGTTTTGCCTCACTATATTATTGCTCAATTTTTAGAGAAGCTTACAAACAATTTTTTCTCATATTAGCTAGTTTGATTACACATAAAATTTATTTCACAAGATTCATCTTTCACAAACTTTCTACAATTTTCTTGTCCATTCAGTTTTTGTCCTACACTTCTCCTCTTCTCATTTTGGAACAACCAGTCATTCTACTTTAGAACAAAACTACTCTCTTTTTTCTTTTTTTAAGTTTTCCAACCATTTATTTATTTATTTATTTTATTATTATACTTTAAGTTCTGGGGTACATGTGCAGAACTTGCAGGTTTGTTACATAGGTATACACGTGCCATGGTGGTTTGCTGCACTCATCAACCCGCCATCTACATTAGGTATTTCTCCTAATGCTATCCCTCCCCTAGCCCCCCACCCCCTGGTGTGTGGTGTTCCCTTCCCTGTGTCCATGTGTTCTCATTGTTCAACTCCCACTTATGAGCGAGAACATGCAGTGTTTGGTTTTCTATTCTTGTGGTAGCTTGCTGAGAATGATGGTTTCCAGCTTCATCCATGTCCCTTCAATGGACATGAACTCATCAGTTTTTATGGCTGCATAGTATTCTATGGTATATATGTGCCACATTTTCTTTATCCAGTCTATCATTTTTTCTTAATAAAACTAAACTTCCTTATACTTGTCTATTTTCCTTACCAAAGGCATATTTTACTTTCATTTCATGATGGTGTTGTTTCCCTTGTTATTTCCATTTTTAATGACCATATATTGATTAGAATTTTAGCTATTTGTAGCCTTAATTCTAATGAAAACCCAACAAGCAATTTTTAACTGTCATGTACTGACATTTTATGAATATATAGTTCATAATTTCTAGAAACATGTGCTTCTTCAGAGAGCAATTTTCTTATGTTCACTAACAGATCCAAATATATTTAGCTTCTCTATATCACATAAAAACAAGAAGCTGAAGTATATGTATTTTAAACTTATGTTTAGAAATTAATGTTTCAGTATTTTAACTTGGAAATGACTCAGATATTTCATAAATATCAGCTATTTAATTTAACATAACATAACTTTAAAATTTCAAGTTACTGAGAAGGATTTTTGAAACTATGACAAATTTATTTATAAACTTTTATCTCATCTACATTCACCTGGTTTATTCACTTATAAAAGTTATGTTTGAATTTCCCATTAGGCAAAGATAGCCATTGAAGGAGTTCAGGAAATGCCATCTACACTGGTTTGAATGTGGTTTATCCCCATCAAAGCTCATGTTAAAATTTTATCCCCAGGAGGGGTATAGGAGTTCATGCCTGTAATCCCAGCACTTTGGGAGACCAAGACAGAAGGACTGCTTGAAGCTGGGAGTTCAAGAACAGCCTGGGCAAAAAAGTGAGACCCTGTCTCTTAAAAAACATTGATCCCCAATGTAGCAGTGATGGGAGGTGGAGACACAGGAGTGTTTGGGCCATGGGAGCAAATCTCTCATGCATAGATTAATGCCCTCCCTCAGGGGTGAATTTTCACTAATGCAGAAATGGATTGGTTTCCATGAGAGCAGGTTGCTATAAAGTGAGGATGCCCCTTGGGTTTTGCCTCTTTGCATGTGTCCACCTCCTCTTTGACTTCTTCTGCCATGTTTTGACCCAGCACATGGCCCTCACCAGAAGCCAAGCAGATGCTGGAAACATGTTTTTGTACTTTCATCTTGCAGAACTATGAGCTAAATAAATCCTTTTTTCTTTATAAATTATCCATTCTCAGATATTTTGTTATACCAATAAAAACTGGATGGAGCTGGGTGATGGGCACAGGTTGGAAGTGTTTGGAGGAGCAAGATAGAAACACACTGTATTGCAGTGAATACAGCATTAAGGACAATTCTGGTGAGGGCACAGAAGAAGACAAAAAGAGGAGGGAAAGTTTGGAATTCCTTAGAGATTGGTTAACTGGTTGTGACCAAAATGCTGATAGGAATATAGATAGTAAAGGCCATTTTGATAGGGCCACAGATGAAAATGAGTAACAAGACATTGGGAACTGGAGAAAAAGCCATTCTTGTTACACTGTGGCAAAGAACTTGACTTCACTGTGTTCATGTCCTAGGGTTTTGTGGAAGGCCAAACTTAAGAGCAATGGAATAGCATATTTGGTGGAAGAAATTTCTAAGCAGCAAAGTGCTAAAGAAGAGATGTGATTACTTTTAACAGCTTATGTTCAGTTATGGCAGCAAAAGAAAGACCTAATGGAGGAGCTTATAATTAAATAGGAAGCAGAGTATAAAAATTTGGAAAATTTGTTGCCTGGCCATGTGGTAGAGAATGAAAGAATATTTTCAGGAATGGAGTCCAAGGGTGTGGCTGAGTAACTGGTTGCTAAACAGATTAGTAGTGATAGAAGGAAGCCAGTTCCTTAATTGTCAAGACAATGGAAAAGACATCCTAAAGGCATTTCAGAAGTCTTTCGGGCTACGTCTTCCATCACAATCCCAGAGGCCTGAGAGGGCAGAATGATTTGGGAGCACAGGTTTGGGGCACTGCTGTCCTGCACTGCCTCAGGATTCTGCTCCCCAAATTCCAGCACAGTGTTCAGCAGTTATTCTAGCTGTGGCTCAAGCAGCCCCATATGCAGCTTGTGTCACTGCTCTGGAGGACGCAAGGGATAAGCCTGAGGGCTTCTATGTGTTGTTAAGTCTGCAAGTGCCCAGAATGCAAGAGCTGTGGAGGCTTAGCTGCTTCCACCTAGATTTTGGAGGGTGTATTGGAAAGCCTGGGAGACCAGGCAGAAACCTGCTGTAGGGACACAGCCATCCCAGAAAGCCCCAACCTGGGCAATGCCTAATGGTACTGCAGGGGTGGGGCCACCACTGGGACTCCAGAATTATAGAGCCACTGGAAACATGCAACTGTGGCCTGGAAAAGCTGCAGGCATTTGACTCCAACCTGTGAGAGTGAGTAGGTATGTGGTCTGCACTCAGCAAAGCCGTGAGGGTCAGCTGTCTTAGGCCTTGGGAACTCACCTCTTGCACCAGTGTACCCAGGATGTAGTTGAAGGAGATGTGGAGTGAAAAGAGATTATTCTGGAGCTTCAAGATTTAATGTCTGCCCTGCTAGATTTCAAAACTGCATGGGGCCTGTTACTCCTTTATTCTTTTGGCCAATTTCTCCCTTTTGCAATGGAAATGTGTACCCAGTGTCATTCCACCATTGTATGTTGGAAGTAAATAACTTCTTTTTGATTGTATAGGTTCAAGTTGGAACTTGCCTTGAGTCTCAGATGAGACTTTGGACTTTTGAGTTGATGCTGAAATGAATTAAGACTTTTGGGACTATTGGAGTGAAGTGATTCTATCTAGTATGTGAGAATGACTTAAGTTTTAGGGGACCAGGGATGGAATGCTATGGTTTATCCCTGGCAAAATTATATTGAAATTGGATCCCCAATGTGGCAGGGTTGAGAGATGGGGCCTGGTGGAAGGTGTTCGGGTCATGGGGGCAGATCCCTCATGAATAGATTAATGCCTTCCTGTAGGGGTCAGTGAGTTCTTGCTGTCATAGGAACAGACTAGTTTCTTGAGAGCAGGTTGTTATAAAGCAAGGACACCCCTTGGGTTTTACCTTTTCACATGTGTCAGCTTTCCCTTTTTCTGCCATGTTTTGACCACGCACATGGCCCTCATCAGAAGCTGAATGAATGCTGGTGCCATGCTTCTCATACTTCCATCCTGCAAAACTGTGAGGTAAGTAAACCTCTTTTCTTTATAAATTACCCAGTCTCAGATATTCTGTTATAGCAACATAAAATGGGCTTGGACCACCCCAAAATAAGTTGCTTTGCTGTATTGATCACCAATAGGTAAGAAGGGTGAGACTTTCTGAATTCATTTTATCTGCCTAAGGACAGATTCTCCTAGAGGAACTTAATTGTTATCAGTCCTCCCCACAGGGAGTCTCAGCAACCAGGGAAGTTTAACTTTTATCAGAGGAGAGGAGACTTCATCCCATCCAGACAGACCTTGCCACAAACCATCATGTCTTCCTCCAAGACCCCTTTCATCCTTCCCAAAAGTCACTTATTGTGAGGATATCTCTCTTCTTTAACTTGTGAAAGCAAAATAAATCTTGTGACCCCAAACTTATTAAGTCCAAGGGAAAAGTTAAGCTGGGAACTGGGTTATGCAAACCTGCCTCCTCCTTTTGGTTCCTAAATAAGGTGGCTACAAAATGAAAAGCTACATGCCTTCCCCATATTTTGCCCATAAAGAATTTCCTAGCAAGTTCCAAGATCTTTACCCTAAGGTGTTTCTGTTAAAATTCACCATGGCAATGTAAATTGATAGCTTATCTTTACAAGTGCAGTCACCCACCACCCCCCGCCGCCCACCTGGCACAAATGCATACCTGATTGTTTCCCTGCCCCATTTTGTCTATGTTCGCTTATGTAAAAATGTAGATTCCCTGCATTTTTGCTCTGCCCCCTTTGTCTATGACGTCTTATGTAAAAAAATGCAGATTCATTGAGCCAGACAAAGGCATGGACGATTATTTTTCCCACCTGCCTCTTACATGAAAATTGTGTACATCTTAATATCTCACCCTTTCCCCTTTAAATTTGGAGCCCTCAAAGTCATCTTCGGAGAAAGGCATTGACCTGCCTCCTGGGTGCATGTCCTTAACTTTGGCAAATAAAGCTCCTAAAATGATTGAGACTTGTTGCAACATTTTTCTTGATTGACAATCTCCTGACCATTTTACCCATTCCAGTGAGGAGATTGAGGCAAAGAACCTGTGCCCTTTTCTAAACTGACCTGCCTGGTTAATTCTCTAAGCCATTGTTAGCAATGTTGTTCATTGTTATCTCTACTTTTTGGCTTTTTAACTTTCTCCAAACTTGGATAAATGGATCAGGCTGATTTGGGGCCTTATGTCAGGGGACTAGCAGGGACTCCCTTTGGTCAATCCAACCTTCAATAGTGTTGTATTAAAACTTTCTTTTAACTCCACAACTGTCCATTTTACTCATCTTGTTTGTAATAACCATCTAAAGTTTTTCTATCCTAAATTTGTATTTCCTAATGGATGGCTTTTAGGTAAAACAAGGTAGGAATTTTACATCTCAAAAGCATAGCATTTAGGTTTCAGGCCTAAATATTATTATTTGCCTAAACCAAGAAAGAAGCGCATAGGTTAAGGCCCAGTTAAGACAAGATGGCCAGAAAAAGCATCTTAAACAAAGGTAAGTCTTACGTAAATCTAAGCCAATGCCTTCTCCATTGTAAGGGTTTCTAGTGACTTAGTCCTCCCTCTCTTCCCAGTGCAGAGAGGGAGACACTCTTTCAAATGACAATTTTCTGTATAGATGTAAAACTTTCTTACAAAAGGGTCTCAAAATAACCAGCTGAAAATAGTCCTTATGCCAGAAAGGCATATTTTGTAGACTAATTTGACTAAATCGGTGGTTTCCCAGCTCAGCCTGTGTCTTTTAACTAGAATACTAAGTGAGTGGTTCCCACTGAAGACTAAGCCAAGCATTTTGCATGCCTGGACTCAGCATGGATACTTCTAATCTTGCCTTATAGTCAGAGACTGCTTCCATTCTTTTCTGTCTGTTTTTAAGATGAATGATAGACCAGTTGATTGTTTATTTTTTTTTTCCAGGAAAGACTTCTGAGGCATACCAAAGATCATGACAAGAAAAAAAAGGGAACAGTTGTTAGAATACTTTGTCAGCAGTGGGTTAGAAGAGGGGCATTAGCTGACTGAGAGGTTCCCATGGGAGAAGTGGGATCAAATAGAAAAACAAAGAGGACTAATTCTTACAGATATTTTCCAAAAAATGGTCAAAGTGTCAATTAGACAGGTTTGGACATGGAGACATTTCAGACTTCACTTGAAATCCCTAATGAAAAAATAGTATTTTTTATTCTGGGAGATTAGTAGATTATTGTCCTGGGAGCAAAGACTTTGGGGGCTTCCTCTGGTGGGAAAACAGTGCACCCCAAAGGGAGTGGGTTCATCAGATGGCTGGTGTAAAAATGGACAATATATTTTCCAGGGGGCTGGCTGTTTATAATAAAGGCAGACATATGGGGATACAGAACTCTCCAGTTTGGGACCCCTTGGTTTTGATTTAAAACATATACAAAAAAAGGCCTAGTGCAGTGGCTCACACCTGTAATCCCAGTACATTGGGAGGCAGAGGTGGGCAGATCACTTGAGGTCAGGAGTTCGAGACCAGCCTGGCCAACATGGAGAAACCCTGTCTCTACTAAAAATACAAAAACTAGCCAGGTGTGGTGGCGGGTGCCTGTAATCCCAGCTACTCTGGAGGCTGAAGTGGGAAAATTGCTTGAACCCGGGAGGTGGAGGTTGCAGTGAGCTGAGATTGCACCACTGCACTCCAGCCTGGGTGACAGAGTGAGACTCTGTCTCAAAAAAAAATAATTTATATATATACACACACACACACACACACGTATATATATGTACCTTTGCCTTGTGTGTGTGTGTGTGTGGTCCCTGTAATTGTTGTAGCTGTGAAGATGGGCACCTGTTTGCCTCTTGTAAGGAGTCTTTTAGAGATGCAACTTTTGATTCATTTAGTTTTTTGGAAGTCTCTGTGTACCAATAAAAAATACATTTCTTTGCTTTTGAGGCATTTTTGGTTCCTTCTTTTCTAATGCATCTTACAAGTGAACAATTATACAGGTTAAAACTTCCTACTGTGACCACTGTAACTCTATAATACCTTTGGTAAGGTTCATCCATTTCTCTAGAAAAGCACAGGTTCTGGGCCTGTAGTTTTTACACATGAAATTGGCTGGAGTTCCAGATGGAGGCGTTCTAGATTCCTTGGATACAGATGAACTCATGATTCCCTGTCTTCTGGGAACCTTACCTACTGAACCCAGTCTGGTTTCTGTCTGACCTAGTCAGATACTTGAGGCCTCCTTAAGAGCCCAGTCTTGTTTCTTTTGTGACTTCCTAATCCAGTCTAGATCAAAAACACTCAAACTTGGAGGGCTCAAAATACAAGTTCATGGAGCTCGGAATCTGGGAGAAAACTTACCCATGATCCTAACTGTTGTGAGAAGTCAAAGGGCACAATGGGCCCAGGTGGGTACCTTTGCCTTCACTCAGGGCTCCTGGGGGGTCATTGGAGTTCTACTCTGGACACCACTCTGACATCAATCTGTTAAAAGAAAAACTTCAGACAAACTAAAAGTGTCAATTAAACAGGTTTGTACATGGAGATCTTTCAGACTTGGTTTGAAATCCCTAATGAAGAAATATTATTATTATTATGATTTTTTGGTTGGGGGGATGGAGATTAATAGATTATTGTCCTGGGAGTGAAGCCTTTGGGGGCTTCCTCTGGTGGGGAAACAGTCCAGCCTGAAGGGAGTGGGTTAAAACTTAACAGAGTTTTGTCGAGCAAAGAACAATTTGCACACAAAATAATGATCAGACAGCCCTCAAAACCAGAACAGATTCAGAGAATTCCAGCCTGCAATGGGGTCAGGCAGCATTTATGGACAGAATAGGAAAGTGAGGTACAGAGGCAGTTCCATTGGTTACAGCTCAGCATTTGCCTTATTTGAACGTGGCCTGATCGGTGGGGCGCCTGTGATTGACTGAAGCTTGGCTGCTGTGATTGGCTGAGACTCAGCTGTTTGTTACAAGAGTATACTCCTGAGTTAGGCTTTCAGTGAGCTTACCTGCTAAGATAGGTTTGCAGTTCATTATATAAAGACTCAAGTACGGAGATATCCTCAGGCCAAATTTAGTTTAATTTAACAGTTGGGTGTGGAGCTTCTGAGGAGCTGATAATATCCTAATTATGACTCTGGCTGCTGGTGATAGGAATGTATTCACTTTGGAAAAATTCATCAAGTACTTCTCTATATGACATGCTCTATATTTGAACGAAAATGTATTCAAACGAAGCAAAAAGAATAGAGGTTTAAACAGTCCTTCCTCTCTTCTATTGGATCTCACAGGATTATTATACAAACAAGTAACGTCAGGAATGTAAAACATCAATATATTATATTTTGAATTACACACTTATAATATGCTTCCAAATTGCTTAGCTGCATAATTATTTTGTGTGTATATTATGTGTAGTGCATAATTAATAACATTTATGGAACAGTTGCAATTTTCCTTGCATTTGCTTCTTTAATTCTCATACAAAAATGGTGTAGCAGGCAGGTCAGATATTGTCTTAAATTTACAGATGAGAAAATTTAAAATTAAATGCTCACAGTGAATTACATACCTCCAGCCAGTTGTCTATACTTTTTCTTCAAATTAAATACTAATTCTAACTGGGTAAACTTTAGTAACCTCAAGAGGTTACCTGGGACATATCCAAGGTCACCCAGCTAGAATTAGTATTTAATTTGAGGAAAAAGTATAGGCAACTGGCTGTAGGTATGTAATTCACTGTCTGCATTTTTATCTTGCTTCACATTTCAGAAATCCCAGGTAGAAGGAATGTAAGAGCTAAGATCTTGGGTGCAGTTTTCCTTCTGCTTCTCTAACATGGCCAGATTGTACAATCTTTCCATGTTACAGTTGATACTCACTAATAGACTCTGGCTGGAACACGACATTTATCTCCTTCTCATTTGTACCGCACAAATGAAGTTAAAATAATGGCACTTTGTTGGCACTGAGGAAAGCCAGTTCCAAAGTGTCCCACTTTTTCTCTGCTATTCAGCATTTAGAGCTGATGCAAAATAACAAATGTCTGGCCCAGTTTGAGAACACAGACTGGTGGTGTAGTAAAGGCAAGGACTTGTCCTTCCAATAAATGCTTAGTCATGGGGTCTCCCATTCTTCCCACGTGGACCTGCCAGGTCTCCTTGAGGAGGGTCCTGGAGTGGCCATCAGTGAGAGTGAAACAAGAAGGGGAAGGCTGAGCTGGTGATCAGGTGATCCTCTCTTTGAGTCTTAAAAGTATGAAGTGGGATAGGAGGCTGGACAAGAAGGGGGAAGACCCTCATTTCAGTTAAGACCCCGTGATGTTACCCACTAGCCATGGGAAACTGAGCAAGCCACAAAACCACATCATCATGGAGTTTTGTGGAAAGAGCCCTGGATTTCGAGCCAGGCAAACTTGGGTTCAATTCTGACTCGGCATCTTAACAGCTGTGTGACCTTGTTCCAATGCATCACCTTCTCTGTACCTCATTTTCTGTAAATGAAAGGGGTTCTTTGGATGTCCTTGAAGGAGCCACTTCCTGCTAGCCATATTATGATCTCCAAGGATCCATATCCCCATCTATAAAGTGGGGAGGGTGATTCCCGAAGGTTCATCCTCCAGGCTTGCTGGGAGATGCATGGGGATCAGGCAGCAGTGGGCGCTTGGGAGTTTTCCTCAGTGCTAAATATTTGGGGTTGGGAGCTGCTGCCTAGATTTTCAGCAGCATAATTATTAACCATTAACCCCACTTTCTTTTCTGATCTCTTTCATAGGCTGTATTTTGTTGGAACAATTATCTTACATTAGCTGGCTCTTTAATTTATTTATTATTATTATTTTTTGAGACGGAGTCTCTCTGTGTCGCCAGGCTGCAGTGAAGTGGCGCGATCTTGGCTCACTGCAACCTCTGCCTCCCGGGTTCAAGAGATACTCCTGCCTCAGCCTCCCGAGTAGCTGGAACTACAGGCACCCGCCACATTAGCTGGCTTTTAAAGGTCTGTTCATCCCTCAGTGACAAGGCAATTCAGGTTAATCACATAGAACTGGCAGAGCAGCATTCCACTGGTTACTGAAAGGAGGGAGAGGTCCTCTTGTGTTCTGATTCTACTCACTCTTTTCCCTTAACCCCTTGCTGTCTCAGGGCTAAGCAGTTCCAGGAGAGCACTGAGCACATGCACACGTGTACACACACACACACACACACACACACACACACACACACACACACCTCATGCATCCCTTCTGAGGCTTACTGGTTTGTCTGTGGAGACAAGAACCAAGCCACAGCCCTGTGGGGAGGAGCTGGGGCCAGGACTCTCTTGCAGAGACTGCTAGAGCATCCAGGGAGGTCAGGAGCAGGGATGCTGGCTTCAGTGGTCTCCCTGTCTTGGATTCATATGACTTCAGCCATATCCACACCCTTGTGGTCACTTTAGGAGGTGAGGATCTTGTAGGGTCCCTGCTCTGTGGAGATGGCAGGGCTTCCCCACTGAACTTAAAAGAACCTTCAGATTGTCTGCTAACTAACTCTCTCTCTCTGTGTGTGTGTGTGTGTGTGTGTGTGTGTGTGTGTGTGTGTGTTTAAAGGAGACACAGTGCCACCCTCCCCTGAGGCCAGCACATTAGTGGCAGAAGGGGTTTGAGAGCCCCAGAAGGGCAAACATTGCCATTGGAGTGCCTAGGCTCTGAGACCCAGCCAAGCTCCCACAGGGAGAGTGTCCCATTATAACCCTTGGAGGCTGTGCTGAGTTGAATATTGTCTCCCAAAACTTCATGTTCACTGAATCCTTAGCATATGGCTTTATTTGAAAATAGGATCTTTGCACATGTAACTAGTTCAGTTAAGATGAGGTCATACTGGGTTAAGGTAGATCTTAATCCAAGGCTGCTGTCCGTATAAGAGAGGGAAATTTGGACAGAGTAACACAGACACAGGGAAGAAGGCCTTATGAAGACAGAGGCAGAGATCGGAGTGACGCAGCTGCAAGGCAAGGAATGCCATGAAAACCACCAGAAGCTTGAAAGAGGCAAGGAAGCATTCTTACCTAGACCTTTCAGAGGGAACAAGGCCCAGCTGTCACTTTGATTTCAGACTTCTGGCTTCCAGAACTGTGAGGGAATACAGTTCTGTTGTTTTAAGCCACCCAGGGTGTGGTGCTTTGTTATGGCAGCCTTAGGAAGCTAATATAGAGGCCAAGCTTTGATTCTTCTTGAGACCATGCTTATAGTTTAGCCCATGCTTTTCCCAGCCTGGGCTGAACTCTATTATTCATTTCACCAGCAGTCCAGCTTCAGATGTAAATTTGCTTCTGAAAGTCCGTGTTCCTGAAGAGAAATCACCCAGCTGAGTACAACTCAGCCAATACCATATCCATTCATCACTCTTTGGACCTAAATGAGAAAGAGAGATGGTCTTTTCTCTCCTCGGCTCCCCATTTTGTGTTCATCTTTGCAGGTCTTGGTGGAAACTCAGGATTCATAAAGACCTAGATCCCCGGTCCCCAGGAATGCCAGGCTTCTCTTGGCGATATCCCCACCAAGAGGTCATCTTGCCTATGGCTTGGGCCCCTCTGGGATCTTTGTAATGTCTTGTTGCTCCTTCCCTTCCAAAAATAAGTGTTGACTACCTGTTGTGTGCCAAGCATTATGTGGTAAGCAAATAGTCTCAGTCCCTGGCCTTGCAGAGCTCATGTTTTGGTGGAAATTTGATGCTGGAAAGCTCTTCCTCTGTTGGCCTTGCAATCTGCCAACCATGAAATCCAAGGCTGTTCTTGGTCTAAGTCGGTGGAGATTGTGGTACTAAATCCTACACCATTCCCTTGGAGGCTGGACACATCCTGCTCTCATATCTAGACCAATGCAGGCATCAGGAAAGGATAAGACTGTTGAAATGGCATCTTCCTGCCCTCCGATGAGCCTGGGTTGCTGTAAATTGTCCCCACATCCATTTTACAAGGCAATTGGTATTTTAAAACACTGTAACAATGAGACAATTGGTAATTTCCGTGCTTTATTTATCTCCAAATCAAATTAAGCATTGGGCGTGTGAACTGGAAGGAATAGTTGTTTTTATTATGTGGGTCACACATTGTCATAATTTTGAGGTGTATTACCACACATGTATTTGACATAATGCAATGTACATCATGTAAATTATACAATCTGTTCTACTAATTAAAATGTTTACAATGTACTATGTATTTTATTGTATCAGAAATAAAATCTTTGGCAAGCTTACCAAATTCATTGAACAATCTGATGACATTTTATAGACATTTAGAGCTGGCAGGAACTTTAGTATTTATTTAGCTTTCCCATTTTTATGACAGAGGAAACTGAAATGGAAAGAGCTAAACTAACCCGTTAAATAAATCACTAGAGATACATTAGAGAATCAAACATCATCTCTCAGCATCTTTCTAGCAATGTGTTGAGACAGATTCCCATTTTGTGGATATTGAAGGATACTGAAGCTCTTGAGAAGTGAAAGCTTTTGATGTCCGGCCAAGGTCACATGGCTGGTAGTTCCATATATGTGAGATGTACTGTGCTTGTAATGTGAGTTATGCATCTTGATGTTTGCATAGTGATAGAGACAATTTAACACGTGTTTCTTTTCTACTTTAAAATTCTGTGGTGGGAGTTGGGTTTCTGTTGATGAGTAGTGGGATAATAACCCTTAATGGACCAAGGCTGACACTGGCAGGGGAGAGGGTCTTCTTCCCACTGCATGGGGTGGTCAAGGTGGGTCTTCATTTGCTTTCAACAGGATGGGCCTGGGACAAAACAAGATTATGTACTTCCTGTGATCAAGGAAATCCTCAGGGTTAGTGGGGTCTCTTAGCAGGAGCCTTTTGGGGACTGAAGCCAAGTAGCAAACTGGCTTAAGGAAGCCATGCTTATGAAGAGATCCTAGAGCATTAATCCAGCCTATCACATGCTTCTGGTGCAGATGCTAGTTGCCAGGACTTTGTCTCAAGACCTCTGCTCCAGGGATGCAAGATGCTGGTCCTCCAGAACTCTGGCTTGGCTCCTCAAACCTCTGATCCAGGCTGCTGATCATACAGTGTTGCCAGAACAGCCACTGGAAGGGCCTGAAGTGGGGTTGGAACATCGTTGATAGTGTCTTGGGGCTCAGTTCTTCTTAAAGGTCGAATGAAGCTCATAGACAGTTCTGGCAAAGTTTGGCACCTACCATAGGTGAGGCGTCAGAGAGGGTTATGTCTGGAGACAGAAAGTACTAAAGCTAATTTACTCATTTATTCCATTCATTGATTCATTCATTCAAGAAATATTTACTAAGCATTTGCCATATACAACTCCTATTTCAGGGTGCCGCTAGATACTGCAGTGAATAGACAAGCTTCCTGCCCTTGTGAAGCTCCCATTTCAGAAGAGAGACAGATAATACATAAGCAGACATCTTCGTGTAGAATGTATCGTCACAGAGTGATGAACCTTATGCAGAAAAGCAAAGGACAGCAAAAGCATAGAGGGTAATGAGATGCATAATTGTAGGCAGGGTGCTCAGACACCTCTGAAGTTGGCACAATCGAGCAGAGAACAGAACACAGTGAGAAAGTCAACCCCTGGTCTATTTGGAGGAACGGCATTCTAGACAGAGGGAGCTTAAGGTGCAAATACCTTGAGAGGGAAGCACGATTGTGGTGCCCAAGGAAAATCACAGAGGTGGGTGTGGCTGGAGAGGAGCAGGGAGAGAGGGCCAGGGGTTAGGAAATCTCATCTCCAGTCCCAGATCTTTAATACTTGCCTGTGAAGTTGGGCACATCATTTACCTTTTTAAAACCTCCTTAAAATGGAGTTATCTTCCTTTTGTTGTGTTCCTTTTGTTTACCTGGAAGGATGGTTGTTAGTGTTAAAGGAGATCATGTAGGTAAAAACATTTTGTAAACTGTTAAGAAGCAAGCGCATAAAAAGGACCATACTTTTTTGTTTAGCTTATCATTATCCTGGGTATTCAGAAATAATCTATCACATGTTAACTGATGGTGAAAACACTTACAGGATACAATCTTGGTGAACTGCAAGCAGACTAACTGGTTAAATAGAGTCTTTAAAGGATGTGGAGATAGGAGAAACTGCATTCATGTGGGCTTGGTGTTTTTTTCTTTAAGTTCTAGAGGATTCAGCCCCAACACCCATAAACTTCTGTATCTCCTGGGATCCATGAGACCAATGGTATTCAGAATAATGGTCTGTACCCTCATGCTTTCCATCTCAAACCAAAATTTCTTTATAATCCTTGAGCCCTATTAAATGAGTCTGGAAAAGGATCTTGATTTTCTTGTAGCATTTCAGCAAAGTTTGTGAAGTAAAGGGAAATGAGGTCACCCCCTGTGTTAGATGTATTATTTCTCCATAATTCTTTCTTTCCTCTATGTCCTAGCCATGGATTATCCATAGCTCTAGTATACCTCCCTGCACCATTGATTTTGGGCTTGGTCATATGGTTTGCTTTGGCCAATGGGATGTGGGCAAAAGTGACATAGTGCAAATTCCAAGCTGAGACCTTAAGTGAGTTTCTTCCAGCTCCCTTGTAGCTTCTGCTCTGCATTATGAGAACATGTGCCATCCTGAGGGAAGACACAGAGAAGAGATCTGAAACATCCCAAAGCATGGGTCTAGTCTAGTTTGTGGAGCTCTGCTAAACCTAGCTGAGAACAGCCAAACTGCAGTTGACCCATGAGTATGAAATGAATGCTTAATATTGTGAACCATTAGGATTTTGGGATTATTTGTTACACAGCATTATTACAGTAAAACCTGACTCTTACACCATCCGAAATGACAGAAAAAATTTTAAACCACATCAGCCTCTTCTCCAGCCACTTGGATTCCCCAGGGTTACTCTGAGCTATCTGGTGAGCTGCTCAGCCTGCTCTTTGCTCTCTTCTGTGGCTTTCCCTCATTTGCCCACATCAATGACTATTCATTAGGTAGAAGAGGATTAAAGAACAGCCTCACCAGGTGTGGTGGATCATGCCTATAATTCCAGGATTTTGGGACGCCAAGGCAGGTGGATCATTTGAGGTCAGGAGTTTGAGACCAGCCTGGCCAGCATGGTGAAACCCCATCTCTACTAAAAATACAAAAAAATTAGCTGAGTGTAGTGGCACAGGCCCATAATCCCAGCTACTTGGGAGCCTGAGGCAGGAGAATCACTTGAACTCAGGAGACAGAGGTTTCAATGAGCCAAGATCATGCCACTGCACTCCAGCCTGGGCAACAGTGAGATGCTGTCGCAAACCAAAAACAAACAAACAAAAGAACAGCTTCCATGCCTATCTCCACTACAATGCCTAACCCCAAATCCAGCCTGTGTTGATACCAAAAGGAAAATTTTGAAGTTAAGATGGCTTATAGAGCCCTTTGAGATGGAAGGCTGGAACTGCAAGTACATCAGTCTCTTCTGGCTTCAAATGAGAAATAGTGGTCCCATAGAGAAAAAGCCACAGAAAACCATCTGCAACTGCAAAGTCACCTTTATGTTTGAAGACTGACTCATATCAAAAGCTTTGAGACTTGGTGAATAAAGAAATTACTTTCCCCTTGTCAGCAACTGCTATCACTTAGGTTTAACAAATACATTCAGAATTTACAGTCCAGTATCTCTGGCTATGCCTACCTGATGGATAGATGAATGATCTTCAGTGGATCCTCCAGCTTATTGTAATTAGAAAAGCTTCCCATAGGACAGGCAGAGCAGGGAGAACGTGATGTGAAACCCAAAGGCATAAGAGACCCCTAGACCAGAGAGTCACCTTGGCACCTTCTGGCCTCAATTGTGTCTGAATCATAAACTCTGGACACCTCAGGGCTGGAAGGGGTTTAAAGATCATCTGCCTGCTCCCTGTCCTAATTCTTGAAACTTCTAAAAGCATCTCTGAGAAGTGCGTGCCTATCTGCAGACACTTCCAGTGAGAGAAAACACTTCTTTTCAAGGCTACATATATCATTTTTTAATAACTCTGTACTGTGGACTGAATGTATCCCCCCACCCCCACCAAATCCATATGTTAAAACTGTAATCTCCAATGTGATGGTATTTGGAGATGGAGTCTTTGAAAGGTAATTACGTTTAGATGAGATCATCAGGGTAGAGCCCTCATGATGGGGTTGGTGTCCTTACACAAAGAGGCACCAGAGTGGGTTTGTGTTTGTGCTCTCTCTCTCTCCTGTTTGACATCTGAGGAAGATCTGGGCAAGATGGCCATCTGTAAGCCAAGAAGTAAGCCCTTACCACATGCTGAATTTGCTGGTGCCTTGATCTTGGACTTCACAGCCTCCAGAATCATGAGAATATAAATGTCTGTTGTTTAAGCCACCAAGTCTATGGCAATTTGTTGTTGCAGCCCAAGCTGACTAATGCATTCTGGTTGTTAAGCAGTTTTCGCTGCTACCAAGTTACTCTCTCTCTCTCTCCCTTCCTCTCTCTCTCTCTCTGTGTGTGTGTGTGTGTGTGTGTATCTCACTCTCCCCCAACTCTTCACCAATTTTAAAGGTTTAGAACAGGAGGATTAAGCCTGTAAAGGATTAGACCCTGTGGTAAATTTTTTGGGGCCTTGTGGGCCATATAGTCTCTATATCAACTACTCAACTCTCACAGTGTAACACACAAAAGCAGCTATCAATAATATGCTGTGTTCTGATAAAACCTTATGGACACTGATGATTTTTGCTTGTCACAAAATATTCTTCTTTTGATTTTTTCCAACTATTTAAAAATGTCAAAACCATTCTTAGCTTGTGAGCTGCACAAAAATGGTTTGAGGCTGGTTTGGCCCACAGGCTATAGTTTGTTGACCTCTGGCAAAGCTTCTCTCTCTTTTTCAACATAGTCTTCTTTCAATTATGAGTAATTTCTACACCATCCTGGAGACTCATCAAACACATATCGAACACCTCTTATGGGCCAGGGGAGCAATACTGTATCAGGTGATGGTAACATGAATCTGACAGTGACATGGTCTCTGTTCCAAGGAGCCTGGGCAGAGGTGAAACTAATTTCAAGGACATCTCTCACCTTCACAAATCCCTATAGCCCTTAAGGTTGGAGAGATGTCTACCTCCATTTAAACTTTGCTTGAGCCCATTAATTTTGCTCTTGCCTCATGCTCAGTGCACAGTGCAATAGAAAACCAACTTTACCACATTTCTTTTGATTATCTACTTACCTTTGGCTTTTATGGGTCTATTTTAAGTCTTGTGACCTTCTGTTATTCTAAAGGAGAAGACAAGGAGGTAGATGACACTATCTTTTACTAAGTTAAGTGACCTAATCATGCAAGAGTTACAGGTTTCTGTTCATTTGCAACATAGCATGCTCCTGAATCACTGCAAAAGCAATTGCATTCCAACCATCAATACTCCTGGCAATGCAAAACTCCTCTTGGTTGCTTTCCCCATCTGTGCGGTGCTGGGACCATCTGAAATGTTTCTAAGGAGCTTATGTTGCCCATTTTGGGGAAATAAATGGGTTGGAACTCAGCACCACTGCTAGGGTAGAGGAGTCCCTATGTTAAAGTATTAAATTGCAGTTTTAGTGGAAATTCAAGCTTTTGTGTGATGGTGAAGCAAAGTCAAATGGTAGCATTCACTCTGATTCATAAGACCAATGTTCTGTGGTCTGGAGGCTCTGGATTCAGGACATCGGTCTAGGACAGAGTCTACCCTTCTAGGCTTCCTCCTGACTTTCCTTCCAGGAACCCCCTCCACAGTTTCCATACTGTACTTCCAAGAGCATCAGAGAAATTTTCCTGGTCCAGACATGGAATTAGAGAATTTTGCCAGCAGAAAATCTCTATCCTGTGGGCTCCCTTTTCTTCCCAAACTGTCCCCATCCTGGATGGGTCTGGCTGTCTTGAGATAAGTAGTAGATCCTGCTCTTTGTTAGTGGGGCTCCAGCACACTGCTCAACTCCAAAAAGGGTAATAAGATTTTTAGGATTATTAAATTCAAAAAAATTTCCAATATGAATTCATTAGCTCACTCATTCATTTATCCAGTAAATATTCTAGAGAACCTACTGCTTCCCGGGCTTCAAAAGGGACACACAGCTGAAAAAGGCCTGGCCCTGGATTCTGGGGTCTTTGTTGGAGGGCAAGACAATGATTGAACTCGGATGTTACGAGTACCCTGATAGAGGCATAAACAAGACTCCATAAGGCACCAACAGGGGATACCCTCCTGCCATGTGAAGGGTACCATTGTCTAGTTGCCCTGAGGACTGGAGTCCCAGGCTAGGGGTGCTGAAAATCCAGCCAGCTCCCTCTGGCTTATGGCCATACTTTGCAATCCTCACTACAATGATGATGTGTCTGTTTCCTAAGGTGGAAAGTCCCATGCAAGTCCCAACCATTACCAGGAATAGGACTCCCAACATTTACCTTGCTGATTGCAAAGGAGGCCAGGGATCTGGAGCACCAATAGTAACAACAACAGTAGCCAAAATAATAGCTGATGTTTATGGTGTGCTTACGGTGTTGTGTGCCTGGCACTGTGCTAAGCATGTTAAATGCACTTTCTAATTTAAACTTCACAGCAACCCTTTGTGGCATGTGCTGTTATCATACAGAAGAGAAAATCAAGGCCAGAAAGGTTAACCACTTGCCCCAGGTCTAAGAAGTGAAACAGCAAGATTGGACCCAGGCAGCCTGAGTTCAGTGTCTCTTCCTTGTTTGTGGCATCTCTGTAAGGAAATTGAGACAGTCAGCTACGTTTTACACATCCCTCCTGTGCTGGGCCCTTCCCTTCCAATGTCTCATTTAATCCAAATGACACCCTAGGAGGTGAATATTAGTTATCCCAGTTTTACAGATAGGATTCTTGCAAGGAAGTGACTTGCCCAAGGCCATGCAGGGTCTTGGGCATGCTTCACATTTTGACTGTTCAGCCCAATCCAAGAGAGACAAGAGAAGGGGGCTCAGAACTGCCCTCAGAACACTTACAATCTGGGCAGGATCTACCCAACATGCCATTCGTTCACAACACTTAGCATCCCTCCCTAAGGTCCAGATGACAAAGTGCATTCATTTCCATGACCTAACTATGTGCAGAGACTGTGGAAAACTGGGAATTGTTGCTTGACAGTTGGACACTGGGATTCCAAAGGGAGGAGGAGGTAAATAAAAGGGATCTGGACCCTCGCTGCTAGAAGTGTGGTCCCAGACCAGCAACATTGACCCAACCTAGGTGCTTGATTCCCTGAAGAGTGACAGTTATTTCCAGGGCATGGCATTCTTCCTTGGGCACCAGTAACCGACCTGAGCCCAACTTGTTCCTTCCTCACAGGTACCTTGGCGCACACAAGGAGCTCTCATCAGACTGCTGGAGACCTGGGTTCTATGCAGCAATCCTTCTCACTTGCTGTGTGACTTGGGGCACGTTCCGACCCCTCTCTGGGCCTTAGTTCCCTTCTGTAAGGGAAAAACACTGCCCAGATAGTCGTTTTCAATCCTCATGGCCTATAGTTATCTCTTGGGGAGCTTTTAAATAATTCTGATGCCTGGGGCTTATAGCCAGAAATCCTGATTAGTCAGGGTAGCATGAGGCCCTGGAATTGGTATTTTTAAACCTTCCCCAGCTCGTTACATTGGTTTTGGGTTTTTTGTTTGTTTGTTTTTTGAGACAGAGCGAGACTCTGTTGCCCAGGTTGGAGTGCAGCTGTACAATCTCGGCTCACTGCAACCTCTGCCTCCTGGGTTCAAGCGATTCTCCTGCCTCAGCCTCCTGAGTAGTTGGGACTACAAGTGTGCGCCGCCATGCCCAGCTTATTTTTGTATTTTTAGTAGAGACAAGGTTTCACCATATTGGCCAGGCTGGTCTCGAACTCCTGACCTCAAGTGATCTCACCCCCTTGGCCTCCCAAAGTGCTGGGATTACAGGCATGAGCCACCACGCCTGGTCCCAGCTCATTACATTTTATAGCCAGTGTTGAGAAACTGGAGGCCAAATCACTGGTTTTTAAAAATCTGGGATGCATCAGCATTTGCTGCTCTTGAGGCTTCAGACACCCAGGCCCACCCAGATCTTCTGAGTTAGAATTTCCTTGGTGTGTGGTGGGGCTGGACATGAGTACGTTTAACAAGCTCCCAAGGTGATGCTGACATACCAAAGCTTCAGAACTGGAATCAATGGCCTCTGAGGTCTCTTTCAGCTCTGATTCTGAGGTCCTCCCAGTCAATGATTTCTTTCTTTCTCTCCACGCTGGAGCTGCCCGTTGGTGGTAAGCAGAGACGTCATCAGCTTGCAAGCTGAGCTTCAGTGTCCCCTGAGAATGCAGCCAGCTGGCAACGGTAGAGGAAAGTGGTGAACTCATTTGACTTTTCTTTATCAGCTGTACCATGTACATGATGTGCAAGAGGACTGGGGCTCTGTGTCAAGGCCAGCTGGGATGCTGAGGTTTTGTGTTAGGACCAAGGGCAAGTCTGATGGCTGTTCTGGTTTGCCCTGCTTCATGCCATGGCCTAAAGGTGAGTATTAGCCACAGGGTGCTACTGCCTGGACCCCACCCCCAAACCCACTGGAATGAGAAAGATGAGCCTTAGATTAGATGCAAATTTACCCACCCAACTTTGTCTCTCTGGGTCAGCCCCCACGGTAGGCTAGATGGATACCTTGACTGCCAGGAGAACCCAGGGCTGGGCTAAGGAACTGAGAGGCAGGCTCAGAGCAGGCTCCATGCTGAGCTCTGACTCTGCCCTGTCTTAGAGAGGCCATACTGGTATCTCCTTTCCTCCATGCGGCATGTGGCGATTTAATGGCAGTGAAATTTATTGTGGGTAATGGAGCGTCAAGCTCCTTATTGCTAATGGATGATTTCAAATGTGGAGAAAGATTTATTAAATAAGTCAAGCATATGCCTCCAAGAGAATATTACTGTGAGTGAAAACAATTATATAGTTAAACAAGGAGGAAAGAAAATTTAAATGCATCTTTAAAGGTTTCTTTAAATCAGTTTAACTGTGTGATTTTTAAAAGATGGGGGGGATTAGTTTCAGCAAATTACTTATTAAAAAAATTTTTTTTTGACTCAACAGGAAACTAACAGCCCTACTTGGCTTCCTTTTAAAGAAGTTACTTATTGGTATTTGAAAAAGAAGGGAAAAAAAAGTTAAGGAAGTGACTTTGGTAGCCTCTTGCGGTTCTCATGTTCTGATTTCTTTGGTGTACACTGAGCTCTCCCTGGGGCAGAAGGAAGGGGTCAGGGAAGCAGCAGCCAGAACTGTCATTCAGAGAGGAGGATCAGGGATGTCTAACTGGTATTAGACAATGCATCAGAGCTTTAGAGTTGGAAGCAACTTTGGAGGACATTTGGACAATTTCCTTGTGCATGCGGAGAAGCTAAGGTCCAGAGAAGAAAAGGAACTTTTCCAAGAATCCACAGGTGGTAGATTGCAAAGCTAGAAGCCAGGCTTTGCCATTGCTCTCTCCATGCAATGGGAATAATATTTATCTCAGGGGTGTCTGGAGGATATAAGAACCTAGGGAAAGTACTTTGGAAAGTATACATGCTTAGTTCCTGGAAGGGATTGTATGTAGAAGAGATTGGCTGCGAGCCTCCATGGTGGGTCCATTTTTGTGAGGGGCCTTCCCCCTATCCTTGGCCACTTCAGCAGTTCTGCAGCCAGGACTGTGGCTGGCTGAGGTTCCACACCTCTCTCCCGCACCAAGCTGAGGAGAGGCACAGGCAGCCACAAGCCTCTGACATTTTCCTTGAGATGGTGACAGCTGGTAAGACTTTTGACTAAAGGAATAAAGAGCAAGCAGGCAAAAAAAAGTTACTGTGTTAAAAGTGGTTTAAAAATGTTCTTCACCATCTGTTTGGCCACCCTGGTTTTTTGGGGCATGTGTAGGGGGAGAGACCTCTCCTCTCCCGCTCCTGAGCTTCACCTCGGTCAGGACCGACTATGAGAAGCTTTAGCGTGTCTCCAGGCTTTGTTTTCCATTTTCCTCAAATTTTCTTTCTGCTGCCTTCCCTTTGCTTCCAATGCATGCAATGCATTCTGCTTCTGGAAAAGTTATTTTCTTAATTGCTAATGAAATACCGAACCTGCAAAGCCTGGCACATTTGGATCAACAGGCAGGTGTTTGATTTTGGCCTTTGCTATCTGAGCTTGGTTCTGTTGGAAGGGAAATAGAACCTAAAAAGCAGGTATTGAAAGACACATTTTGAATGTCCTCACTCACATGTGGGAGCTAAAAATTAAAACAATTGAACTCATGGAGATAGAGAGTAGAATGATGGTTACCAGAGGCTGGCTTGGGCAGCGGGGAGCAGGGGAAAAGTGGGGATGATTAATGGGTGCAAAAATATAGTTAAATAGAATGAATTTGTGCTAGTATTTGATAGCACAACAGGCTGACTATAGTCAACAGTAATTTATTGTGTATTTAGAAATAACTAAAATAGTGGAATTGGAATGTTTCTAACACAAATAACTGACAGATGCTTGAGGTGATGGACACCCCAATTACCCCGATGTGATTATTACACATTGCGTGCCTACATCAAAACATTACATGTACCCCATAAATATATACATCTACTATGTCCCATAATAATTAAGAATTTTAAAATAAAATACCATTTGAAGCAAAATAATAAGAAAAACTAAAAAGCAAAACAAACAAAACCAGGTATTTAAGCTCTACTCCACCTAGTAACATCACAACCAGGTTTCCCTTCACATCCTAACTCTTTATACCACTTCTGCTGACATTTCTTATGAAATTTGCCTGAGGTATTTTTCAGGTTTTTTTTTCCTTTTGTGAATAGGGTCATAAAATATATATTCTACATAGTCATTGCTGTGGTACATTAAAATTATTAATTTTGTGTGTTGATTTTATATCTAGTCAACTTGTTTAACTCACATTTGGTTCTTGTGGATTTTTCTGACAGATGGTTATACTGACTGCATATACTAACAGTTTTGTCTCTTTCTCTTCAGAGTTACATTTCTTATTTTCTTCTCTTGTCTTTACGTAAGCTTTCAGAGCAATATTGAAAAGTAATAGTGATTATAGACATCTTTACCTGGTTTCTGATTTTAAAAGGATTGTTTCTGATATTTTACCATAACTACGATGTACACTGTGGGTCTATTGTATAAAAACATTACAAGTTGAATTTGTTGTTTTAATCAGAAATTGTTGTTAAATTACATTAAATTTTAGCATCAGTTGACAGTATCTATTGAGATGATTTTACTCTAGTGAGGAACATCAATTGCTTTCTAATGTTGGACTATTCTTCCGTTTTTTGCTCCTAATACCTTATTAGTTTTGACTTTCTAATACTTTAGATAGAATTTTTGTATCTTTGCTCATAAACAATATTGGCTTGTTCCTTTCATCCATGTTTTCCTTGCCCACTTTTGGTATTTGGTTATGGTAGCCACATGGAACGAGTTAGAGTAGTTTTTATCTTCTTCCATGCCCTGCATAGTATATCACATGGGATTATGGATTTTTTGAATGTTTGCTAGAACTTGACCATAAACTTTCTTACTCTGGTGCACTTTAGTGGGGGTAGATCTTAAATTACTATTTTAATTTTTATATGATTATTGGTCTTCCATGATTTTCTTCTTGAACCAATTGTTGACATTTATTATTTATTGTTTATTGTGATTTATTGTTTCCCAGGAAATTATTCATTCATTAGATTTTGAAATGTTTTGGTCTAAATTCTCTTTAATTTGAAATGTGCTTTGTATACTATGTCTCTATTACTTCTTAATGTTGTTATTTTTGTGACCATTACTCACTCTATTCTCACACTCGGTCTTGCCACAGGCTGTTCTAATTTATTGATAGTTTCAAAGAAACAGCTTTTAGTTTTATTGATCTATACTATTGATTTTTTTGTGTTCTAGTTAATTTTTGCATTTTATCTTTATTAATATCTTCCTCTAATTTCACTGAGCTTATTTTGTTTTTCTCTTTCTAACTTCTTGAACTGAAGAGCTTATTGACTTTGCTTTCATTTTTTCCTCATTTCTAAGAACTTTATTTGAGACTATAAATTTTCATGAATTAGGTATATATCTCAGGTTTTTGATATATGGCCTCTCCTTGTTATTCATTTCTAAATAGTAATACTTTTTTCTTTGCTAACCTAAGAGTTATTTTCAAAGTATTTAGCATGCTCAGGTGCATAGAATTATTTGGCCATTTTTTGTTATTAATTTCTAATTTTATTACATTTTGTCCCAGATGGTAACCTGTCTGACTTCTTTCTAATGAAGTTGTTGAGGTTTCCTTTGTGGCCTACTACGTGAGTAATTTTTTTTGAATGCTCCATGTGTGACTGAAAATAATGAAGTCTCCTCTTCTTAACATCTATGTCTATTAGATCACACTGTAAAATTTTAATATGTATGTTCTTCAGACTCTCTCTAACTGTCCCTGATCCACAGCTATTTGATTGGGTGATTTCTGAGAGATGAATAATAAGGTCTCTTACCATGATTGTAGATTAACACTTTCTCTGTGTATATCCTTCAGTTTTTGCTTTCTGTATTGAAGCTAAGTTATTGGGTGCATAAAAGTTCATGGCTGAGATATCGTCTCTATTGATGTTATATTTTATCAACATGGATACTCCATCCCCCTACTTTCTTTCATTGTTCTTTGCCTTGAGCTCTATTTTGTTTGATATTATTACAACTTGGCTTTCTTTTTCTTAGAATTCGCACAACATAGCTATTTCCAGTATTCTATTTTTAACCTCTCTGTCTCATTTTGCTTTAGGTGTATCTTACAAGCAGCATGTATCTGGATGTTAGTTTCTAAATCTAAGATTTTCCATTTAAATGACTTCTCATTTCATTTTTTCTTCTATAATAGTTGGAAATTATTCAACCTATTTTTTATTGCTAATGCATAGATTGATGCATTGATGCATTTTAAGAGACATATTGATATTTAGAGTCAATCACTTCCTAAATCCTCCCAGCAAAAAATATTAAAAACTTTTATTTCTTTACTGCTTACTTTCTCCTATTACTCTCTTTCTTCCCCAGCCTCCAGAACTGTGAGGACATAAATTTCCATTGTTTAAACTCCCCAGTCTGTGGTATTTTGCTATGGCAGCCAAAGTTGATTAATCTGTTTTGTTCGTTGGAAGAATTTTCTCTTCTTCCTTGTAAATGTTTCCAAAAAAAGCTTAAGTGTGGGTCTTTTTTTTTTTTTTTTTTTTTTTTTTTGAGATGGAGTCTCGCTGTCTCCCAGGCTGGAGTGTAGTTTGTGGCGCAATCCTGGCTCACTGCAAGCTCCACCTCCCAGGTTCATGCCATTCTCCTGCCTCAGCCTCCTGAGTAGCTGGGACTACAGGCGCCCACCACCACGCCTGGCTAATTTTTTGTATTTTTAGTAGAGATGGGGTTTTACCGTGTTAGCCAGGATGGTCTCGATCTCCTGTCCTCGTGATCCATCTGCCTTGGCCTTCCAAAGTGCTGGGATTACAGGCTTGAGCCACCCGTGCCCGGCCAAGTGTGGGTCTTTTTATTTACTTACTCTGCAGTTGATAGATCCATTCAATCTAAAGACTTCTATCTTTTTTTTCAATCTAAAGACTTCCATCGTTTTTTGGGTTTTTTTTTCTTTGCCTCAATTATTTCTTCTCCTTCATGCCTCTTATTTCCAATTTCTGGAATTCCTGTTAAATGGATTTTCATGCTGTTGGAATTATTTTCCATTTCTCTTTCATTTTTTCTTAACTTCCATCTGTGTTTCCTTGTGTGTTCTGTTTCTGGGAAAAGTCCTTGGTTGAATCTTCCAGTTCAGTCATTTTCTCTTAGTTTTTATCTATTCTGATATTCAGTTCATATATTGATTTTTTAAAATTTCAGTACTCAAGTTTGTAATTTCCAAGACCTTCATCTGATAATTTTGTATGTGTGCTACATTCCCTTGCATGAGAATACTAATTAGACTTTTATAAAGTATTTTCTTATTGATTCTATTCTTTCCATGGGGATGTAGTTCTTCAGTTTGTTAAATTTAGTTCTTCATGTCCAATTTAGTCTTCAGATGGTTAAATTTAGGACTTTTCTTTCACGAGGTTGATTTTCTTCAGAACCCCAACCAATCATCCTGTCAATCATCCTTGGGTGCTCCTGCTGCCTTGGACATTGGTGCTCCTCCATTTCTTGTAGCAGGTCTCTCCTTTGTGCTATTGGGATGTGGTTTCTTTCTTCAGTCTTCTCCATCTGCCTTTCCCCTTTCAGGCATTCCTAACTTTTTCATCTACTGTGGGTACCCCTTCTTTTTTTCCTACACTGTTATGGATTTTTATTATTATATGTTGTTATATTCTTACTTATATGCTGTATTGGTTATATTATATTTTATTTATATTATTGTTATCATCAATGTTTATTATTATTATTATTTCTTTTTTTCCAGGAGTTTAGGATAAGAAGGGGAATGTGGAGATTGTGCCTGGTTTACTATTTTTATCCAGCCTCCTCAACTTTGTATGTATTGAGGATTGATGTCTTAAACTACACTTCCAAAGATGAGGGTGAGTTGTTTGACAAGAATTTACCAGGGTTGGGTCTGCCCCTTGAGTCTGGCCAACAGCTGACTCACAGTCCATGGTTCCATTGGTGGCATACTTCCACCGGGAATTCCCTTTGTGTTTATTTTCATTGTCAAGATGTTCTTATCCTGCCTCACCTCTGGTTGGAAAGCTTGGGAACTCAGATGGATTTGCCATTTGCTGACCAGCCTTGAATTATTAGTGCAGGAGAAGAGATGGACATAAAGAAATCAGCCTGCTTCTTTGTGTCTGGCATGAGGGGATGTGGTGGGCATTGTGATGTGCCACCTAGATCAGCTTCTAGGAATGAAGGACATATTTCCCCAACTGCTGGCAGTGGTACAGCTTGCAGCTATCTCCCCTTTGGGGATTGCCTCAGATAAAAGAATGGTTTTGCCCCTGGCGGCCAGCAGCCCACTTTCTCAGCCTTCTGCCCCAACTCAGGCAGTTCCGAAGGATCACCTCATCTTCAGAACTCCCCATGCTTCTCTGGCACTGCATTGCAGCTCACTGTCTCCCTCTTCCCAGTCTGCCTCCTCCCCTTCATTACGCTGGCAGTGACCCCAAGATCAACACCCTAATAAACCTCATGCCTGCTAAACTTCATCTCAGGGTCTGCTTCCTGTGGATCCCAACCTATGATTGAGCATTTACTGAGAATTATTACGTGTATCAGAGCAAAGCACTATTGTGGCTATATTTGGCTACAGAAACCTTTAAACCTGCCCTGGGATTGGGGAAAGGAGCTGCATATGGCCAGCCAGAAAGTATGGGGAGGCAACGGCCCCTTACACATGTATTTTGATTTGCCCACCCAAATCCGCTCCTTCTGCAACTGTCCCCAACTCAGAAAATGGCAACTACATCTATTCAGTCAGTCAAGACAAAAATCTTGGAGTCATTTCTGACCTCAAACTCTAACACCACATTAATCTAATTCATCAAGGAATCTGCTTAGCTTTACCATCCAAATTGATCCTAAATTTGACCCTTTCTCACCACCTGGAATGCCAACCCCTAGGTCCCAGCCACCATCACCATCCCTAGCTTGGATTACAGCAATTGTCACTGTGAAAGGAAAATAAAATCTTGGGACCCTCAACTCAGCATGTCAAGGGAAAAGTTAAGCTTGGAAACCAAATCATGCAAAAAACTTGCCTTTTCTTTTGTTCATAAATAGATAGCTACAAGATAGAAGGCCACAAATTTCCCCAGGGGGCCTCCCTCACCCTGACAATGTAAATTAACAGCTTATCTTTATGGTACAGGACAAGAGGAGACTAGAAATTTTACCCCCCTTCCACCGCCTACCCCGAGATGAATTTATATTCGACTTCTTCCTGTACTGTGTTTACTTTATCTTATGTAAAGTGCAGATTAACTGAGCGTGAGACGGATGCATAATTGACTGTTCCTCTGCCCCCTCCTTTTCACATGAAACATGTGGATTCAGTGAGTGCTAATCAAAGCCTCAGAAAAATGTGACCATATCCTCCCTCTTTTTTTTCCCTCCTTTCTCGGCCTGCCCATCTTTTCCCTGTTAAATATTGAAGCCCTTAAAATCATCCTTGGAAAAAGTATGAGCCACAGATCCTATTGTGGCTTGTGTCTCTTTATCCCAGGCACGTCCTCAACCTGGGCAAAATCAACCTCTAAATTGATCGACATCACTTCTTCTTTTACATTTTCTTTTTCTTTTTTCTTTTTTTTTGGTTTATACCACCTAATCAGGCTCTCAGGTTCCAAACTCTTAGCTCCTACAATCTATTCTCAACACAGCAGTGAAAAGGATCTTTTAAAACCAAAGTCCATTCGTGTGTCTCCTTGGCTCAGCGCTCTCCAATATTTTCCATCCCATTTTAATCAAAACTCCCAGCCCTTCCATGGCCCCCAAGGCTGTTTATGACCTGGCCCTCCCCTGCTGTCCTGCTGACCTTTCCTACCACTATGTCCCCTTTGCTCACTCCAGTCCATGGCAAGCTTGTTCCTGACCTACTTGAAGTTCTCCCTGCTGAAAATGCCCAGATATCTTCATGGCTCCTCCCCTCACTTCCTTCAACTTCCATTTCAAATGTGATCTTATCTGAGACCTTCCTTCACTACCCAATCAATGACACTAACTTCCTCTCCCTACAACCCCAACTTTGGCACTAACCATCTCCCTCGCCATGTTTATTTTTTCTCATAACACTTATCACCATGCAATGGATTTCCTTGTTTATTTAGTCTATTCCTCCCCCAAGCAGAATGGAAGCTTTATGAGAAGTGTTTTGTTCACTTTATTCCTAACATCCAGAACAGTACTTAGCACAGAGTGAGTGCTAAATAAATGTTTGTCAATAAATGAAATTTTAATTCCCTGGACTGTTTAGGAGCATCTCAGATGGGAAAATTGCCTAAGGACAGATAATATTCTTCATTCTGCTGCTTACTTGCCTAATGACCTTCCATAAGCCCCTTTTCGTATCAGGCTATCAGGAAGCTGAGGGGGTGGGACAAGATGATCACTCAGTGTCTCTTCTCCATCTGATCTTTTGCTGAAATTGTGATTTGTTTGATGCAAACAACCTGGTGTGACATTACTGCAACTGTTTTTCTATTGCTTAAGTGAATTCTAAATGAAGCCCAGCTCTAACTTCCCCGGGGTCCCTCCCAGGTGTCATCCCACCTGCAGGGAGTGGCCCCAAGTACTTGGCTCTCTTTCCATTTTAACCTTCCCATGCCCCTCCTGTGTTCTGTGACTTGCTTTGGCCTCACATTGGGCAGATTGTATGTCATTGCCCTTTGCTCTGGTCAATGGGATGTGAGCAGATGTGAAGTCAGCAGCAGCTTGAAATAGACTTGAGTGGTGAGCTTGTCCTCTTGGGCTTCTTCCATCACAATAAGAGAAACACGTCTTGGCTAACCTGGTGGTCCAAGAACTGAGGGATGCCTGGAGTACCTGGATCAAACCAAAGGCCAGAGCCAAACTCAGCTGAGCCCAAGTGAGATCAGCAGAGCTGCCCCCGTTAACCCACATATGTATGAGTGAGAATAACTGAATGCTGTAAGCACTGAGTACTGGGGTGCTTTGTTATGTGGCATTCTTATGGCAATAGCTGACTGATACACCAATCTTCCAAAACTCAACCCAAGGTACACACTCTTCCAGAAAACATTCCCTAAGCCCAAGGGCATGGCCTAACAGTGAGAATTTCAGGTATGTTTCAGGTTAGTGAGGTCAGCTGCTCATAGGAACTGAGAGACTGCAACAGAAAGGAGGAAAAATGGGCAGCCAATATTGCTCAGTTTTGCTGTTTGATGACTCTGCAAACAGGAAGAACAAGGATCGACAGGATTTATAGTACAAACTGATAGAATGGAGCTGGGGCTGGCTTTGTGCCTTGCAGCTTCTTTCCCATTTTTTTTTCACAAGGCTCCCCACCAGGACACAGGAGCTGGTAACCCTGCCCTTGGCCTGAAATGTGGTTTGACCTACAGCTTCTGGGTATATCAGACTGGGGCAGCAGGGCACTGTTATTCTGACAGTGAACATTACACCTTCCAAATGGACATTGCAGAAATTTAGAATTGAGTCTTGTCAAAACATCCTGGTTTGCATATTAGGAAAGTCAAGGGAGAAGTTACTTTATCTTCTTTCTAACCCGATGAAAAGATTTTTAAGGGACTTTACTGCAATCATGTTTCTATTGCTTAAGTGAATTCCGAATGCTACTGTAAATTCCATTCATTATTTAAATAGCTTTACCTCCCTTAAGAGCCTAAGTGCCTTACAGGAAGGAAGGAGCTATCAAATCCATGCAGGGTGGGGAATTGCTCAGGAGGGTCAAATCCTGGGGCATAGGGAGAGGGACTGTAGTGTTCATGATGGGTCTGTAGGGAGGCCGATCAAGAGCCTGACTGAGTGATAGTAGGAGCTGGGAGAATTGCTAAGATCATCTGGGCCTAGGATGCTTTCCTATCTTTCCTGGTCCTAAGAGTTTTCTGAATCGCTTGTTAAAAATAGATCTGCAGACCCTTCCCCTGGAGATTCTATTTTAGCAGACCTGACGTGGAGTCCAGAATTCCATACTTTCAAGAAAGACCGCAGATGATTTTGACAACTAGACATGTGTGGAAAATACTGATCTATCAAGCTGCCTTGTTTATAGGTGAATAAATTGAGTCCCAAGGAGGGGTTAGTGCTAGAGGTTAGCGTTAGTCCCCAGTTAGTGCTAGAGCTAAATCCAGAACAGGATCACTGAGACCCGAATGGCAGATTTAGGATGCCCAATTTGCAGCTGTGCTGCTGGGACTGGCCGTATAGTCTGCAGGTCTGCTGGTCCCTTGGTACCTTTGTTTAGCTGCTCACTTTCTGTAAGAACAGCTGAAGGCAGCGCTCCTGGAGTCAGACAGACCAGGTTCAAATTCTAACTTTGCTTCTGATTCACTGAACAACCTTGTGCAAATTGCTTAACTTTTCCAAGCCATTAATATGGGCATTAAATCAGATAATGTACCTACCCCTAATAGGTGCTCAATAAATGATTATTGCTTATGAAGTGCTAGACCCCATTCCAAGCTATTAATTTGGGCATTAAATCAGATAATGTACCTACCCCTAATAGGTGCTCAATAAATGATTATTGCTTATGAAGTGCTAGACCCCATTCCAAGCCAAAGAACTGGCCAGTATGAGTTCATTTAACAATAAAACAAGCCTATTATTAACCCCATTTTAAAATGAAGAAAGTTGAAGAAGAGAAAACTTGAGTGACCGGTTCAAATCACGCATATAGCAAGTGAGAAGCAGAGGCGGATTTGAACTCATGTAGTTTGTAGTCCCCCTTCTTTCCCTTGAGTATAGGGTCTGGGTCCCACTTACTCCAGCATGGGCCCTGGTGTAGGCCTTTGCACACAAGTAGATATCATTAAGTGCCTGATGAATGAGATTGAGATTTAAAGGCAGGACGAGAAATTCACTTCAAGTATGGCTGAGGGTGGGGTATCTGGAGAGGGCAGTAGGAGGCCCTAAGTAGAGAAGCTGTACCCAGGGAAGATGGGGCAGAGCCTGCAGGACCAATCCCTGGGAGTTAAGGACATTTTTCAGGCCGAACAGTTAGCGTTGAAATGCGCAAGAGCCTGGAAGTTTTTTTGCATTGTCGCCTGCAGTAAGGAAAAATCTAGACTGAACTGGCTGCTTGGATCAGAAGTGATGTAACGGGCTGGCTTTGGCCTAGTTTTCCTAAAGCAGACGGCCCCCTGGCTCTCCCACACCCTTTTTTCCAGAATTGGCAAGTGACAGCTACCGCCATCTAGTGGTCTGAGTGGCACTGCACAGGGATGGGGAAAAAAGGTTGGACCGCACTGCAGGGACTAGAAGATGCCCCTGGCTTCCCTCTCCCCAAAAATGAGAGCCCCCAATGGTGGTAGAGAGTTTATTCTGTTCAAAGCATGTTCTTACCTTTTACTTCATTAGATCTTCTCAACAATCCAGGAGGTCACCAGGGGCCATTAACTCCATTTTATGGGTGAGGCAAAAAGTCCCTGGAGGAGAGGGGTCTTGTTCAGAGTCGTACTGTCAGCTATTGATGGAACCAGGACTGGGACCCAAGTCTTCACAATACAATTTCTTAGCCCATAAGTAATACAGAGAGGTTGTCAGATCCCTTGAAGTCTCCTTGGACAGGAAATGGAAGATGATTTATCCTGGAGGTCTTGGTCACTTCTCTGCATGGAGGTGAGTCCCCTTCACCTCAATGACTTGCGATTTTTCCCTGGAAAGAGAATCCTCAGGTGGGATACCTGGGCTGATAATGCTCATATGGGAGGTTTCAGAAGAAGATGAATACTGCCCCTTCAGCTCTAGACCCTCTTACTGGATACTCAGTTAAAGCTTATCTGGTCCAGGCTCCTTGTATGAAAGATGGGGAAACTGAGTCTCAGAGAGGGAGAATGACTAGGCTGACATCACACTGTGGTTAAAGCCCTTCCTTTCCGGCCTGTCTTTCTGTTCTGTGTACTCTGGTATAATAGCTGGTGCCTGGAGCCTGCACTGTTTCAAACAGATATAACTGTTTTCAGCCCAGAGTGAAAATTGGACTCTAATGTCTCCCAAATTATACCACAAAGCTATGCAAAGGAAAAGAGAAGCTACTGGATATGTATGTTTGTTTTAGCATATTTTTAGCATTTGTAACATCAGTAATTCACAAACTTTTCAATGAAATCTTAGGCAGAATTTTGGTATGCAAAAGAGATTAATGTGGTGAGAATTGAGGAAGCTGACATTTACTGTGCCCCTGGGGATCTCTGTAATGCCAGAGAGAAAGGGATAACACGTTGAAAAACAAGGCATTGCATAAGGAGCACTGGCTGTGGAGTCCTAACACCTGGGCTTTAGTCCCTGCTCTGGCAAAAGCTTGCTCTGTGTGTGACCTTGGGAGTCGCTCCCTCATTCTGATCTCTCGCAGTTTACTCATTCGTACAATAATCCTGATCTTCCTACTGCCTGGGGTTGATGAGAAGATTACATGGAGGGAATAGGGGAATGGATGTGAAAATGGTTTGTAGAAAATAAAGTGCTACATTTATAAATGGTTTCTTTTTTAACTAAATTGAGGTAAAATTTATATACAATAGAAATGCGCAACTCTAAAATGTTCAATTTCATGAGTTTGGAAAATTGTAATCAGCTGTGAAACCATTATCCAAAATAAGCTACAAAGTATTTACATCCCTCCAGGAAGTTCTCTTGGGCTCATTTGTAGCCAACCTTCCAAGCCCGCAGGCAACCACTGTTCTGATTCCTATCACCTTAGCTTAGTTTTGTGTGTTCTAGAACTTGACATAGACAAAATCGCCCAGTATGTGCTATTATGTGCCTGGCTTCCTTTGTCCACTGTAATGTTTTTGAGATTCATCCAGGTTGTTTTTTCCTTTACTGCTGCAGAATAGTATTTTATTGTATGGACATACCACTATTTGTTTATCTATTTTACTATGGAAAACATTTGAGTTATTTCCAATTTTGGATATTATGATTAAGACTGCAATGAGCATCCTCTTCCACATTTTAAGTGCACATATGAACCCATTTCTGTTGAAATAGGAGTGGAATGTTGAAGCATACAATAGACACATGAGTAAATTTAGTAGAAGCTGCTGAATAGATATCCAAATGGCTGTACCATTTTACATTCCCAACAGTGACACACCAGAGTTCCAGATGGTTCATAGGTTCCACATTTTGTATTGTTAGAATAGCCATTCTGGTGAGCATAAAACGGTGTCTCACTGTAGTTAAAATTTGCATTGATGTTAAATACCATTTCTTATTAGCTATATGTGTATCTTCCCCTGTGAAGTATCTTTTAAGTTATTTGCCCAGTTTAAAAAAGGTAGCTTGCCATTTTATTGTTGATTTGTAGGAATTCTTTATGTGTTATACACAAGTCATTTGTCAGATATAAATGTGGCAAAAACCTCTCCCCATTTGTGTTTTTTACTATTCATTTTCTTAATGACGTCTTTTCATAAGTAGGGATTTTAAAATTTAAGTTCAAGTTACCTATTGTTTTCATTATGCTTCGTGATTTTAATGTCTGAAGAAATCTTTGTCTAATCTAAGAATGCAAAAGTATTCTTTTGTGTTTTATTCTAGAAGCTTTATGGTTTTCACTTTTATGCTTAGGTCTATGATCTGTCTTAATTTATGTTTGTGTATGGAATGAAGATAGAGTTGAAGTTCATTCATTTCCATATGGATTGTTTCAGCGCTTCTGTTAAAAACATTTTCTTTTCGCCAGTGAACTGACTTAACGCCTTGGAAGTTTATTTTTCAATTAAAAGGTCTAAAAAGAAATTTTATTTTAAAAGTATAAGATAGTACCATTGACTTTTGGAAGGATGTACTGTTCTATGACTTTTAACTCAGGTATAGGTTTGTGCAGCCACTGCTAGAATCAGAATATAGAACGATTTGATCACCCCAAGAAACTCCCTTATGCTATCTATGTGCCTGTTCTTTTGCTGACACCACACTATCTGGACTACTGAAGCTTTATAGGAAATCATACAATCAGGTAGTGTAAGTGCTCCAACTTTGTAATTCCTTTTTCAAAATTGTTTTGGCTATTCTAGTTCTTTTCCATGTCCATATAAATTCGAAAGTCCACTTGTCAATATTTAAAAAAAAATCCTCCTGGGATTTTTATTGGAATTGTGTTAAATATGTAGATCATTTTGGGAAGAACTGACATTGTAACTATGCTGAGTTTTGCAATCCATGAACATGGTGTATCTTTCCATTTATTGAGGTCTTCTTTAACCTCTTTCATAAGCATTTCTTATAGTTTTCAGCATACAGGTCTTATATATGTATTTCACTTTTTGGAGGGGTATTGTGAATGACATTGTTTTAAAATTTTGTTTTCCAATTATACATTGCTAATATATAGCAATATGATTGATTTTGTGTGTTGCCTTGCAATCTTGCTAAACTCAGGTATTAGTTTTAGAAGCTTTTATAGATTCCTTGGGATTTTCTGTATAGAACGCTATGTCATCTACAAATAGAAGGTTTTATTTCTTCTTTTCTAGTCTGTATGCCTTTTGATTCTTTTCTCTGCTTATTGCAAATAGCTAGGACTTCCTGTACAATATTAAAAAGGAGCAGTGAGAATTCATCCATGCCTTTCTCCCAATCTGATAAGAAAAACATTCATAATTTGCCATTAAGTAGAATGTTAGCTGTAGGCTTTTTACATTTGTTCTTTGTCAGATTGAGGATGTTTTCTTCTATTTCAAGTTTATGGAGAGGTTTTTTTTTTATCATGAATTGTTGCATTTTGTCAAATGCATTTTCTGGATTACGTATGATGATGTATTTTGCCTTTTAAAATTTTAATATAGTAGATTACATTGATTGATTTTTAAATATTGGATCAGCCTTATATTCCTGCTATAAATTCCACTTGGTTGTGTATGTGTTTTTTTAATTTGGTTGCTATTATTTTGCTGAGAAATTTTGCTTCTGTATTTATGAAGGATATTAGTCTGCAGTTTTCTATTTGTCGCTATTTTTGTATGTTTTTGGTATACAGGCTTCATGAAATGAGTTGGGTATATGTTTCCTTCACTTCTATTTTCTGAAAGAAATTGTGTAGAATTATTATTTTTTCTTCTTTAAATATTTTGTAGAATTTCTAGTAAAGGTATCAGGCCTGGAAATGACTTTTTTGAAAGGTTTTAAAAGATAGATTCAATTTTTAAAATAAGTATAGGACTATTTAGGTTATTCATTTCATCTTGGATGAGTTTTGTTTTTTGTGGTTTTCCAAGAATTGTTCAATTTTATCTAAGTTTTTGAATTTATATGTATTATGTTTGTAGTATTACCTTATTATTTTTAATGGCCACAGGACCTGTAGTGATATCTTCTCTTTCATTCCTGATATTAATCATTTGTATCTTATCTCTTCTTTCTCTGTCAGTCTTGCTAGACACATTTTGATTTTTCCAATTATTGAAAAAACACCTTTGACTTGATTAACTTTCTCCATAGCCTTTCAGGTTCAATTTCATTGATTCTGCATTACTTTTACTGCTTTCTTTCTCCTGGTTACTTTGGTTTTGTTTTACTCTTCTTTTTCTAGTTTCTTGTGGTGGAAGCCTAGATGGCTGATTTGAGATCTTTATTTTTCTTTTTTTCAGTTTTGTTTTTCTTTCTTTTTTAACCAATACTATAAATTTTCATCTAAGCACTATTTTAGAAGCACTTCACAAATTTTGATAGGCTGTATTTTTATTTTCATTCAGTTCAAATATTTTCTCATATTTCTTGGGGCTTCTTTTTTGACCTATGAATTATTTAGAAGTGTGTTGTTTAATATGTTAGCATTTAGATATTTTCCTCTTGTTTTTCTCTTACTGATTTCCAGTTTAATTCCATTATAGTTTGAGAACATACTTTGTATAATTTCCATTATTTTAAATTGGTTAAAGCTTGTTTTATGATCCAGGATCATGCTCTATCTTGGTGGATATTTAATATGCACTTGAAAAAAATTGAATGTTGCTTTTGTTGGATGAGGGTATTCCATAAATGTCAGTAAGGTCTTATTTGTTGATGGTGTTTTTCAGTTCATTCCTATCTAAGAGTAGGAGTTCCCTTTCCTACTTCTTGACCCAGAACTATACAGTGTCTCCTAGAGCTCTCTATTTATGTTAATGACCACATCAGGGTGTCAGGGGGCCATGTCATCTTCTGGTCCTAGAATAACAGAGGGGAAAAAATAATTCATAACTTCAATAGAACTTTGAGTTCTGGTCTTACTTCCCTATCTACCTGTTAGTATTTACTATACAGAGTCCTCAGAACAGTGCACATATTTAGTCCAGGTTTTAAAGTTGATTTTTCTTTGGGGAACTACCCCTTTGTACTCTTAGTTCATGAGATGTGAGTGGGGTGGACCTCAACCCTACTTCCATGTGCTCTGATCTGATCAGTTAATGTATTCTATCCCAAAGCTGCAATGATTGGTTGAGGACTGAGCATGTGATTTAAATTGTACAAGGGTCATTTCTGATACTTTTGTGGGAACTAGTAGGAAACAGAATTTCTCTTCACTGGGGTTATTTACCTATGGGGATGAAATCTTGTTACAGCTTGAGAAGAGTTTGCCTGAGAGTAAAAGGGCACATTGAGGAAAGTGAGCTAGAAAAGAGAAAGACAAACTCCTAATCAGCTTGCCAAAGCACATAGATCCAGCCATTCCTGAAACTAGTAATCATCTCCCACATTCTAGACTTTTCAGGTACATGAACAACACAAAACAAAACAAATTAACAACAACCCCCCACCCCACTTCCTCTGCATTAGCCAGTATCAGTTGGTGTTTCTGCCACTTAATATTAAAAGTCTTAATACATATCTACATATATATATGTGTATATATATATATGTGTGTGTATATATATATATGTGTGTATATATATATATATATATATATATATATATATTTTTTTTTTTTTTTTTTTTTTTTTTTTTTTGAGATGGAGTCTCACTCTCTCCCCCAGGCTGGAGTGCAGTGGCATGGTCTTGGCTCACTGCAAGCTCTGCCCCCGGGTTCACACCATTCTCCTGCCTCAGCCTTCCAAGTAGCTGGGACTATAGGCACCCGCCACCATACCCAGATAATTTTTTGTATTTTTAGTAGAGACGGGGTTTCACTGTGTTAGCCAGGATGGTCTTGATCTCCTGACCTTGTGATCCACCCACCTTGGCCTCCCAACATATCTACATATCTTAAGTTTCCTTTCATCTTCCTTAAGTTCCTTAGTCAGAATCTAGGGAACCATTGCCCCCTTAAGCCCTAGGGCAGCATCCCCTTCCTTGAGAGAGCAATTAGCTGATTTCATGGTTCTCCAAACAGAAATGGTTGTCCTTAGAGAATCTCAGCATGAAAAATGGGCAGAGAAGCTGGGTCTCAGTATGGAGCCAGAGAGCATGTTTGCAAGTCTGCATCTGCTGGCTACATTAATGTGCAAATCAGGCTGTGGGCCAGAGTTTATTTTTAATAATTAGAAGCCCATCTTACTTTGGAAATGTGCTGCAGCTTCCTGTGACGAAAGGGAAAAGATGGTTCATCCCTTCTTTCCCTCGATCCATGGAATCTACATTTCTGGAAACTTAGAGATGACATAGCTTATTCACTCGTGGAACTCAGTATTCGAGGAGGAGAAAATTGTTGTGGGTAGAAAAAAAGATGATTTTTAAAAATGGGAAAGGAAAAGTATCTATTTCTCTATAGTATTTGGCAAATTTTGCTAAAATTTCTCAGGATCCCAAACTAGGGGGTAGATAACATTTTTGGCACATAGATGAGGCAGGTGCCTGGCATGGTTGTCAAGAGCATGGAATCTTACAACCACAAGACAGTAAGCTTGTAGCCCAATATTTTGCCAATGGAGAGAAAGAGGACCCTTTTGGGAAAGGGCCCTGTCCAAGGTCAGGCTGATAATTAACATAAAGAGAAGAATTATGAAGAAGGTGCGTGGGCTCCTTCTGTGTCCCAAAGGCTTCCACCATAGCCCACACCATCCAGACTCACAACTTTCCTACATTTCCAGAAGTGCCTCTTTGCAGGCGTCCCAGTTGTGAGTATGATATGCCCACTTGGCTTGGCCATCCGCCACCTGTTTGTCACTCAGCCAACTGGCAGTCCCCATCCCCATGTTTTTTTTGGTTTTGTTTTGGCATAGCTGAATTTCACCAGGCAAAGTGTGAGGTGTAGAACGCAACCAGAAGCATGCCACTTGCTGCGGGCAATGGAATGTGAGTGGAAGTCACATGTCACTTCAGGATGGAGGCCTTTAGGTAAGCCTGCCTCACTGCTTTATCATCAACAAGGGTTGGTGCTGAGAAGGCCTTGAAGCACAATCTGTCCCTGCCCTCCAGGAGAGTTCATGGCCCAGCGAGGGAGGCAGATATGGAAGCAGTCATCATGCAAGGTGATTGGGGTTGGGCCAATGCTATGTCTCAGCAGGAGGGGCCAACAAAGGGTGGAGACAGCTCTGCTGGGGGAAGGGGTTAGAGAAGGCTTTACTAAAATGCACAGATCTTGAGGTGGGTCTTGAAGGACATGTTAAGTTCTCCAGGTAGGCAAAGCACATACGGAAATCCCAGGTGAGAGAACTACCCTCTCTGCTTTCTTTTCTTGTGGTATTTGTCTTACTCTGCTCTTCGTGATAGTATCATGTATCTGCCTGGTCTCTTGTAGCCCATTTGCTGTTGTACTTAACATCTGTGTGCCTCAGTTTCCTCATCTGTCAAGGGAGTATAATTATAATGCTCCCTCACCAGAGTTGTTTTCAGGATTAAATTGTTTAAGGTGTATGGATATATATGAAGCATATGAGATGATGTCTTACACATGGTAAACACTTGGTAAATGCTACAGTACAATACTTTATATTTAATAGATACTCAAAAAATGTTTTCCTCATTGAAGTGCTCCTCAACTTCGTGTGACCCCTGTCACCTAAAATAAAAACTATTTTGGCTGGTGGAAGCTACTAGCAGCCTAATGTCTACTCTCAAAAAGCATCCCTCCACTGAATTAGCTAATCCTCTGATCTGTATTGGTATCACTCAGTGATTAGCAGGGATTAGAGGAGCACCTACTACTAAAAGTCAGGGAGATACAAAAAAAGATTGGACTAAGAACTGGCCCTCAGACTTAGTGGCCAGCTGGAGAAACCCGGTGTATGCTTGGGTCCAACAGAAAAGATACACCATAGGATGATCCCACTTTGCAGCATGTAGATGCTTTGATATAAAGAGCATCATGGCCAGAAGGGTGTGGGAGGAGAAGTATCTGACTGGGCAGAGATCTTAGAGGATCCTCAAATGGATTTTCCAGTAAGTGCTCCATACGAACACACACAGGAGGAGAAGACGTGGGATTGCAGAGCTGCAAAGATGGCATTGTGCAAGGCAAACCCCAGGTCTCTTTATGAATTCTTTCTCTTCCATTAATTCTTTGAGGCATGGAAAGTAGATTTCCAAGTATCATGGGAAGTTAGGCATGCTGCTGAGGATGGTCCAGAAATAACAGCATGGCTACTGGAGTGTTGGGAAGATTGGAGGTGACAGAGGATCCAAGGAGGAGTGAGAGTTGAAGCACCACATCAGAGAATGCCGAACTGAAGTCAGGAGGAAGAAAGGCCTGAGAACATGGGCTCATGGGCTCCCTACTTTGGGGACTGTTAAAGACCCATCTACAGATTGGAATATTGGCAGCAATGGAAATTTCAGCTTTTGTGTGCCATCTCTTTGACTCAATGTTTTTATATGTTGCTTCCTGTTTATTAACTTCTATTTCTTATAACTTTGTGATGAGACAGTTGGAAGGCATGCCTGTCTCTCATACTGTATACATTGCCAGAAGGACTAGGTGGAGTGTGTATGGAAGAAAGAATATGCCAAAAAAAAAAAGCATTAGTGAATGAAACATCACCAGGAGAGTTCATAGAAGAATGCACTGGCAAAGAAGTTACACACAGACATCTACCCAGAGAGAATCTGAGGTTGACTATAAATAAAGTTTAAAAATGGTATAGAACTCAGAGTGAAAAGGAGTGTGGTGGAAGGCTTGTAGGAAGAGGTGGTTCTTTACTGGGCCTTGAAGGATGGTTGGACTTTGGATATATGGAAGGAGAAGAAATCATATTCTAAGATGGATGTGATGATTAATTTTACGTGTCAACTTGACTGGGCCATGGGGTGCCCAGATATTTGGCCAAATATTATTCTGGCTGTGTCAGTGAGGCTGTTTTTAGATGAGATTAACACTTGAATCAATAGCCTGAGTAAAGCAGATTGCCCTTCCTAATGTGGGTGGCCCTCATCCAATCAGTTGAAAGCTGAAATAGAACAGAAAGGCTGACTCTCCCACAGATAAGAAGAAACTCTTTCTGCCTGTTTTGAGCTGGGATATCTTTTTTTATTCCACCTTTTGGACTCAAATTGAAACATTAGACCAGGCACAGTGAGTGGCTCATGCCTGTAATCCCAGCACATTGGGAGGCCAAGGCGGGTGGATCACCTAAGGTTGGGAGTTCAACAGCAGCCTGGCCAACACTGTGAAACTCCATCTCTACTAAAAATACAAAAATTAGCCAAGCGTGGTGGTGCACACCTGTAATCCCAGCTACTCAGGTGCCTGAGGCACAAGAATGGCTTGAACTCAGGAGGTGGAGGTTGCAGTGAGCTGAGATCACACCACTGTACTCTAGCCTGAGTGACAGAGTGAGACTCTGTCTCAAAAAAACAAAACAAAACAAAACAAAAAAACCCAAAACAAAAAACACGGGTTCTTCTTGGGTCTCTAGGCTGCCAACTTTCAAACTAAAACTTACACCAGTAACTCTCCCGTCTCAGGCCCTGCGCTTAGACTGGAGCTACACATGGGCTCTCTGGGGCCCCCAGATTGCTGACTGCAGACCTTGGGACTTCACAGCTTCCATAGTCACACAAGGCAGTATCTTATAATTTCTCTCTCTTCCTCTCTTGACACACATGCATGCATGTGCACATGCACACGCGCACACACACACACACACACACCCCACACAATTTCTTGGTTTCTATTGGTTCTATTTCTCTGGATAATCCTGACTAATAGAATGAAGAATATAACTTTTGAGGCAAAGTCATAGTAAATTAACCCTTACTGAGAATCTACTATGGGTCAAGCACTTTATGCATAATCTCATTTAATCCCTATCCCCATGCAGTGGGAAACATTTCTAAGTCCAGTCCGTGGATCAATATTGTACTGATATTAAATTAATAGATATTTACTGAGCACCTACTATGGTCCAGAGACTTCTCCATTCCACGTGATGACACATTTCACATATTTATTTATTTATTTAATCAACAAATACTAACTGAATGTCTACTGAATGCTTGGAATGCATCAGTGAACAAAACAATAATATACATTCTCTTGAAATTTACATTTTAGTGAGGAAAGGCAGAACAATAATGCTAGCTATAACAAATAATTAATTATACAATACATTAGAAGGTGATAAATACTCTAAAAGTGTTGATAGAGTAAAGGGGATTAAACACATTGAGGTTGGGGTTGGATTGCAATTTTAAATAGGACAGTCAAGGAAACCCCACTATAAAGGTAAAATTTGAGCAAAGTATTGAGAAGGAGATGTATGAGTGAGCAAATCAGAGAGCAGGAACAACAAGTGCAAGGGCCCTGAGACAAGAACCCTTGGTACATTGGAGGAACAGCAAGAAGGCTGGTGTGGGTGGATGAGAATGAATAAGAGGAGATGATAGGAGGAGGTGGGGTCAAGGGTTACGAAAGAGAGGTCATAGTATGTAGGCCTTTGTAGACCATTGCAAAGAATGTGGTTTTAGTCTTTGCTGTGTATTTTGCAGATGATGACCTATTCTGTTTTACATTATAACAGAATCACTCTGGCTGCTGTGTTTCAGTGGTCCAGGTGAGAGATGGTGGTGGCTGGAACCAGGGTAGTAGCAGTGGAGGTAAAATAAGTGAACAGATTCTAGATATGTGTATATATGTATATACATATGTGTCATGTATATGTATATACATATAGTAACAGCTTTAGTGAGATAATTCACCCACTTAAAGTATACAATTCAGGTAAGACTCTAAGGCTTTTGAACTGAGAAACCAGAAACATGGAATTTTCACCAACTAAGATGGAGGAAGAGAGCAGATTCATTGGAAGGGAAGGGCAATAGTTTAGTTTGGGATATGTTAAATCTACACCCAATTGCTAATGAGGGAAATCTGGGAATTATCCCTTACTCTTCCCATTTCTTTATCACTACTATCCCAAATCCCTACATCTGATCTATCAACAAGTCAGATCACTTCTACCTCGAAAGGGTATCTTGAGTAAGTCCATTTCCATCAGAAAGTGCTTATGAGATATCCCATGTCCTCCCCGCCATTTCCCATTCTCCTTTGCAGTTAGAATGGAGTCATGTGACTGGTTCTGGCCAATGAGCTGTGAAGAGAAGTGACACATGACACTTCCTGGTCAAAACAGTTAAGAACCCATGACGTGCCTCCTTCATCTCTCTCTTTCCCTGATAGGCCTTGAAGGCCATGTATTCCAAATGGTAGAGCTGCAAGATGAAGGACTTCCCAATTCACACTGGACTCTCATGTGGGCAAAAAATAAACTCTGTATGTATTGAGTGTTACTTAACTACTGAGATATCAGATTTATCTTCACACAATTTTTCTTCTCCCTCCTGCTACCCTAGTCTGAACTTCCATCATCATTGCCAAATTTTGTGGAATAGTCACCTAATTAATGTCCCTACTCCTACCTTTGTATCCCCCAAATTCATTCTTTACGCAGCAGCCAGATCAGAGTTCTTCAATGGCTTCCTGTTGCACTTATCACTGAGTTGCTGTGTAATCTGGCTCCTGCCTCCCTCTTGAACCTCATCTCATCAGCCCCTAGCTCACTGAGCTGCTTACTCTGCCTCAGACTCAACAAGCTCTTTCTTTTTGCAGGGTCTTTGCCTGTGCATTTCCTCTGCCTGGTTGGTCTCATGGCTGGCTCCTTCCTATCCTTCAGGTCTCAGGTTAGATCTCACCCTTCTCAGAGAGGACTCCCTGATGACTCTATCCAGAGTTGCCCACCCTCCCCCCCCCATTATTTTCTGTCATCACACACTATTTATTTTAAACACTAATAACAATCTATCATTTAATGAATGAACAAATGAAGTAAGCAACTAACTAACTAACATATTTACTCTTTGTCTCATCCACTGACAGTAAACTCCACAAGAACAGAGACCTGTATTCATCATTGTACCCCCAGTGTCTTAGTCTGTTTTCTGTTGCTACAACTGAATACCTGAGACTGGGCAATTTATAAAGAAAACAAATTTATTTCTTTCAGTTTTGGAGGTTGGGAAGTTCAAAATCAAGGGGTTGCATCTGGTGAGGGCCTTCTTGCTGGTGGAGACTCTCTGCAGAGTCCTGAGGTGGCACAGGGCATCACATGGATAGCAATTGCATGTGTGACTGGTTCTGGCCAATGAGCTGTGAAGAGAAGTGACACATGGCACTTCCTGGTCAAAACAAAACTGGCTTTTATAATAGACACACTCTTGTGATAACCAACCCAGTCCTCTGATAACCCATCAATCCATTTATCCATTAATCCTTGAGTGAATTAATCCATTTATGAAGGCATAGCCCTCATGACCCAATGAGGGTCTTAAAAGTCCCACCTCTTCATAATGCGACATTGGTGATTGGGTTTCAACATGAGTTTCAGAGGGGCCAAACATTAACTCCATGGCAGCCCATGTCTGATATGCATTTAACATGTGGTAGATGCTTCATAAGCATCACATGATTCAGCATCAGAGACACAGCATGCCCAAGGCAAGGTCCCTGTCCTCAGAAATCTCATGGTTGAGTAGTGAGAGGCCAGGAGTCAGGGTGCAGTGGGTTTGCAACCCAATCTAACCTAATTTGGGGGAAGGTTGGAAGAGCTTCCTGGATAAGGGGATTCCTGAGGCAGGCCCCAAAGGACAGAGGGCTATTAGTTGGCCTGATAGATTAAGAGAAGGGCCTTTTAGAAAGGAGAAGTGGCATGCATAAAGGATCAGAGGGGTGAGAATAGGGTTAAGGCCAGTCCAGAATGACTGCAATGTGGGATATGAGTTGCAATAGCAAGAGATAGGGTGGAGACAGAGCAAGGGCCAGATCATCTAAGGCCTGACATGTCAGGCTAAGAAGATTGCACTTGACCTTGCATCAGTAGGCTGTCATTGACTGAGTCCACGTGTGTTGTGGCAGAACAAACTTAGGCTAATTCCTTTTGGGCATCATGGTGAGGTGGAGGACCTTTGGTTAAAGGATCTTGCCTCTGTTCCTCATTGGCTGCATAGATTTCTCTTCTCCATGGCTCCCAACTCCATTCTGTCTAATACATGTTGTGTAGAAAATAGACTGCAGGAAGGGAATGAGAAGGAAGGATATTTACAGTAGAGAAGTTTGGACATTGGAAGTAATTCCTGGGATGAAGAAAGAATAGCAGAGGGTGGAGTGGAAAAAGCACTGGACTAGGAGTCAAGAACCCTGATTCTGTCACTAATTACTGTATGGCCTTGGAAAACTCATTTTATCTACCTGGGCCTTGATTTCTCCATATGGAAAATGGGGTTTTGGGCTTAATTGGTAATCCACCAAAAATGTCCAACCTTACAGAATCATACTGGTGGTGGGATTTCAGGCACCATGATCTTGAAGTAGGATGTAATTTTTTTTGTTTTTTTTGTCTATGACTTAAGACATTCCTATAAATGGCTCTTATGCATCTCCTCCATTCCCCTTCTCAAGGGAGAAGGAATACTATGTGTCTATGTGTCAGTATTTTGATAGGCATTGGAGATAAAACATACAGGCCCAATCTCTCTGTTTTCATGAAGCCTACAGTTTAGCACTGGAAAACTGATTTTTAAAAAATCACACAAACAATGTAAAATTACAACCGTGATTAGAACCACAGAAGTAACACATAGCATGAAGAGAACCATTCAAAAGGGAGTCAGAAAAGCCTGGGACAGTTCTGAAGACTGGGAAGTCCAAAATCGAGGGGCTGCATCTGGCAAGGGCCTTCTTGCTGGTGGGGACTCTCTGCAGAGTCCCAAGGTGGCACAAGGCATCACATGGCTAAGGGGTGCAAAAACCAGAACCAAACTGGCTTTTATAATAGACCCTCTCTTATGATAACTCCTTGTAGTAGTGACACTTGGGGGAGATCTGAAGGATAAGTCAGAGATAACTGGGCAGGGAGTGGAAGGTATCAAGTACCAGGCAGAGGGAACAGCATATTCGGAGAGACAGGGCAAAGGCTGGTGTGGCTGGAGCAGGGAGAGAAGCCTGGCAAAGGATGATGCTGGACAGGGGACTATTTAAAATATTGCATATGCAGAGCCTAGGGGATCCAGTTGGTCAGACATTGGTCCTTTGGTTGCTGAATTGTGGGGGGTTCTGACAGGTTGCTGGGGGAGGAGGGAGGATGTCAGGGAACATTTGGTGTAGGTGTGCTTGGGATAAGGAAGTATTTTCAATGTTCTAACAATCTTTATGGCTACGTGGGTGTGTTCCATCTGACCATTAGTGATTGGGACAAAGAGGTGGGCAGGGATCCAATCAACCACGAAGACCTAGAGGACATAGAGTTTGCCCTGACAATATTGGGGAGCCACTGCTGGGCCAAGGAAGGTGGTGAGGGGGCCACAATTGGGTTTTACAGAACTGAGATTAAGCTGAGGAGAGCAAGGTTCTCACTTCAGCCTCAGAACTGAAGTGGGGGCCAAAAATCAGTACTTAAGATAGATTTCTGCAATATTTAAAAATATTTTAAAAAATTTCAAAGTAATGCAAAAAACATTCCATCGTGAGCAAAACATCAACATTTTCAATAAAGACAGCATTTAATCCTGCACTTTCATGATTCGACCTCACTTTCTTCAATACAATCTATGCCCTGTCGGATGCTGTCTTCATGTAAATTTTTGCTAGTTTGTTCACCATGGACATATTTTGCACTCATTTAAAAATATTGCATGAAAATAGTATTTATCTTGATTGCTGAGTATTTAGGGTGTCTCCATAAATGTTGGGCCTGGCCCTAATTTTGAAGCACTCTGATTTTGAAGTGATGACTTGGATCTGTGGATGTGGAGGCGCAGAGGGGCCAGTGTGGATGTGGGGAGTCATGGGGGTGGGGTGCACATGAGAGATGCAGCCAGATTGTCTGAATGCGACAGGAGGGGATGTACGGGCAGGCATGCTGCTCGCCCCCTCTTCTGGGGATTCTGAGGAGGGGGTATGAGGGGGATGCTGTCAGCAGCCCATCTGCACTATGTGACTGCCAGCCAGGCTTGCGAGCCAAGCGCCCACCTCCCTTGGCGAGGCTGTTGGGAAGCCATTTTACCAGGAGAGTGGGAAGCATCTCATGGTCTGACTCGGCCATGCCTTGGGGCTACTCTGATGTGCTCCCTTGGTAAACCCTAATCTGTTCCCTTCTATTGCCCACGTGACCCGCTCACCTCCAGGTGAGCCCTGGTTCCAGCTTGTGGAGTCTTAGAGCCCACTGGCCATGTGCTTCTAGACCTTCTGGGTCTGTGGACCTGCCTGTGTCTTTAATGTTGCAGATTGTGCTCCACCCCTGAACTTAACCTGCTTCTATGGTCCTGCAGGCTGTGGCTGGGAAGCAAGCGACATCCATCTAGGGCCTTGGACGCATGCTAGAAGACCTTCCCATGATGTGAGGTCAGAGTCACCTGGGACCTCTGAGTCCTGGGGACACAGGTAGGATTGTCAAGACAAGGACAGGTCAGGAGCATGTGGGACAGCAGGGGATGGGGGAAAGGCATTGAAGAGGACTAACAATTAACAGCAGAATCAACAGCCAACACCATAGACATCTCAATTGGTTTAGCTTACCAAATTCTGACTGAAAAAGCTGAGCAAACTTTATATTTGATGGGTGTCAAAACTGTTGCACCCAGATCAGCTATAGACAAGAGCACAGTCTCAGTGGAAATTTTATTTTATTTCTTAAAAATGACGTTTACTTCTTGTTAAGATTAAGGTTGAGTATCTTTTAAACAAATTCCAATAGCTTTAGGGTACAAGTGGGTTTTGGTTACATAAATGAACTGTATAGTGACGAAGTCTGGGTTTTTAGTGTACCTGTCACCTGAACTGTGTACATTGTACAAAATAGGGGATTTTTTTGTCCCTTATCCCCCTCCCACCCTTCCACCTTCTGAGTCTCCAGTGTCCATTATACCACTTTGTATGCCTTTGCAAAGCCATAGCTTAGCTCCCACTTATAAGTGAGAACACGCAGTATTTGGCTTTCCGTTCCTGAGTTACTTCACATAGGATAATGGCCTTCAGTTCCAGCCAAATTGCTGGAAAAGATGATTTTTTTTTTTTGAGACAGAGTCTCGCTCTGTCGCCCAGGCTGGAGTGCAGTGGCTCGATCTTGGCTCACTGCAAGCTCCACCTCCTGGGTTCATGCCATTCTCCTGCCTCAGCCTCCCGAGTAGCTGGGACTATAGGCACCTGCCACCACGCCCAGCTAATTTTTTCTATTTTTAGTAGAGACGGGGTTTCACCGTGCTAGCCAGGATGGTCTCGATCTCCTGACCTCGTCATCCATCCGCCTCGGCCTCCCAAAGTGCTGGGATTACAGGCGTGAGCCACCGCGCCCAGCCTCAAAGATGATTCTTTTTTATGGCTGAGTAGTATTCCATGGTATATGTATACCATATTTTTTTATCCACTTGTCAGTTGATGGGAACTTAAGTTAATTCCATATCTTTGCAATTGTGAATTGTGCTGTGGTAAACATATGAATGCAGGTAACTTTTTAAAATATAGTAACCTCTTTTCCTTTGGGTAAATATCCAGTAATGGGATTGCTGGATCAAATGGTAGATCTACTTCTAGTTCTTTAAGAAAGCTCCATACTGTTTTCCATAAAGGTTGTACTAATTTACATCATTCCCACCAACAATGTATAAGCATCCCCTTTGTACTGCATCCACACCAACATCTATTGATTTTTGACTTGTAAAAATTGGCCATTTTGACCGGGGCAAGGTGATATCTTACTGTGGTTTTAATTTGCATTTTCCTGATGATTAGTGGTGTTAAGAATTTGTTTTCATACTATTGTTGGCCATTTGTATATTCTCTTTTGAGAAATGTCTATTCATGTAGTTTGCCCACTTTTTAATGAGATTACTTGTTTTTTTCCTTGCTGATTTGTTGAGTTCCTTGCAGATTCTAGATCTTAGTCCTTTGTCAGATGTATAGTTTGTGAATATTTTGTCCAATTCTGTAGGTTGTCTATTTACTTTGTTGATTATTTCTTCTGCTGTGCAGAAGCCTTTTCATTTAATTAAGCTCCATTTATTATTTTTGATTATATTGCATTTGCTTTTGGAGTCTTAGTCATAAATTCTTTGCCTGGGTCAATGTCCAGAAGAGTTTTTCCTAGGTTTTCTTCTCAGATTTTTCTGGTTTCAAGTCTTACATTTAAGTCTTTAGTTTTTTTCTATTTAAGTATTTAATTCATCTTGAGTTAATTTCTGTATATGGTGAGAGACAGGGATTCAGTTTCATTCTTCTACATGTGGCTATCTAGTTTTCCCAGCATCAATGGAAATTTTAAATAAGTGAGATCAAGATCCTGAAGCATTTCTTTGAAGAATTGTAACAGAAGAGGAAACATGGCTTTACCAGTACAATTCTAAAGACAATGCACAATCAAAGCGATGGCTACTAAGAGGTGGATGTGGTTCAGTCAAAGCAAAAGCAGACTGGGCAAGAGCAAAGGTCTTAGCAACAGTTTTTTGGGCTGCTCACAGAAGTTTGCATGTTGACGTTCTTGAAAGCCAAAGAATAATAACATCTACTTATTATGATAATATTTAGAGAAAGCTACAGCTTTAGCAAAAATGCTCAGAAAAGCTTCACCAGAGAGTCCTTCTCCAGCATGACAATATTCCTGCTCATTTCTCTCATTAAACAACGGTAATTTTGCCAGAGTTTTGGTGAGAAACCATTAGGCATTCACCTTAAAGTTCTGCTTTGGCCTCTTCTGACTTATTTTTATTTCCTAATCTTAAAAAATTTGTAAGGGGCACTCATTTTTCTTCAGTTAAAAATATAAAAATGACTTCACTGACATGGTTAAATTGCAAGAACCCTCAGTTCTTTAGGGATGGACTAAATGGCTGACATTAATGCTTACAAAAGTATCTTGAACTTGATGCAGCTTCTGCTGATAAAATTTATATTCTTGTTATCTTTTAATTCCATTTTCCACAACTTTTGTTGAAGTCCCTTCATAGTTATTGGTTGAAGGACAATGAACAGATTTATTGCCTTTTTTCTATTCTTTTTTAAAAATTTATACATAATAGATGTACATAGTTTTGGGGTACTTGTGCTAATTTAATATATTCACATAATTTGTAAGGATCAAATCATTGTACTTGGTGTGTCCATAACCTTAGATATTTTTTCTTCATTCCAGAACCATGTTAATTCATCTCTTCTTGCTATTTAAAAATGTATGATAGAATGTTATAAACTATAGTCACTCTACAGATCTAGCAAACACTAGGTCTTATTTCTTCCATGAAACCATATATTTGTACTTATTAATCAACTTCTCTTCATTCTTCCCCTCCTCTCTACCCTTACCTGTCTTTTTTATCTCCCACAGAAGAGTTATTTGTTTAAGTTCCTTGTAGGTTCTAGATATTAGTCCCTTGTCAGGTGTATAGTTTGGAAATATTTTCTCCTATTCTGTAGGTTGTCTATTTACTCTGTTGATTATTTCTTCTGCTGTGCAGAAGCTTTTTAGTTTGATTAAGTCCCATTTAACATGTGATATTTGTCTTTCTGTGCTTGGATTATTTCACTTGACATCATGACCTCCAGTTCTGTCCATGTTGCTGCAAATGAGAAGATTTCATTCTTATGGCTGAAAGATATTTCATTGTGTGTATATATCACATTTTCTTTATCCATTTATCCACTGTTGAGCAGTTAGGTTGATTCCATATTTTGACTATTGTGAGTAGTGCTGCAATAAATATGGGAATGCAGAGATTTTTTTTGACATATTGATTTGCTTTGTTTTGGACATATACCCAGTAGTTGAATTGCTGAATCATATGGTGCTTCTATTTTTAGTTTTCTGAGGAAACTCCAAACTGTTCTCCATAATGGCTGTGCTAATTTACATTTTCATCAACAGTGTACGAGGGTTCTCCGTTTTCTGCACTCTTGCCAGCATCCGTTTTTTCCTGTCTTTTTGATAAAAACCACTTTAACTGGGGTGAGATGGTATCTCATTGTTGTTTTGATTTGCATTTCTCTGATGATTAGTGATGTTGAACATTGTTTTTCATATACTTGTTGGCCATTTGTATGTCTTCTTTTGGAAATGTCTACTCAGATCATTTGCCCATTTTTATTTGGATTGTTTATTTGCTATTGAGTTGTTTGAGTTCCTTATATATTCTGATTATTAATCTGTTGTCGGTTGAGAGTTTACAAATATTTTCTCATTCTGTGGGTTGTCTCTTCACTTTGTTGATCATTTCTTTTGCTGTGCAGAAGCTTTTTAACTTAATCTAATCCTATTTGTCTATCTTTGCTTTGGTTGCCTGTGCTTTTGAGGTCTTATACAAAAAATCTTTGCCCAGACCAATGTCCTGTGGCGTTTATCCAATGTTTTCTTCTAGTAGTTTCAAAGTTTCAGGTCTTAGATTTAAGTCTTTCATCCATTTTGTTTAGATTTTTGTGTATGGTAAGAGATAGGGGTCTAGTTTCATTCTTCTGCATGTAGATATCCAGTTTTCCCAGCATCATTTATTGTCCTTTAAATGTGTTTAATTTATATCTGTGTTCTCTACTCTGTTTCATTGGTCTATGTGTCTATTCTTATGCCAGTAGCACGCTGATTTAGTTACAATTGCTTTGAAATAAATTTTGAAGTCAGGTAGTATGATGCCTCCAGCTTTGTTCTTTTTGCTCAGGATTGCTTTGGCTATTAAGGGTCTTTTGTGATTCCATATACATTTCAGAATTTTTTTTCTATTTCTGTAAAGAATATCATTGGTATTTTGATAGGGATTGCATTGAATCTATAAATTGCTTTGGGTAGTATGGTCATTTTAACAATATTAATTTTTTAAATCCATGAGCATGGAATATATTTCTTTGTGTGTGTGTGTCAGCTTCAATTTCTTTCATTAGTGTTTTATAGTTTTCTGTATAGATTTTTCACTTATTTGGTTAAATTGATTACTAGGTATTTTATATTCTTTGTAGCTAATGTAAATGGGATTGCTTTCTTGATCTCTTTTTCATATTGTTTGCTATTGGCATATTTAATTGCTACTGATTTTTGTATGTTGATTTTGTATCCTGCAAATTTATTGAATTTGTTTATCAATTCTAACAGTTTTTTTTGTGTGTGTATTCTTTAGGTTTTCCTGAGTATAAGACCATGTCATCTGTGAATAAGGATAATTTGACTTCTTTCTTTCCAGTTGGAATGCCCTTTATTTCTTTCTCTTGCCTAATTACTCCGGCCAGGGCTTTCAGTACTATACTGAATAAAAGCGGTGAAAGTGGGCATACTTGTCTTATTCCAGATCTTAGGGAAAAGGCCTTTAATTGTTTCCCATTCAGTATGAACTTAACTGTGAGTTCGTCATATAAGGCATGTATTATTTTGAGCATGTTCCTTCTATACCCAGTTTGATGAGGGTTTTTATCATAAAGGGATGTTGAATTTTATCAAATGCTTTTTTGACATCTATTGAGATAAGCAAGTGGTTTTAGTTCTTGTTTCTGTTAATGTGATGTATTTTGTGCTAGTATTTTGTTGAGGATTTGTGCATCTAAGTTCTTCAGTGATATGGCCTGTAGTTTTCTTTTTTCATTGTGTCCGTATTTGATTTTCATATCTGGATAATGCTGGCCTCATAGAATGAGTTTGGAAGTGTCCTGTCCTCTTCAATTTTTTTGAAGAGTTTGAGAAAAATTCTTATTACTTCTTTAAATGTTGGATAGAATTCATCAGTGAAGCTATCAGGTCCTGGGCTTTACTTTGTTGGGAGACATTTTATTATGGCTTTGATCTCATTATTTATTATTGGTTTATTGAGATTCTGTATTTCTTCATAGTTCAATCTTGATAGGTTGTATGTGTCCAGACATTTATCCATTTCTTCTAGGTTTTCCAATTTGTTGGAGTATAGTTGTTCATACTAGTTTCTTATAATCTTTTTGTATTTCTGTAGTCTCAGTTGTTATGTCTCCTTTTTCATTTCTGATTTTATTTATGTGAGTTGTCTCTCTTTTTTTCTTAGTTTAGCTAAAGATCTGTTATTTTATCTTCTTAAAAAAGTAACTTTTCATTTTGTTAATCTGTAATTTTATTTCGTCTGAATTTCATTTATTTCTGCTCTGATCTTTATTATTTCTTTCTTCTATTAATTTTGTTTTTTTTCTTGCTTTTCTAATTGCTTGAAGTGCATTAGGTTGTTTCTTTAAAGTCTTTCTACTTTTTAAATATAAGTGTTTACTGCTATAAACTCCTCTCTTATTACTACTTTTGCTGTATCCCATATATAGTTATGTTGTATTTTCATTTTCATTTTTTTCAATAAATTTTTAAATTCCTTCTTAACTTCTTCATTGACCTATTGGTAATTCAGGAGCATGTTGTTTAATTTCCACATGTTTGTAAAGTTTCCAATGTTCTTGTTGTTATTCATTTCTAATTTTACTCCATGTCATCAAAAAAGGTACTTGATATCATTTCTACTTTTTAAAATGTATTGAGACTTGTTTTATCACCTGATATATAGTCTATTCTGGAGAATATTCTATATGCTGGTGAAAAGAATGTGTATTCTGCAGCAGTTAAGTGAAATGTTTTATAAATGTCAGTTAGGCTTATTATGTAGTGTGTAGTTTAACTCCAGTGTTTGCTGATTTTCTGTCTGCATGATCTGTCTCATTACCAAGAGTGGGGTGTTAAAATTTCCTACTATTATTGTATTGCAGTCTACTTCTTCCTTTAGATCTATTAATGTTTGCTTTGTATACTTTGGGAGCTCTGGTACTGGATACATAAGTATTTATAATTGTTATATCGTTTTGCTGAATTGACCCCTTTATCATTACGTAGTGGCCTTTTATGTCCTTTTCACAGCCTTTGATTTGTAGTCTATTTTTTCTCATATAAGTATAACTACTTCTGCTCCTTTTTGGTTTCTGTTTGCATGGAATATCATTTTCCACCCTTTCACTTTCAGTCTCTGTGTCTTTATAGGTAAGGTGGGTTTCTTATAGGCAGCAAATAGTTGAGTCTTGTTTCTTTATTCATTCAGGTACTATGTCTTTTAATTGGGGAATTGAGTTCACTTACATTTAGTGATAACATTCAGTGTTATTATTAAGTAAGGGCTTACTATTGACATTTTGTTGTTTGTTTTCTGGTTGCTTTGTAACTCTTCTCTTCCTTTCTTCCTGTCTTTCTTTGTGGTTAAGTGATTTTCTCTGGTAGTATGTTTTAATTCATTGCTTTTTATTTTTAGTGAGTCTATTATAAGTTTTTACATTGTGGTTACCATGAGGCTTACAAAAAATATCTTATAGATATAACAAGTTATTATAAGGACATGATAACTTATCTTAGATCACCAAGAAAAGAATAGAAACAAAAATAATTTTAAAAACCTACACTTTAACTCCACTTCCTCTCCCATTTTGACTTTTATTTGTCTCAACTTACATATTTTTATATTACCCATTTCTTAACAGTTTGCTGTAGCTATTATTGTTTTGATATATTTGTCTTTTGGCCTCCATACTAGAGTTATGAGTGGATTGCACACCATAATTACAGTATTAGAGTATCCTGGGTTTGTATACTTAATTTTACCAGTAAGTTTTATGCCTTCAATTTTTTTTTTTTGCACTTCAATGGTTTTTTTTTTTTTTTTTCTTTCAGATTGAAGAACTTCTCTTAGCACTTCTTGTCTGATGGGTCTGGTGGTAGTGAATTCTCTCAGCTTTTGGTTGTCTGGGAAAGACTTTATCTCTCCTTCATATTTGAAGAATAGCTTTGCTGAATGTAGTAATTTTGAGTGACAGTTTTTTTTCTTTCAGCACTTTGAAAGTATAATTCCATTTCCTCCTGGCCTGTATGATTTCCATTGAGAAGTCTGTTGCTAGACAAATTGAGGCTCCTTTGTGTAATATTTACTTCTTTTCTCTTGTTGTTTTTAGGATCTTCTCTTTGTCCTTGACCTTTGAGAGTTTGATTATTATATGCCGTGGACTAGTCTCACTCGGGTCAGATCTTTTTGGAATTCTCTGATCTTCCTATACCTAGATATTTATCTCTTTCTCAAATTTGGGGAAGTTTTTTCTCTTTGAGTAAAGCTTTTTATCTCTCATTCTTGTTGAACTCTCTTTGAACAACAATAATTCTCAGATTTGGCCTTTTGAGGTAACTTTTTACATCTTGTAGATAATCTTCATTGCTTTTCATTCTTTTTTTCTTCTCTGAGTGTGTATTTTCAAAAGCCTATCTTCAAGCTCACTGATCTTTCCTTTGCTTGATCCATTCTGTTGTTGAGAAGAGCTTCTAATGAATTTTTCAGTTCAGTAAAAATATTTCTCAGTTCCAAGATTTTGGTTTGATTTTTAAAATTATTTCAGTCTTTGTTAAGTTTCTGTGGTAAATTTCTGAATTGTTTTTCTGTTTTATCTTGGAGATCACTGAGTTTCCTTAAAACTACTATTTTGAATTCTTGGTGAAAGAGATAACATACCACCATCTCGTTAGGGTCAGTCACTGGTTCCTTGCTTTGTCCATTTGAGAAGATCATGGTTCCCTGTTTGCAGTTGCTTCTAATGGATGTATGTTTATGTCTTTGCATTGAAGGATTATTTGTTTCTGTCTTCCCTGGCTGGCTTCTTTTGTTTTTTATTGGATGTATTTGTTTAGAGATTCTTCACCACTAGGTAATTGACTCATTTTCAACTCTAGGTAGCGCTTTAAGCCCAGGTTCGCCGTCCTTCTAATAAATGATCTAAGCAGTGCCCTTTCTGAATGGGGGGGTCTCAAAGGGGATACCTCAGCAGTGTGAGACAGCTGGCTAGGGATTCATTCCCAGAAGACCTGTGGGACAAACCTCCTGCAGTGTGATGCTGCTGTAGGTCTTGCCTCCCCTTTTTGTCTGCCTCACATCAGGGATGGTTCTCCTTTCAGTCACTTGTGATGCTTTCTGTGAGTTAAGGTAAGGAGAGGTCTCCTGTCAGAGAACCCAAGATGGTGGAGAAGTTGGTTGCTCTTCTCAATCTCACCTTTTGCAGTGTAGAAACAGTGAGTTGGAGAACAATTTTCTGCATACTTGGTGCTGGGCAGAATGAGGGGAGGGGCATCGTGGATGTGAGAGTCCAGTTCTTTTACTGCCTTCTCGGAGTTTTTTCACGTCTCTGCAGCCCCCAAAACTATCTCATCCTCATCTTTGACTGCTGGGTTATTTCTGATGATAATCTTGGCACTTATATTTGTTTTTTGTATCCTGCTGGTGGGGGAAGGGTGGTGGAAGTATGTGAAACTAGCTTGCTTCTGTGCTACCATTTGGGAACTGGAAGACTCAGGCATTCTTAAATATTTCTGAACCTCAGTTTTCTCTTCTGGAGAATAGGGATAATAACTATAGCTGCCTTTCAGGACTCCTGGAAGGACACACTGTATTTAACTCATGGAAAGTGCCTGGCACACTGCCGGGCAAAAAGAAGGAGCTCAAATGTGCCAGCTATGATTATTTCCACAATTCTACAGTTGGGTTGGTTTATGTCCAACTCACCTAATAATTTTTGGTAGATAAAATGAGACAACAGATGGGAAAACATTTTTGGAATGTATAAATTGATTTTTTAAAAGTAGTGATTTTTCTAGATTTTTCTAAATCTTAAAAGAAAATCATTCACAAAGGTTGTTTCATCAGTATGTGGCTAGTGGCTTTGACGTGTACCTTTGAACAAGGGTAGAAAGCAGGTAAAGAGACAAAGGGAGGTCACCAGGAGGGTGCAGGGTTCTGGGCTGAGAGTCGTAGGAGCAAAAGAGTCCATACTTCCTGAGGAAAGCGAAGATAAAATCATTTGGGTAGGGAATCCTGGCTAAAGACAGATTCCAGAGGGCCCTGGGTGGTAGGCGAAGACCTCAGGCTTTAACCAGCAGGCAATGGACATGAAACTAATCACAGTGGCACCCAAGTGACTCTAGCTTCTCCATAGCCCTTTGACCTGACAAATTATGAGTCTGTTTCTCTGACTATATGTCTTCATATGTTGCACAAAGCTCAGAAGAGTTTCACGTAAGCCTTGAGGGCCTGACACAAAAAGCTGGTGAAGGCCATGAAGGAAGGGAGGCCTGTGCCCTGGGGCGACTCAGCCTGTTCAGGGACTCATTGCCCAGCAGAAGGCTTGGTGCCCAGCCCTCAGCCTTCTGTGACTGACTCTATGTGGCTGAGAGTTGGGTCTCAGCCGATTAGAGATGGAGTGGGGTAGATAGGGGGTCCTGTAGGATGCTTCCAAGGCTCCAGGATGAAATCTGCCCCATAAGATGGGATAGACCCATAGATCCTCTGCTCAGACCTTGATTACACTCTGAAGACCCACCCTGGTAGAGATACTCACCCTGGATTTTGAGATTTGTAGGGGTGGGGAAGTGGGAAGGGATAAAAGTTTGCTAAGAACCATGAATGCTCATGATCATTCTATGAGGTGCCTGTAGTTTACAAATGAAGACCTTGAGATTGAGAGGCTAAGAAACTCCCAACTCCAGATTCAGACATGGGGAAGCATTATAATGTGATGGAGAGAATGTGTTAGAAGTCAGGCAGAAGTGGTTTCAGATCCCCTTCTTACCATCAATTTGCTTGCTTATCTGTAAGCTCCTGGGCAAATAACTTCACCTCTTTTTGCCTTCTTTTCCCCATTGAAAATAGGAATAGTCACACCCTTTATTACAAGAATGATGTTACAATGATCTGCGATGGCATAGTTAAAGTATATAGTGCCATATGTGGGAAATGATAAGAAGTTGGTAAGGATTAGTGATGATTATTTCTTTCAGAATCTAATGGTATGGGAAGAATAGAACATAGGCAGGGAGGTAAATCCAGGAAAGGCCTCTCTGGGGAAGAGATATTTCAATTGAGATAAGAGGGAGCCAGCATTATGATTATTATGGAATGACGGATTTATTATAGTTGGAACAGTAGTTGGACATATTCAAGAAACCCAGCACATCCAGCCACCAAGGGGAGGCCATGAGAAGAGCTCATGTAGAGGGTGATGGGATACTGCTGCCTCTGTGCAGTTTGTACCTCTCTGGGCCTGCAGCCATGCCTCTGGAGGTGAGCCTTGGGTAGATGTTGGTCAGCGAGACCTACCATTAGAAAGACAAGCTGGACACAAAATAGAAGAGCATGGGGTCAAGCAGAGATACTCCAGGTACCTCTGTGCCTGCCCATCAGCATATCTGACTATGATGAACTTTCAAGGATGCTGACTGCTGCTTCACTTCCTACTTTCCAAATCTTGTGCAAGTTCCTATTTTGGCCAATTCTCTCCCAGAACCATGCAATAGGGGGATTCTGAGAGCTACAGTTTCAACTTATCCAGTTGACAGCACAATTATGACAATGCTGCTACATTATTTCTTAAGATAGGAAAAACTTGAGGGAGAAGTTTGGGATGGGGAAAATCAATTCTGTTGTGGACATACTTCATTTTATATGTATGTTTAAGATGGCCTCAGTGACCCCTGTGTCCTGCTGTTCATGCCCTCTGTAATTCGCTATCCTTGAGTGTGGGCTGGATTTAATGACTCACTTCTAGCAAGCAGAATTTGGCAGAGGTGATGGAACCTGAGATGAGCTTACAACCATGGCTTCTGTTTTGGGTACTCTTTCTTGTTCTCTCATTCCCTTGCCCTGAAGCAAGCCAGTTGCCCCTCTGTTAGCTGCCTGAGATGCCTACATGGCAAGGATCTGTAGAAGGCATTTGGCCAATGGCCAGTGAGGAACTGAGACCCCTGGTCCAATGACCTACCAGGAACAGAACCCTGCCAACAACCACATGGGTGAGTTTGGAAGCAAAGTTTCCCTTGGTTACACCTTCAGATGAGACTGCAGCTCCAGCCAACAGCATGACCATAATCTTATGAGAGAACCTCAGTTAGAAGCACCCAGATAAGTGGCACTAGATTTCTCACTTACAGAAAATGTGACATAAAAAGTATTCATTGTTTTAAACCACTAAATTTAGGGGGTAATTTGTGAGGCAGCAATAGGTAACTAGTACAGACATTCAAATGAATATTTGTGCTTGGAGCTTAAGGGAGAGGTCAAAGGTGGAGTAAGTGTTTAGCAACCATTAGTATTTGATGGCACTTAAAACCATGGAACTGGATAAGATGATTAAAGTAAGAACAGTGATCAGAGGAGAGCAGAGCTCTGAGGAGTGAGCCTTGGGGGTTGCCTGCCTTCAAGGTTTGGCCAAACAAGGGAAATTTAGCAGAGTGAATGGGCATAAAGATGCCAAGGTGGAAGGAGGAAGAGCAGAAGGGTGTGGTGTCAGGAGTCAGGAGAAAATTGTGTCAAGGAGAGAAGTCTATGCTGCTGTGAGTTCAGTTAAGGTGAATACCTCTGAGAAGATGTCACTGACTTTGACCACAGGGAGTTGATTGGCAACCTGGACCAGCAGCTGGAGTGGAAGAGAAGGCCTGTTGGAGAGGACTGGGGAAAGCAGGGAGCAGGGAAGTGATTGTGTTCCTGACTAGGCAGCAGGAGGTGTGTCCAAAGAAATATGGACTTTCCCTTTCATTTCCACTAAAGCTGTGTTTACTTTCCTGTGTGGTTCTTGGTCTCTGGAAATGGGAGGCAGGAGAGGAAGACAGAGGTTAGGGCTGAGTAGAGGGTGGTGTTAGGGAACTTGACTGCCATAGCTGAAGCAAGTTTGATGGCAGAGCCAGGGGGCTCATGTGGTTTAAATCCTATTTGGGTTAATTAGTTAATGAAATCGCTTTTGCAAAATTATGATAATAAGATAAATCTGACATGGCTGACTCCATCTTGCTTCTAGCCTCATAGGCTGGCTGTCTTCACTCATTCCTGGGCTTAGTCCAAGCTAACTTTGGGAAATAGTTTATAGTATAAATGATAATAGGCTTTCTCCAAAACTCAACCACCTTTGTAAAGCTAATGAAAGGCCACCAGGTTAAGAGGATGTGAGGAGGCTGAATTCTGCTAGGGTGTAGACATAAACCATTACCAGTCATTATTCCAGGAGTCACAAGATATGTAGCTTTCCCAATTACTCCTGCAGATAACATCGCTACCTTAGATCCTAAGATTGGCCATTTGATATGTCTTTTCAGGTGTTTGCATTTCTGAGTACCAATGGCTGTACCTGGACCTGCCCTGACCCAACTGGTCCTGTGGCCCCCACCCAGAAGTAGAATCCCTGGCTTGCCAAACAACCATTGAAAAACCCTAGCCTCTGAGTTTTCGGAGATTGATTTGAGTAATACTTCTGTCTGCCATATGGTGTGGCTGGTCTTGTGTCTATTAAACTGTTTCTTTATTGCAATGCCACTGTCTGGTTTTGTCTGTGTGGTGAGCAAGAAGAACCCATTGGATAGTGATGTTAAGATAGTTTCTTTGTATTGTCTGAACTAGAGATCTATCCTTCAGCCATTCAATGCTTTGCACAGGGACTCTGCCAGGCCATGGTGATCCATCATCAAGTCAGACATCATGCAAACGGGAGAGAATCCAGGGTCTGGAGAGGGACAGATGATTTCATAAACATTATAGGACCTGTGAGTAGTCAAAGTGAAACAGAGGTACATCCTGGCATTAAGGGAGAGAGAGAAGGAGGGCCCAAGGTCGCCTGGGGGAGTGAATGAAGACTTCCTGGAGGAGGTGGCCTCTAGCGGAGCTTAAAGACCTTGTTGTTAGCACAATGATCAGATATTCCAGGCCTCTTCCTGCCCTCCCCTCCAACCCCACCTGCTATTTCTCCTCCAACTCTTCCCTTCCAAGTTTCCCACTGTCCAGCTTTTCCCCTCCCCAAACATCTCACCTTTCTCCTTCCAGTTATCTCCCTTGTCCTCCCCCTTTCTTTTCTCTCTCCTCCCTTCTCCACCCCCTTCCACTGCTCTTTTCTCTCCTTTCCCTCCTTCTTTTCCTCCCGCTTCCCTGGCCCAGGATGAAAGCCCTTCTGCAGCCTCCCAGCTGATGAATTATGCATGTCATTCAGCGGGTGTGCCTGGCATCCAATTAGGGCCTTGGCCAGGTTGATCACTTAGACAGATTAAAATGTAATTCATTGGGGCTGACATTTAAGCCCCAGTGTGAATGGCAATGAGGAGAAGCAAATGCTCTCCCGGTACCTGGTGTGTGTTTGGGGGTGGGGGTGGCTACCTGCACTTGCTTAACTAATTCCAGCCTGGAGTAATATCAACACACAGACTGGTCTCTGATGCACAATGGGACTGGGGAAAGGCCCAATGCAGGCTTTGAGCCAAAGGAAGCTTAAAAGAAAAAAAAAAAACAACTTTTTATTTAGAACTAATTTGAGATTTACACAAGAGTAGTGATAATAGCACAGAGTTCCCATATGCCCGTCACTGAGCTTTCCCTAATGTTAACATCTTATGTAACCACAGCACAAGGGTCAAAACTAAAAAATTAACGAGGGTACAATACCATTAACTAAACTGCTGACGTTTTTCCGATTTCACCCAGTTTCCCACTAGTGTCCTTTTTCTGTTCCAGGATCCAGGCCAGGATCCCACATTCTAAAGCAGCCCTTTGGGATCGTGCCTCTCCAGGGACAGCAATTCCTCCCTGCTCCCCAGACCAGCAATTCTCAAACGTTAGAGTCCAGAAAGTTATCAGGGATTTCGTTTAAAGGGCATGTCCTTCCCTAGACATTCTGATGCAGTGAGTCTTAGATAGAACCCTGGGTGTCCTTAGCAAGCATCCCCAGCCAGACACGTACTCCCAGAGAACTGGTTGGTTCCTGGTTTCTTTCTAAGTCAGGTGTCAACTTTAGATTTCCTTCATCCCCTGGCGTAGCCTCAGGATACAGCAGAGTTACCCCCACCCACCACCTACTACCAGACCGTGGGGAGACAGCTGGGCTAACACAAAATCCTGATTTTTGAACCAATGGGTCAGACACATCATTTGCCAGGCCAACCCCCCTGGTTAAGTCCTTCTTGAAGAGGGGAGAAAGTGACATTTACCTGCCAGTCACAGATATATACATATTTTCATTTAATGCAAAGAGATTATCTGTAAGTAGATACTATTTTCCCCATTTTATAGGTGAGGAAACTGAACAAAAGTGATATTAAGGGTAGGGTTGCCAGATTTTGCAAATAAAAATATAGGAGGCCCTGTAAAAGTTGAACTTTAGGTAATACAATACTGGAGACATACTTATATTTTTAAATATTGTAATTTACTAGAAATTCACATTTAACTGGACCTCCTGTATTTTATCTTGCAGCCCTGATTAAGTGGTAAGTCTGTGGCTGCAGAGCTAGTAAGTAGGCCCGGATGTGGATCTGACTCTGATTTCTGCAGCACAGGGCACCCTGTGCTTGCCAGCTCACTGCCTGCCTCACCTAGTGAGCTGCAGGCAACATGACGTGGGAACAGTGTGGATTTGTTTCCTGCTGTATCTCCAAGGCCTGGCACCATATGGCAGTAGATGCTTAATAAATATTTGTTAAATAAATGAATGACTAAATGCATTCATGAAGGGACTTGATACTCTCTTTGTACCAGGGAAGGCTGCAGATGATGGTGATTAAACAGAAAGACTGAGTTGGCGAGGTTGAAACTGCCTTTGCAAATTTATAACTGAGGAAATTATAACAGTGAAAGAAATCAGATCTAACTGACTCCATCTTGCTTCTAACCTTTAAGCTGTCCTTGTTCATTCCTGGGCATAGGCTGAACTAACTTTGGGAAGGGATTCAGTTCATGGTTTGACTCTGAAACAAAATAGATAATAGCCCTTTCCCGAAAAGACCCTCTTCTTTCCTGGGGACCAGTCTGCTTTTGCAGGACTAACAGATCAGCTACAGATTACAAATTACAGTTCAGGGGTCATGCAGCCTCTGGCTCCAAGAGCCTGAACCTCCCCAAATTGCTCCTGGGGATGACATCACTACTGTAAACCCTAAGACCAGTGCTTGAGATATTTTGCAGACCCTGCACTCCATGGATCAGCTGACACCACCCAGACCGGCAATCTGGCTCAACCAGTTCTGCCATTGCACCCAGGAACAGAAGACAGCAAGAAAAACTCACTTCAGACAGCAAGAAAAACTCACTTCGACCCCCCTATGATTCCATTTCCAGCCTGACCAATCAGCACTCCCCACTTCCCAAGCTTCTACCTGCCAAATTATCTGAAAAACTCTGATCCCTGAATGCTCGGGGAAACTGATTTGAGTAATAATAAAATTCCGGTCTCCCGCACAACCAGCTCTGCATGAATTACTCTTTCTCCATTGCAATTCCCCTGTCTTGATAAATCTGCTCTGTCTAGGCAGCCGGCAAGGTGAACCCAGGGCAGTTACAAGGTGCTGGGTGATAAAACTGCCTGTGGGTAGGCAAGAGGAGCTGGAGGTCTGTGACCTCATGCCCACACCTGGGGGCTCAGTTCTTGCACACTGAACAATGGCAAAGAGCCCTTTTTGTCTTCACCTCTCAGGGCCTCTGTTTTCTCAACGGTGAAATGGGATTGTGTCTCTTCCAGTTCTAGGCGTCTGTGAGTCTGTGCTTTTTCTTCCTTAACCCCACACTCCAGCAGGTAAAGAATATAGCCAAAGTAGAGGATTTGCTGTTGAACACTACACATTTACTTCCCAGGTCGCTATTTCTTCTCCCTCCTCCTGGTCTTTTCCCTGCTCCTTCTCTTCCTCCTCTTCCTCCTCCTCCTTGTCTTCCTCCTTCTCCTCCTCCTCCATGTCCTCATCCATCTCATTCTCCTTCTCCTCTTTCTCTTCCTCCTCTGCCTCCTTTTCCTATTCCTCCTCCTCGTCCTCCTCCTCCTTCTCCTCCATGACAACTTTCTGAGCACCCCCTTGGTGCCTGGCCTTTGTTTTTTTCCTCGAATGCTCCCTTCCACCCTAGCAGACAAAATCAGAAGCCCAGAGAGACCCGGCACAGCACAGCTCCTCACAGACAAGGAAAGACGCTGGGAGCGCATTGTATCTTTTAAAATAGACCTGTTGTCGTCGGAATGTATTTTTAGCCATGGGAGAGACTGGCATGCACTCAGTGCCACCATCTGCCAAAGGCAGTTGCTAGGCAACTGACACTGACGACAGCGAGAAGATGACTTCATGGAGGATCTGGGGACCCTGGTGGCCCAATCCTGCTTCCCTGTCTGATGCCTGCATGCCGACAGTCAGGCCCATGAGAATACATGTTCCTCTACTTCTGGGAGGGGCGGGGAGTTGATACAAGGCCTGTGAGCTGACAGCATTGGATGCTGCACAGGTAACAAGGGACACTGGGCCATCACTGTCACCTTGCTTGGTAGATTTTCTATTTAGAAACTTCAGATGCAACTGTGGTCTAAGATGGGGGCTCTGAATTCAACTAGACCAAAGAATACACATCCCTCTCCCTGGCAGCCCCATAGGCACTGGTCTGGGTCTGGGCAGGAGCTGTTTGGAGGTAGCTGGCTCAGAGGAGGCTTCATAGACAAAGCAGCAGGTCAGTGGCCAGGACCCTGGATTCTGGCCCAGTTCTGCGTTTTGCTCTCTATGTGAGTTGGGTCAGTCTCTTCCCTTTCCTGGCCCCACCTTTCTGTCACCTTCCAAGTAGGGATACTGCACCAGATAAAATACATTTATGGGAATAAAAAACAGAATAAGCGCAGAATAGAAAACCCATAAGCCAGATCTGGGTTTGCTCATATGATACTTCAGGTAGGATACTGAAATTCTCAGTGCCTTCATCTCTTTATCTGCAAACAGTAGTAGTAACACTTCTGTTGTGTTGTGAGAATTAAACAAAGCAGCACATGAAAGACATGCACCTTTGTTTTGGCATATTTTGGAGCACAATAAATGGGTGAGTATTATTCAAGTTCTGTAGCAGAGACTGTATGTTGTCCACCACGATCGTTTCTTCTTGTCCTTATTAATAGATTTTAAACTGGGCGTGTTTCCAGCCTCCCTTGTAGCTAAATTCTCACCAAAGGCATATGAAAGGAAGGGATGGGGGCAGCTTCTACTTCACTCACTTACAGGAAAATTGCTTCCCTGAGTATCTTCTGTTTTCCTGTCTGTAAGCGGGAGCACAGATATACCTGGGACACAGTTTCACCATGCAGAGAAGGAGGACATGTGGGGGCTGGGGCAGAGCAACAAGATGGAAGGGACCTGGGGCCACTCTTGTCTTAGTACAGTTCATGCACTAAAAAGAGGACTGAGTGAATTAGTTTGCTTGGGAGGCAGGAGCACTGGCAGATGAGTGGGGAGGGGACAAAGAGAAGGAAAAGCAGCCACAGTGTGGATGACAAGAGCTTAATCCCATAGGGAGGATCTGGGAAATCGTGTGAGACAGGCTTTAGGGCAGGCCAGGGAGTGAGGAAGCAGGGGCAGTTTTATCCTGACACCCATCAGACCCTGGTACCTCCAGTCTTCCACATGCTGTGAGCAGAGTGAATGTTGGCAGCCCAAGGGCAAAGATGCAAGTGCTGGCCATGGGCAGCTGGGCCAGAGGGTACAGAAATGGTATGGGGCACCAAGGGGATGTAGGCATAGCTCCTGCAGCATCAGCCATGCTTTGCCAGAAAGAGAAATAGACTTCCATGCTCTTGAAAATCTGTACATTGAGGATTTTCTGCAGCTTAGCTTTCCCCCTAATTAATTTAATTGCCAAGTGCGTGCATATGGAAGGTTTAGGTTTTATTCAGTCCCTCCAAGATCCTGGGCTTTATGTGGTACTCACGGAGTTTACGTTGTGATTGAGGAGACGAGGTTAATGCTAAGAAGCAGCAGCGTCTCAAAAGAGTGTGCAATCAAATGGTTAATGGTGTTTCTGGGGCTCAGGGAGCAAGTGGCACAGGCCCTCAGGAAAGGGGTAGATGAGTGTGGACCAGCATAATCAGAGAAGGCTTCCTGGAAGAGGTGGACTGAAGCTGTTCTTTATCTGCTGGAGAGGACTGGGAGAGCTGGGGTGAAGGGCATCCTTGCTGAACCATGGAATAGCGCCTTCTGTCAGGTGTGGGGTAAGCAGCTACCTTGGCTTCTTTGATGGCAGAGTGGACTCAGGCCAGTGGCTGTTGGAGGTGGCTGCATGGTGCACTTAGAAGAGTGGGCTGCAGGATTCCTCTTAGCTAGGAGTGACCTGGAGGAGGGGGTGTGGCCACAGGGCACATCGCCATTGCTCTCTGTGTCCTGAGATAGGGAGTCTAATGGCAGGTGTCCCTTCTCACACATCTGATATTGCCAGTGTCCAAATGGCATGTCGGGCTCACTGAGGCTGAGGCCTGCCCAGCACTCAGGGAGCAGAGGTGAATGTCCTGGAGTGAACTCTGGGGCTGGATGACCAACTCAGGCTGGGCACTCATGCAGGCAATGTGTCTAACAGGCTCAGCAGACAGTAAGCACTCACACCATCTTGGAAGGCAGGGCTGGGGGCTCCTTAGGGACCATCTGGTCCAGATCCCTCATTTTGAGGATGGAGGCATGAAGCCCAGAGAAGGGAATGAACTTGTCCAAGGCCAGCAGAGGTAACCAAAATTCAGATTTCCTAACTTTCCCAGGCAGCCAGTGCAGCGGACATAGAGCTAGGTGGGGCCACAGACCTCAGATCTTCTGCCGTTCACCTGTGGGCCATTCACTTTAGCCACTGGCCCCTTTTTCTTATTCATGGTAGCTCAGAACTCAAGAGAGGGTGAGATCAGGTTCCTCTGCCTCCAGACATGTGTGTGTGTGTGTGTGTGTGTGTGCACGTGCGCACGCACTCACATGCTCAATCCATGGTAATTAAAGCCTTTCCCTTTCCTTCAAATATCTATGGCTCCTCTCTGCCACCTCTCTGTGTTCTACCCCAATGTAGAACACAGTTCTCCTTGGTGTCTAACTGCAGTCATTCCTGCTTTGCTTTTGGTTTGATTTGTTTTGACATCTAGGCACAGTCTGGTTTTGCTGATGAATGTGAGGAGTGGGTTGAAGTTAGCAGATTAACTTTTATCCTCATTCTGTGTCCAATTTCAGTGGGAAAGAGGGTGCAGGAAAGACTCTAGCCCTCCATTTCCTCAACAATGAATTGAGGAAAAGTGGAAAGGAATGAGAAAATTCACCCTGGCTTCCCAAGTTCCCAGTCCTCCCAGCTCTGGAGGGAAAGTGGAGGGCAGTGTCTCTCAGAGGTAAGGAGGCTGTACAGCCTTGACCCAAACGAAGGCAAATGAAAATTGCCCTTTTGTGGGCTTGTTACAAATCCCATCACTTCTCTCCACTCCTCATGTCTACAAGTGTGGAGCATTCGTTCCCTGTTGTAGATTCTCTCTGCATTTTATTCTTTTAGAGAAAATATGAACAACTTCCTTTGTTCTTTTTGGGGAATTTTTGTCTGGAATGGAGAGAAAGGAGGAAGAAGGGTTCAGCCCTCAGCCCCTGAGAAGGGGAGCCACTCTGGAGCTGGTACTAAGTGACCATGTCCACTGCAGGTGGAAAAGTAGAGAGGCCTCCACGGGGCACCCAACCTATTTGGGGAATCAGGCCTACAAGTCAAGGTACTTATGGCCAATACAAGACATAAGATGAACTAAACTGCGGGAATTGCAGGTCACCTCAAACATACAGGTAGCAAGAAGGGAAAGATTAGTGTGGACTATCACAGTTAGAGAAGAACTATGGGGGCCAGGCGTGGTGGTTCACGCTTGTAATCCCAGCACTTAGGGAGGCCAAGGTGGGCGGATCACGTGAGGTCAGGAGTTCGAGACCAGTTTGACCAACATGGAGAAACCCTGTCTCTACGAAAAATACAAAATTAGCCGGGCATGGTGGCTCATGCCTCTAATCCCAGCTACTTGGGAGGCTGAGGCAGGAGAATCCCTTGAACCCAGGAAGTGGAGGTTGCGGTGAGCCAAGATTGCAACCATTGCACTCCAGCCTGGGCAACAAGAGCGAAACTCCATCTCAAAAACAAACAAACAAACAAACAAACAAACAACAACAAAACTGAGAAGACACTATAGGACAAGAAGCCTGCAGTGGGATGCTGACAGATGGGACTGGGCAGGATAAGAGGAACAGGAAGAGGAGGCTCTGGTGTTCAAGGGGGAAGAGTGAAGAAATCAGAGGCCCCAAGATGTGAAGGAGTAGAAATGAAGCTGGAGAGTTAGGCTGATTTAAGGGCTGCATGGATGGGGGCTAGAGGGGAGCAAATTGATAAAGAATCAGACAGGGCAGGGGAAGGAGGAGATGGTTCTTCAATACCGAGGCCAGACAAGAGAATAGTAAGTCAGAGCATACTCTGATAGCTTAGGAGGGCTTCTGGGGACAGTGGCATATCCATATCCATTTTCTAACAGTTTTGAGAGGGATGAGTAGGAATGGAGGGATCCAGTGAGTGGGACAGAAAGAGGGAAGATGGGCAGTTTCCTGTGGAGCAGACCTGCCATGCATCTCAATTCCCAGGAGCCCTGGAGATTTCCTCATTAATTCCACAGACCCGCTCATCAGTCACAAGAAGGGACAGTGACAGGGGCTTGGTGGTGAGGAGACTTGTCCTGTCAGGTCGAGCTCATCTCTTCGCACCCTCCCCCAAGAAGCCTGAGATGAATGAGTTGGCCTTGCCACCTGCTGTGGGGGGCTCACCTGAGAATAATGAGGGTGCCCTCTCTGACTATGCTGGTCCACACTTATCTGCCCCTTCCCTGAGGGCCTATGTCACGTGCTCCCTGAGCCCCAGAACCACGATGAACCATTTGATTGCATGCTTTTTTGAGACATTTCTGTTTCTTAGCATTAACTTTGTCTCCTCAACCACAACATAACCTCTATGAGTATCACACGGAGTCTGGGAGCTTGGAGGCACCGAATAAACCCAAAACCTTTCATATGCATAGCACTTGGCAATTAAATTAGTTAGGGAGAAAGCTAAGCTGCAGAGAATCCTCACTATACAGTGGCTTCATGAACGTGGAAGTCTATTTCCCTTTCTGACAAAGCATGGCTGATGATGCAGGAGCTGGATCCTTTGTCCCTTCTGACAAAACATGGCTGATGCTGAGGAGCTGACTCCTTTGCATCAAGTCCAGTGCCCTTCTGTCTGCTGGAGTTTCGTTCAGAAACAGAGAGTCCCTTATTGCCCATGGGATGAAGTTTCTCATTCCTTCCCATAGCACCTGAAGCTCTCAATCACTTGGCCTTGGCCTAAAGTCCTGTTCTTATTTCTCATTAGTATCTTATCATCGTCATCATCATCATCACCAAATAAAATTAACTAGCTTAATTGAGCACCTATCTATGCCAGGAACTGTTTTGAGCATAAGATGTGTAATAACTTTTTAATCTTTACAACAACCCTATGGGCAGAGACTATTCCTCTCCATTTCATGAAAGAGGAAACTGAGGCACAGAGAAACAAACTTGCCTGAGGTCTCTCAGCTAGCATGAGGTGGGACTGTCGATTCATCTGACCCAGAACTTCTTGCTGTGCCTCAAGCACACCATGCTGGCTCAGGACTCGCAGCTTTTAGCCAAGGTGGTCCTCCTGTCTACCTCTCAGCTTCTTACCTACCTTCTGAGCAGGTGCATAAGACCTGCCTGCAAGGTCTGTCTTAAAAATATCTCTTCTGAAAAGTCTTCTCCAGCTCCCCTGGGAAGCCCCTCTCTTGGGACTCCCCAGCACACTCCAATTCTGGTACCCAGCACATCATAATGCTGGTGTTCATTCACGTGCCCGTGGCTTCCCTCAAAGGAAGAAACCACCCTTTTTCTATTTTTGCACTCTTTTAAATAAACATTTAATTGACATGAAGGAACTACATTGTCAGCTTCAAGGCTTTTTCCTCCCTCCCTTCAAGATCTGGTGCAGAGCAAGGATTCAATAAGTATTCACTGAATGGAGACATCTTTCTGCCCTGGCTTGGCTCCTCTGTGACCACCCTGTTCCCAACTCTTTGCTGACTGGGAGAATCCAGACATCTCGTACAGCTGCAGCTCCGTGTGGCCCACTTTGGCTGGAATTCAAGGAGTAATTGCAGAAAAATGAGTATTATTACAAACCGCATCAATCAACACCCGTCTCCTCAAATGCTCTCACCAGGAAACAGGGACAATCTCAGTCAGACGTTGTCTTGTTTAAGCCTAAGTGTCTTTCTGGTTACCAGGGAATGTGTGCACCTTGGAGGGACACCAGAGTTGATCGTCTGTAACAGACTCCTTAGGATGTACTGCTTGTCCAGTTTGAGGCTGCAGGTCCCTGGGGATGGACAGACCTGAATTCAAATCCTGTCTGTCACTTTCTCTCTCTGTGGATTTGCACAAGGAGCTTAACTTCTCTGAGTCTTATTGTTCTTATAGGTGATGTGGGGACAGTAATACTTCCTGGGAGTGTTGTTGTGATGATCAAATGACATGGCTTGTCTAAAGTGTCCAAAGATTTCCTAGGCGATTAAAAAAATAAAAGCATCCTTTTCCTCCCACTTCTCAATTAATCATTGTATTCTTTGTTCTCCATTGCGCGTATAGTTTTGTAATCACGAGGACTTTGCGTCAGCAACTTGATGCTAAGGCCCAACTTTATCTGTGTGCTTTGCAGAGCTCAGAGGAACCAGGACAGTGTTTTCCTGGGGAAACTGGGGCTTGCTCTGGGCGTGGGAGGAAGAGTCACGTTAAAAATCAGATTTAGGGCCAGGCACGGTGGCTCATGCCTGTAATCCTAGCACTTTGGGAGGCTGAGGCAGGCGGATCACGAGGTCAGGAGTTCGAGCCTGACCAACATGGTAAAACCCCATTTCTCCTAAAAATACAAAAGTTAGCCGGGCATGGTGGTACATGCCTGTAATCCCAGCTACTCAGGAGGCTGAGGCAGGAGAATTGTTTGAACTTGGGGGGCGGAGGTTGCAGTGAGCCGAGATTGAGCCACTGAACTCCAGCCTGGGTGACAGAGCGAGACTCCATCTCAAAAAAAAAAAAAGTCAGATTTAAAGATATTCTGGGGAGTGCCAGGATAACGTGGATAAAAGGAGAAAAGCAACTGGGAAGCAGAGGACCCCTAGCCATGAAACTCCCCTCACTGTGGAAACCATCCATGCTTAGTCTGCATAGGAAGTTGTCTGTGTGATAAAGCCTGGATGCAGAGCCTGGGAAACATAATGGATGGGGAGGGCAGGACTTTGCTGCTGTAAGAAGTCTGGGGAGAAGAACTTCTTGCCCTGGGCTGCTGGCACATTTAGCAACCTGTTTGGAAAGAAAATTTATAAAACTTGAGACTCAAGTAGCCATGTGCCTCCACTTGCATGGATAGAGCTTGGGTGTGGTAGATTTTGGATGATTTTTGTCAATCTATTCAATTCAATTTAATAAAAATATCCTGATACTCTCTTTGGGTGAGACATAGCACTAGGAGTTGGGCATCCAGGACAGAACAAGAGAAGTTGACACTCTGTGTTGCTTGCAGTCTTCTAGACTGATGTAGGGGGAGGTATGGATTAGAAACATGGGGTGCTGACCCCTGGCTTGTGGTAAGGGGAGGCCCGACCTGAGACTAGAAAGATGAGTGTCTGGTGCCATTATGCTGTGCCAGGTGGGTCTATTTCCTCCACTTACGATTTACTTTGTCACTTATTAGCTGTGCTACTATAGGTAAATCACTGAATTTTTCTGAGCTTGTTTCCTTTTTTCTATAATGGAACTAGTATTAAAAACTTCCCATTTGAAATAGGTTTTGTGAAGATTAAGAGAGACAACGAGTATAACATATTTATGCAGTGCCTGTGTAATCACTGGTCAGGTGGTGGTAATAGTAGTAGAGATTTGACCCTGAGGGGTCCAGGAGTGGAGGAATTAGGATCTCGGAGTGAATCTATAGTTGGTGGCTTATGATCTGCCTTCCTTTGGCCTTCTCAGACTTTCTATGAAGTCACAAATTCTCTTTCCCTCTGCTATCAAATCCTGGCTATTTCTACACTTAAGTTCAGTTCTGCCCCCATCCTGGTACTCCTTCCTGACAGGGGCAGGTAGAAAGAGATTCACAGAGAAAGAACACAAGCACAATTATATTTCATTTCTAGCCTTGGCTTTGGCCCCAAATCCCGGTGAAACCACAGTGAGTTGAACTGGGTCTCTTTCGTGATCATGCCAATTCTTCATCTCTACAGATAAATTAAATTCCAGGAATCTCCTTTTCCTCATTTTATTTTTATTTTCCTCAGTCCCAGACGTGAAAAATCTTTCTCTGGAGCATCCAAGTGTAGTCTGATTTCCCTATTTAGCAGGGGCTGTGTTGTTAAAATCATCTCACTGTGAGTATACGGTTTTCTATTTCTCCTTATTTTTCTGTTAGTCTTTGCTTTATGTATTTTGAAGCTATGTTATTAGGTGCCTACAAGTTAATGATTGTAATAACTTCTTGCAACGTTTTCCCCATCTGGTTGTAAATATTTCCCTTTTCCCCCCTTACAACACAGGGCTTTGTACCATAGGGGAAGAGTTGCAATCTAAATCCCTCTCAACTAGACAATTTCTTTGATGGCTTTAAGCCAGTTAATTTTCCAGGTCTTGCAATTTCTGATGTAAAAGGTCTGTAAAGAGGATCTGAGCTAGAAAGACTCCAGTAAGATCTCAAACTGCTGAGAGAGTAAAATTGCAGAGAAGCCCACCTGATAACACTGCTCAGCAGTGCTTCTCCCTCACTGTCTTTTATTTTTACTATTTCTCTTATTTCTTCCTTATTAGTCTCTGAGAGCTTACTAAGCAGTTGGACTGCCATTATATCCCTGTGGATTGGGAAAATGATAATCCCCTTTTTACAAGTGAGAAAACTGAAGACCAGAGAGGTTGGTGTGACTTGCCTAGGTCTCCTCACTCAAAAATACTCATAATGGCAGAAACAAGACCAGAACTCATATATCTTGCCCCAAATCACTGCACAGTGACAATATTCTGTACTCAATTCCTTTGTTTCTTTTTTTCTTCATTAACTAGTTTGTTAAAAACAAATATTGTTTGAACCTCTTTCTGGTTTCATGCACTGTGCTAGGCATGTCCTTTTATGAGGCAGTTATGGCTCCTGCCCCCTTGGATCTCATAGTCTGGTGTAGAAAGCGTGTTGACACCTGCACACAGGTGCACTGGTGAGCATCATACCAGGAGTGCCCTGTTTCTCACCAACTCAAAGGCAGTATCTTTGGATGTATGAGCTGTGTCTTTTTTTTTTTCTCTGCATCCCTTTAGACTAACGAGTCCTGGTCTAGAACTCTGTAACCAAAAGGATCTCATTTCAGACTGATGCCTAGTAGAGGTGAAATGGCCATTCCCCCATCAGAATTATAAAGTGTGCAGTTTGTTTTTGTTGCCCTTCTTCGTTATACTGTCTGTCTTTCTTTCCTCTCTCTCTCCTATCTTTCTTCTGATCTCTCCTATTTCCATATTGACCTGGCTTCTCCAGTCTGGCAAACTCATCCCCTCATCTAAGGGTCTTGAGCTTCACTACCCCACATCCTTCTCCAGGCACATGTGTTGTAAGGAAGGAGTCACCAATGGTGGCATCTCAAGCAACAGCTGTGAGACAGAAATTCGGATGATGCCCCCCATGTCTTCCTATATATAAATCAAGAGGCATAAGATTATATCTGACAGGGACTGCACTTTTGTGTCTTCTGAGTTTCCTTCAAAATTCCCTGGGTTCAGGACTCTGACAGCTGCAAATGATGCCGTGAATAACTACTCCATCCTGAGTATCTTCTGGGGAAGAATTTAAATAAACAATGATTTCACAGGATGTAGGTCAGGACATGGAGAAGAATCCAAAGTGGTCTCCTCTCCCACATCCCTCCCACGGGCAGGTCCTTAGGATGTCAGTCCTGATGGTTAGGAAGTGGTAAACAGTGAAGACACTGCACCATCTCTTCCCACTGGAGCTATGTTATTAGGTGCCTACAAGTTAATGATTGTAATAACTTGTGGGGATGAGTAATAACTTGTGGGGATTGTAATAACTTGTGGGGGGAGAGTGGGGATGGCCATCCTTGGGACTTGACCAAACTGGACAGAAGTTGTCACATAAGAAAATTTCTGCTACCCATTCCATGCTCCATGGATCACAGCCTCCTCAAATGCAGTCATCATTAGAGTAAATGTTCGCATTTCTCATCCCCTGCTGCCGGCTGCCCTGGCCTGCCAGAGGATGAAGTTTGTTTCATTCTATAAACAGAGGAGAGGACATGGAAAATCTTTGGTGGCTTTCGGCAGAAGGATCAAAGCAGTATTCAGCAGCCAAATGCACAGTCAAAAAGGCTGAGATCAAAGAGGAAGGATTTAGTTTGAGGGTAAATTCTCCTGTGCCTCATTACAGTCCTCACCAAGGCTGCGATCCTTCCCTGTTGAAAGGAACAAGGATGAGGAATTTTGGCTGCTGCTGGCTGCTAAACCACGTGCTAACAGACAGACAATCCCAGCACAGCTGCAATGTAATTGTAAGCCTCGAAATTAAAATAAAACCCACTGATATATAAGAGGAAAAGAGGAACAACACCAGTGGGGTCAGAAAAAACATTTGCAAGAGCCCTTGGGTTGGCCTAAATCCTACATATAAAATGAGAGGTGTAAGTGTTTGCCATGGAAACCGTCAGGGGGAAGCTGGGGAAATTCAGGCCTTGGCAGGTGATTCCAGTCCTCCACTATGGCTGGTGCTCAGTGCACCAGGGAATATAAATGCCGCCCTCGATAAATAGAAAATCTGGAGAGGCCCGAGCCAAGGATTGGATACATTTTGTAAGGGGAAGGCTTTCTTGCCAGGATGGGGAATTTGCTTCCCAAACTGTATGGTTGGGCAGCCTTGTGTATTTTTTGCTGAGGGGCTTTATTTTAACTTTATAGTGTGAAGCTTTAAAAACAAAACAAACATCTTTTAATAAGATGCCTCCAAGGTATGTGCTTGCTGGCTTTATTTCCCTTCCTTTCTGGGAAAGGGCCTGTATTAGTCTGTTTTCACACTGCTAATGAAGACATACCCAAGCCTGGGTAATTATAAAGGAAAGAGGTTTAATTGACTCACAGTTCTGCATGGCTGGGGAGGCCTCACAATCATGATAGAAGGCGAATAAATGGCAAAGTCATGTCTTACATGGCAGCAGGTGAGAGAGTGTGCAGGGGAACTCCCCTTTATAAAACCATCAGATCTTGTGAGACTTAGTCACTATCATGAGAACAGCATGGGAAAGACCCACCCACATGATTCAATTGCCTTCCCCCAGGCCCCTCCCATGACACGTGGGAATTATGGGAGGCTACAATTCAAGATGAGATTTGGGTGGGGACACAGCCAAACCATATGAGGCCCCTGGCCTAGGTATGAGAGAGGTGGGCAGCTCTCCCCCTGACTCACACAAACCCCTTCCTCTTTGTGCTTCAGTTTCCCTATCACACAGTGAGGATGTGGGATGGGATAAGCACTTCCCACGTGCACTTTAAAGACAAGTGTTTGAACGAAACTTGGGCAAGGTACTGAGTGGATGAGATTTAAGTGTCCTGATACTAAAAGGAGTGTGAGTGAGTTGAATACTGTATAAGTTGGCAGGTCCAACTGCCTACCTTTCCCTGGCTTTTGGCTGCAGAGTGAGAGCAAGCTCGACTCTTGTTCCTCACCCCAAATCTGCTTGGCACACTTGCTTTTTTCCCTCTGGACAATCACCAGGGGCCTTCTCAGCCCTGACAAGCAGAATTTTGCTGCAGGCTGTGGGTCTTCAGCCCCTGGAAGTGGCTGTGGCATTGCAATTTCATTTTTCCTGGAAGACAAGTTCCCCTCCTTTCTTTCAGGTCCCTGCACAAGCTTTATTATGGGATTCCCTGGGCTCATTCTTTTAGAGTGAAAGGCTCCTTATCCATTGGGGCAGAGCTATTATTCCTCGAGAGGAAAGCCTTGTCTTTCCCAATGTACTCCTCACATGCCTCTTCTGTCTTGATCAATGTTGTGTGTCTTAGTTCCCTACAGCTGGCCTTACTTTGCATGGCTGTTTGAAGATAAGGTTCTTTTGTTCCCATTTTCTTTCTTTTCAAGCAAACAGATTTTCTTTTGAGTCTGAATGAATATCATCCCAAGCTTGTGATGGGAAACAACTCTCTGGGAAACTTCTCCTGGGGCAGGGCATGACAGCAGTAAGTGAGAAAGAAGCCATTTCCCGTGGTTGGAGAAATGAGCCTGCGATGGAGGTCAGGCTTCTGTGTTGACAGAGAGGGTCCCTAGGGATGAAGGGGGGTCTGCATTCAGGTCTGGATCTGCACTGCTGCCCTGTGACCTTGGGAAATCCCCTTACCCTCTCTGGGCCACGTGGCTGCCATCTGTGCAAGGAGGGGTTTGGATTTGATTAATAGCTTGCAAATTTTAAAAATTCTTCAGAACCCTCTCTTTAGTTGAAATCTATTGAAACTCAATATGAGTCATGGGAAATCACTGGGTGTTTTTATAGGTCAAAATTTTCAAATATAGACAATATCATATGTTTAGCCAAGGGTTTCTCAGCCTTAGCACTATTGAGCTTGTGGGCCAGTTAATAGTGGGAGGCTGCCCTGTGGGATGTTTGGTGGCATTCCTGGCCTCCACCCAGTAGATATCAGTACCTCTCCACTAGCTGTGACTATCGAATATCTTCAGACATTGCCAAATGTCCCCTGGGGGACAAAAGCACCTTGGTTGGGAACGACTGCTTTAACCTAGTAAAACTTAGAAGGTGAGATTCTCCTTTGAAGGTCCATGGAAGGAATGTTACCTAGATCCACTCTCTGTGGCACCAGAGGCTCTTCTGATGAACCAGTGTTGCAGGAGACAGTTTGAAAACAGATAGACCCAGAATCCTGAAGCTTCTCAGCTCAACACTACCATGTGAATCCAGGATCCTCTTTCCAAGTTGGATTTTTCATGGGGCCTCTTGAGGGAATTTCAGCAGCTTCCTCAGTGTTGCTGGCTCCCAGCTCAGAAGGATATGCAGCAGGGCAAGGTGCTTTTCTAGCCATTCTCATTTGGAAACCTTATCCAGGAAGCCTCCCATTATAATGGCAATGAGAGTGCAAGCTCTTGACTCCTGTATCTATCCTGAAAGGGACCTGTCCATTCTGTGCTACCAATCAGAGCTGCTCTCCCCATTCCTCTGCAGGCTCGGACATTCAGGACCTTTGAGATGTTAGCATCAGGACCTAGGGCAGGCACTTAAACAGAAAGGTCTCCAGATAGGTAGGCCAGGTGCATGCTTTGCTGGTGGTAAACAAACCTGTGGTGTATTTGGATTCATTCTGAGTTATGTTGTATGGGGTTTTTAATGCTTACCTTAGCACCTCTGTCTCAGCCTCCCCCAGGTACTGCTACACCAGCAGTAGGAACTTAAGAAAACCTCTCCTTCCTCATCTACAGAATGTAACCACCAAGACTTCCATTATGAGGTGGTTGAGAGAGTCAATTTGGCTGCCAACCCAGTGCCAGACACACAGTGGTCTCTGGGAAAGTGGTCATGAGGGTGACCATGCCTGTGATGATCTCAGGGTTGGGACCACCATGCCCTGGTCTTCCTGGTCAGATGATCTTCCAAGAAGGCCCTCAGCCTCTCCCATGGTGCTGGAGATCTGGATTGACTAAGGCAGTGGCCCCTGGGCCCCATATGCCTCCTAGGGATGCATCCCTTTATGAGGATGAAACCTTTTTTCCGTAATTGGAGATGAGACTTTAAAGCATTTCTCCCTGAGTCTCAGTTTCCTGGTCTGTTGGAATGACTTCATGGGGCTGTTCATTCATTCCACAGATATTTATTGATTGTCTATGATGTGCCATTATACTTCACTTGGAGTCTTCCTTTTTAAAGGTCTCTTCAGGGGTTATTTGCTTTTATTTTACTTCAATTATGTTTTTCCTGAAAATAAGCAGAACTAGCTTTTTTTCCTGATTTTAAATATAGTGCTTACTTCTTATAAGCAAAGTTTCAAACAATGCAGAAAATTATGAAAAAAATAAAAATCACTCAAACTCCTATCTTGCAGATCTACCCACCCTAGACACCTCATGGCCACGTTTCAGAGTTTCTTGATGCATCTACATGTGATTTTACATGTATGAACTAGAGAATTACCCACTATTGCTTTTACTTTTTAATTGAAGTATAATGTGTAGCATGCATATAGGAAAGCACACAAATCCTTAGTGCATAAATCAATTTTTACCAATTTTTACTCTTGTAGCCACATGACACAGATCAAAACTGAGAGCATTCCTGATCCTCATGGTCATTGTCCATACCACCAGGGCAAGCACTATTCTGACTTCTCTCCCTATAGATTAGCTTGACTGTTTTTCAACTTTACATTCTGGGACTTATTCAGTATATATGCTTTTCATGCTTGGCTTTTTTAGTTTGACTTTATCTGGGAAATTCATTCATTTCATGGCATAAAGTAGCAGTTCATTCTTTTTCATTGCTGTATAGCGTTCCACTATATGTATATACCACAATTTATTTATCCTACTACTACATTTCTTTATTCTACCAATGCTGGATATTTGAGTTGGCTCCAGTTTTTTACTATTACAAATAATGTGTTATGGATGGCAAATTAACTTTTAAAATCTGATGGTAAAGACATGTGTCCACTGTCAGTATTTCTTAAGGAAAATGGAAACATGAAACTATCTGTCCCATGTGGGATCTTAGTTTCCCCATTGTACATTGAGAGCTTTGGAGGAGATGCTGTCTCAAAGTCCTTCCATCCAGAAAATTTGGGTATTCTGGGGGTGTGTCTCTGATCCAGGCTCTTGCCTGGTCATCTCTAGTACAAGGCTGGCTTCCATAGGACTGATCCCTTTGGTTTGGGTGTTGACTGACAAGAAAGGCCAAGTATTCCTCAAGAAAAGCAAGGCAAACCTTCATCTTGGTCCCCTTCCTGGAGCCTGGGCCACTTAGAAGGCCCTAGAACCCTTTTTCCCCCTTCTGTAAGTACTCTTGTCTTCTACCCCTGGGAGCATCTTGGCATTTTGGTGAGACTAATGAATAGATCACTCCCCCTGCCCCTGGCTTCCTGCTGGCTCTCCCACTAACCCTAGGCAAAGTGCTTTGTTTCCTACATAGGACAGCAGGGAATGGTTCTCTGTCAGGACAGCAGGGAGTGGTACCCTGGGGTTGGATGCTCTTGGCTTGGATGTAACAAGTAGAATACTTAGCCATCCCTGGAGACACAAGCTGGAGAGGAGCAGAAGGCAAGCTCTTTCCACAGCAGTGAGAAGGCCCTGAGGTAGAGGATGGGGGGGATGCGGGGATGGGGGAATGAGGGTTAGTTTAGGGGTGCAGAAATACTCCTGTGGTTCCCAAATGACAGAAAATCTACATTTGTGAATCCATTCCTTAGGACAAACACTACTCTCCTCAGGTAGGTAAAGTAAGAGTTAAAGGCATGGACTTCCTTATAAAGTTTTACTTTCAAATGCTGACTCTGCCATTCAGTATTCAGGGCCTTACACAAGATAATAACTTTTCTAAAGCAGTTTTGTGATATTTAAAATGAGGCTAAACCCTCCTTGCAGTGTTGTCATGAGGATTAAATGAGATAATGGATGTACCCTTTAGTCTACAGTGCCTGTCAGATTGTGAAGCTCTCCACCCTGGCAGAGGAAAGTGAGAAACCTCTACCATTTATATGGAGAAAGACACTGGCCAAGAGTCAGGAACCTGGGTTCTGGCCCCAGCCTTACCCCACCCTAACACTCAGTGTCCCCATCCCTCTGATGATGTCTTAGTCCATTTAGTGTTGCTGTAACAGAATACTTAATACTGCACAATTTATAAAGAAAAGAAGTTTATTTGGCTCATGATTCTGCTGGCTTGAAGGTTCAAGATTGAGCAGCTGCATCTGATGAGGACCTCTGGCTGCTTCCACTCATGGAGAAGGTGGAAAAGGAGCAGGCATGTACAAAGAGAAGACATGGTGAGAGGAAGCAAGAGAGAAATGATATGGTTTGGCTGTGTCCCTACCCAAATCTTGAACTGTAGCTCCCATACTACCCACATGTCATGGGAAGGACCCAGTGGGAAGTAACTGAATCATGAGGGTAGGTCTTTCCCAGGCTGTTCTCATGATAGTGAACAAGTCTCAGAGAGCTGATGGTTATATAAAGGAGAGTTCCCCTGCACATGCTCTCTCTCTTGCCTGCCACCATGTAAGATGTGACTTTGCTCCTCATTCACCTTTTACCATGATTGTGAGGCCTCCTAAGCTATGTGGAGCTGTGAGTCAATTAAACCTCTTTCCTTTATAAATTACCTAGTCTCAGATATGTCTTTATTAGCAGCATGAGAACAGACTAATACAGAAACTGAGGAAGCTAAACTCGTCTTGAACATCAGGTTCTCCTCTCTCTCAGGAACTAATCCATTCCCATGAGAGTGAGGTCTCACTCATCCTCTCAGGAGGGCATTAATTTGTTCATAAGGGACCCATGACCTAAACATCTCCCACCAGGCCCCCCTTCAAATGCTGCCATATTGGGGATCAAATTTCAACATGAGTTTTGGTGGAAGCAAACTACATCCAAACCATAGCATTCCACTTCTGGATCCCCCAAACTCATGTTCTTCTCACGTGTAAAATACAATCATTCTATCCAAATAGTGCTAAATATCTTAACTTGTTCTAGCGCAAATTTTTAAATCCAAAGTCCAGCTATGAGCTTGTAAAATAACAAACAAACAAAAAAAGCAACAGGTTATTTGCTTCCAAGATAACAATGGTAGCACAGGCACTTCCAAGATATAATGGTAGACATTTTCACTGCAAAAGACTGAGAAAATAAAGTAGTAACAGGCTCCATACAAGTCAAAAGTCTGTCAGGGGAGATGTTACATCTGAAAGCTCCGGAATAATCTCCTTTGACTCCGTGTGCCAAATCCAAAACACACTGGTGTGAGGGCTGGGCTCCCACGCTTTGGGCAGTACTGCCCCCCGTGGATTTGCTGGACACAGCCCATGCAGCTCCTCTCATAGGTTGGAGTTCATAAACACACTTTTTGAAACTTTGTTATTTGTTATTGTGGACATTTAAGTCTTTGGTTAGCTTAGTAGTCACGTAGTAATTTGACAGAGATTTCTTTGAATTCCTGGGGGAAAAAAAAACAACCAAATTAGTCCAATCTTTGCAAATGTACTCTGTGTGTGTCTTAAGGCAAGCCTTCAACACTGAGCTGGACAATTTACATCTCTGCCTTAGCCTTAACTTTCTGTTTGGGCAGAGTCTGAAGGTCAGCCAGATGTGAGAGCTTAGGGCTCTTACAGGTTTTTTCTGAATGTGCTCTCTACTTTTGGCAAGCACGTGGTCTTCTAGATTCCCAGGAATATGTGAGAACTTTCAAAGCTCTTATCCCTTAAAGTAACTCACTTCCCATCTTTCCTCCCAAGCTTTTTGGTAAGTTTATTGTTTCCCCCAAGGATTCACAACAAGGGACTCTTTTTTCCACTGGGATCTATTCTTTGTCCCAGGAGGCAGTAGCTAATGCATTTGTCTTGCATTGTAGGCTACCACCTTCAAAACTGCCATGGAACTAAAGAGTGGAAGAGGGTGCCAAAAATGCCACTAAACTCCTCTGTTGAGGTTCGGCAACTTTTTTCTGCAGTAAATGTTTGATTATTGTAAAGATTTTATTACTTTCCAGTGTTCAGATAAAGTTTATTCTGACATTTTTGCTAGTATATTTACTGTTTTTGTGGAGAAATGGGGCCTTGGAGTTCCCTACTCCATCATTTTCTTCGATGTCACCCACATCCTCTAAAAACATCATTTATTATTTCTTTTCTTTTCTTTTCTTTTTTTTTTTTTTTTTGAGACAGAGTTTTGCACTGTCTCCCAGGCTGGAGTGCAGTAGTGGAATCTGCAACCTCTGCTTCCCAGGTTCAAGCGATTCTCATGCCTCAGCCTCCCAAGTAGCTGGGACTACAGGCACCTGCCACCACGCCTGGCTGATTTTTTGTACTTTTAGTAGAGATGGGGTTTCACTATGTTGGCCAGGCTGGTCTTGAACTCCTGACCTCATGATCCGCCTGCCTTGGCCTCCCAAAGTGCTGGGATTACAGGTGTGAGCCACCACGCCCAGCCTATTATTCCTTACAGTGTGGGTCTGCTGGTAAAACATTCTCCCAGCTTTCTTTTCTCTGCATATTTTATTATTTTTGTCTTCATTTTTGAATAATATTTTCTAAAAATATTCTTTCTCTAACATTTTGAAAAACACTTATTTTTCTTTCATCAGTTTTTCATCTTTTGGTTTCTATTTTTTCTAACAAAAATAGACACCATTCTTATTGCTTTTTTTCTACAATCCAATGTGTCTTTTATTCTTTGGCTTTTGGCAAAGTTTTTTAAGCCTTAGTTTTAGCATTTTATTATAATATACTAAGGAGTGATTTTTAAATTTGTATTTAAATTGGTATTCATCTTGCTTGAGATATGTTGAGATTCTCAGATATGCAGTTTGATGTCTTTTATCAGTTTTTCAGCCAATACCTCCTCAAATAGTTGTGCAACATTGTTCTCTTTCTTTGCTCTTTTGGATTTCAATTACACATATGTTAGATCATTTTATATTATACTTTAGGTTGTTGATGCTTTTATTTTTCTTATTTTCTTCTTTTCACTTTGTGCTTCTGATTGACTATTTGATATTACCTTGTTTTCAAGTTCACTAATAATTATTTTCGACTTTGTCTAGTTTGCTGTTAAGCACATTTAAATAATTTTTTATTTCATGTGTTGTATTTTTTAGCTTTAGAATTTTTATTTGGTTTCTTGTAGAGTTTTCATTTCTCTACTGAAATTCTTCATATTTCCATTTATTTTGTCCAATTTCCCCTCTAAATTTTTAAATGTGCTCATAGTAATCACCTTAAAGTTCTTGTCTGTTATACCAATATTTTTGTCATTTATGGGAACTGATTCTATTGACCTTACTTGTCTTTTGATTATGGGTCACATTTTCTTGTTTCTTTATGATTCCAATTTTTTTTTTCTATTTCATACCGATATTGAAAACAGGTCTGATCTGATCAATTTAAGCAGAAATTAAGCTGAGGAAGGGTTGAGCCTTTGGTTAGTTATGATTGACCTCTGGTTTCAAATGTCTCAAAGGTGTAGAAACAAGTCCCTCACTTCTCTGGGGCTTTGATAGATGAGCATTGTGAATATACAAAATTTCTTTCTGTTTTCTAGCCCTTCCCTCAGCTTCTCAGTGCTACTACTTACTCAGAAAAACTCCTGTGGAAGAGAATTGGCAGGCAGGGACCAGAAGGCTGTATTTGGCATTTTTCCGGATTTCGACCTGCCAGGCTAAACCACATTTGACTTTAGAAGTTTAGGTGATTTTTCCTTGTCCCTGCACAACTCCTCTGCCTCTGATAGGCTAATCCTTTTACCTATTTTTGACCTTAACTTGGCAACTTCTCCCAAAGATATAACTGCACTCATATATATTTATCTGTACTCATTTAGGAATAACTTGTTCCCTCTGTGGAATTTAGCTCAGTTAGGTTTCTCTGTGTCCATAGTTCTTTGATAGCTTTATATATATATAATTTTTAGAAGTCTATCCACTATTTTTTTTTGTTGTTGTTGTTGTTGTTAGAGTGTGAGCTTTTAAAAGCTTCTATGTCCTAACTGGAAGCAAAATTCCATTAGTGCTCTTATAAGCACTTATATTTTGAAAAAAATTTAATTAAAAAAAGCCAAAATTATAATTGCTTGAGTTTTTTGTATTAAGCTAGGCATTTTTTATGTGGTAAACCACACTGATTGATTTTCAAATATTAAACAAACCTTGCATACCAGTGTTGACAAAAAGAGTCAAACTCTGTAAAATATTCAAAGAGATTTATTTTGAGCCAAAAATGAGTGACCATGGCCTGTGACACAGCCCTCAGGAGGTCAAGAGAACATGTGCCCAAGGTGGTTGGGGTGCAGCTTGGTTTTATGCATTTTAGGGAGGCATGAGACACTGATCAAACACATTTGAGAAATAGATTGGTTTGGTCCAGAAAGGTGGGACAATTTGAAGCAGGGATGGTGGTGTGGGGGTGTGTGGGGGCTTCCAGGCTATAGGTAAATTTAAACATTTTCTGGTTCACAATTGGTTGAGTCTGTCTAAAGACCTGGGATCAATAGAATGGAAATGTTCAGGTTAAGATAAAAGATTGTGGAGACCAAGTTTCTTTTGAAGTCTCATAGTGGCTGCCCTTAGAGACAATAGATGGCAAATGTTTTCTATTCAAGCCTTTAAAAGGTGCTAGACTTTCAGTTAATCTCTTCAGGATGGGGAGTTCCTGGAAGAAAAAAATCTAGCTATGTTAATAGAGATTCTTTACAGACGTAAATTTCCCCCCACAAAGGATGGCTTTGCAGGGCCATTTCAAAATATGGCAAAGAAACATGTTTTGGGGTAAAATATTTTGTTTTCTTCTTTGTCACGTATGTTACGCTAGAGTCAGATTAGAAAGGAAGTCATGATATAGAGGGTTAAATAAAACCCATCTGATGAGAATTTATGGTTTGTAGGGTGTGAAAGGGAAATATCATGGACCCCCAAAACCACTAAGCTAAAGAGAAATTCAAGCTGGGAACTGTTTAGGCAAACCTGCCTCCCATTCTATTCAAAGTCATCCCTCTGCTCACTGAGATAAATGCATATATGATTGCCTTCTTTGGAAAGGCTAATCAGAAACTCAAAAGAATGCAACTGTTTGTCTGTCACCTACCTGTGACCTGGAAGCCCCTTCCCCACTTTGAGTTGTCCTGCCTTTGCTTCGAGTTGTTCTGCCTTTCTGGAATGAACCAATGTTCATTTTACATATGTTAATTGACATCTCTTGTCTCCCTAAAATGTATAAAACCAAGCTGTGTTCTAACCACCTTGGGCACATGTCACCAGGATGTTAGAAATAAAGTTTTGGTGCTGCAAAAGAAATAGCACTCGAATGTAAGATTTTCTTTCTTATTTCTTCTCAGCAAGGCAATTTATTTCTATAGAAGGGTGTGCCCTCACAGATGGAGCAATGGTGAGCACACACCTGGACAAGGGAGGGGAAGGGGTTCTTATTCCGGACATGTGGCTCCTGCAGCTGTGTCATTCCCCTATTGGCTAGGGTTAGACCACACAGGCTAAACCATTTCTGATTGGCTAATTTAAAGAGAGTGACGAGGTGAGTGGTTTGGTGGGAAAAATGGTTATGGCATAGCAGGAAATTGGAATGAGTCAGGGTGGAGAATGAGCAGGTAATTGGAATGAGTCAGGGTGGAGCAGATAATCGGAATGAGTCAGGGTGGAGCAGGTAATCGGAATGAGTCAGGGTGGAGCAGGTGATTGAAAAAGGTTGCTTTAGGAGGAAGTTAAGTTTAAAAGTAGAAGGCAAAGAATTGAACATATTGACATATTGATTCTTTGAAGAGAAATTTAGAACTCATGTCTAACAAGGACCTCCTGAGGCTGTGTTACAGGTGTCCATCCTCAACCTTGGCGAAATAAACTCTCTAAATTAACTAAGACTTGTCTCAGATTTTTGGAGTTCACAAGAGCATGACTCCCCAGACCCCTTGGATATTTGGGCAAGATAAGAAAAAAACAGAGCTTAGTCCTCACCAGGAATAAGCCTCAGTTTGTTGTAATACATGTTTTTATATATCACTAGATTTGAATTGCTAGTATTTTAAAGGATTTTTTTTCACATAGGTTTATAAGATATATCACTATTTAATTTTTATTTTTTCATAAGGTCCTTTGTGGGTTTTGGAATCAAGGTTATGCAGGTCTCATTAAAGTAGTTTGGAAGTATTCCCTACTTTTTTATTCTCTGGAAGAGTTCCTGCAAGATTTTCATTGATTGAACCTAAAATGCTTGCACAGAATTCTCTTCTATATTTACCTCCACAATTTCACAAACAAAACAGTAAAATTAAAAAAAAAAAATTCAAGCCCACATCTGGAACATTAAGCTCCCTCAATCATGTCTGAATATTCATTGAAGTTTGAGATTAAGTAATGTGATTTTCTTTTTCTTAACTGGGTATTTCTTACACTCAAAAATTTCAGGTTCTTTCATTTTTTTTTTCAAGTTGTCTTGGAATTCTTCTTAAGCTTTCTGCCTTTCTTTTGCCTTTCTCTACCTTCCCATACCTTTTCTCCATTCTCAGCCTGATGGAAAATATGGAGTCCATCCTTCTTGGGTGCTTGCAAGACTCCTACAGACTCAGCTTATGCTATTATCAAGGGCATTCAAAATTTCTTTTAGTGAGTGTGACTCTGATGCTTTCCTGGCTGGAAGGTCACTATGACTTGGTTCTGAAATCCAGCTGAGTGAGAGGCTCTAAGAAGCTTCTATTTTAAGACTAGCCCACTGTGATATTGTGAAATATATAAGTGATCTTCATCCTTCATTTCCTAACCTAAAGCTCCTAAAACCTCTTAAATACTTAGAGCAATAAGAGTGTCTTTTGTATTCTAATGAGATGACTGATGGCTGGGGGCTCCCAGATAGCCAGAGGATGGGAGCTGGTCACCAAGGGAACCAACCATGTGATTAGAGGGTAAGGGAGAGACATTGAAAGTTGGGTTAATTATCAATGGCCAATGACGTAATCAATCATGCCTACAAAATAAAGCCTCCATTAAAAAAAAAAAGGACTGGGTTGGGAGAGCTTCTGGATAGCTGAACATGTGGAGGTTTAGGGTCAGGGGTGGGGCAGGTGGCCTACCAGAGAGGGCATAGACGCTCTATGCCCCTTCCCAGATACCTTGCTCTGTGCATCTCTTTCATCTGGCTGTTCACTTGTATCCTTTGTAATATCCTTTCCAATAAGTGAGTAAAGTGTTGACTTGAGTTCTGTGAGCCATTCTAGCAAATTAATTGAATCTAAGGAGGGGTCATGGGAATCCCAATTTATAGCTGGTAAGAGTCACAACCTACTACTTGCAACTGGCATCTGAAGTGGGGAGCAGGCTTATGGGACTGAGCCCCCAACCTGTGGGATTTGCTGCTGTCTCCAGGTAGATAGTGTCAGAACTGAATTGCATTAGAAGATACCCAGCTGGCATTTCTTGGAGAATGTCTTGGTGTATGGGGAAATACACACATTTGGTGTCAGAAGCATTGCGTTGAATGGTGTATGAGAATGGAGAGGAAAAAATACCTTTTTTTTTTTTTCTATGTCTTAGGCCCGTATCCAGTTTGGCCCATTTTGAGTCCTAGCAGGTTTCAGGGTTGAATATTTTCCTGGGTTTAGGTCATTCTAGGCTACTTTTGAGTAAAGCTCCCCTTTAACTGTCAAATTAAAGAGAGAAGCACATTATAATTTTAAATGTAACATTTGTTAAAGTGCTTCTCTCAGGTTCTGAGCTGGTCACTGAGGGTGCAAAGTGAACCCAAAATGTCCCTGCCCTCATGCAGTTCATACCTTGGTGGGAAAGGCCGAATAGCATGATGGTTAAAGCTAGAGTCAGACAGAGATCTAGATTTGAAGACCAGCTCTGTGACCTTCACTTAACCTTTCTGTGTCTTAGCCTTGTCATCTATAATTAGAATAACAATAGAATCAACTCCATAGCATTTTGTGAAGATTCAATGTGACATGCTTGCAAAGTGCTTAGCACAGTGACTGACACAACCAATAAATGAAAATGGAAATCTTAGTCTGGATTCCCCGAAAAGCAGAGCCTGAGACAAAGACTAAGGTTCAGGTAGTTTATTTAGCAGACAATCCCAGGAATAAGGGAATAAGGGAACATGAGACAGGGTAGTGGATGAAAAGTGAATGTAAGGGTCTTTAGTTGAGATTTTTGCTATTGTCAACTTGGGTCTTAGTTCCAGAGACCTACTGGACAATTAACAGAATATCTACTAGAATTGTTCGCTTGAATAACAGGAAGCTGGAGCCTTTATCCACTGGTTCTTGCCCCATTGGTTAAAGGTTGCTCCTTCTGTGCTAACTTGTGCATGGGCCAGGTAGACTTTCCAACATCAGAAGGAGCCTGGGGACAGTAAACGGAAAGCTGCATGGCCCGTAATTGAGGTGAAATTTGTCAACATGAAGGGAATCTGTACTCCCATGGTACAGTCTACAACAACTGCAGCTGAAATCAGTGGTGGGCAGAGAGGACGAGATGTGGAACACCAGAGATACCTGTGGAGTCCTAATTAGAAAAAAGGAGTTGGGCTGGCAGGACTGAAAGCAAGCAAAAAGAAAAAGCAGGTAAGCTACAAGTTTGTCTTTCTTCACGGTCCAGGACACAGCCCTTCTGTGCAAATAACTCACAATATTCCTATGTCCAGGTATCACCAGACCCTTGGCTGATAGAAAAATTGCAAGTTAGTGCCCTGTAACCTTGCCATAATCAGTACTGCATGCAGTACTCGGCCGCTCAAGAACCATCCTATAAAATTTCCAGCAAGCCTTTGCTTCCCTGGAGTCAGCTCCTTTCTTGCTGATTCTGCCCATTGCTCCCTTGCAACATATTTTCATACTTTCTCTAATAAATCTGCCTTTTTTAACCCACAACTGGTAAATTTGGCCTCAGATAGTCACTGCCTCAGATAGTCACCTTTCACCCATGACAATGTCTTTTACCGTCCACTCCTTGCTCCACTTAGATCTGCTCATACCCACATTAAGTTTACACTGTCACATAGTCTTCATGCTGGTTGCAGCTTCAATCTCCATAAAAGACCTAAGGCAGCAGAGTTAGAAGAACAAGTTCAGTATCCATTGCTGCAACAGGGCCTGAGTCCAAGTCTACCTGGTGAGATGCTCCAGACTCTTACCCCTGATGGATCTGAGACCTTGGATGACTTGGCTTGCCACATTGAATTTTCTTTAACTGAACATAGAAGCACCCTTATATATAGCAGCAGCCCTAGTTTTTAATGATAATCAGTGTAGTAACTTTTTTTTTTTTTTTTTTGCCTCTGGTCCACTGGTAACAAGAGTCTGAAGTCATCAGGCAGCAGATCTAGTTTCAAGTTCAGTGGACTCTTTGTTGGGTCAACCGGTCAACTGTTGACCCGTGGAAGCATCCCTCCACCCCCAGAAAACGACCTGATATTCCACAGAGCCTAGGCTCTGGGGAACATGAAACACAAATTCTGCAAGTGATGCAGAGTGATGGTGACAGGGGTCAATATTTCTTTCACCTCTTGATTCTCAGACTGGTCTGTTCTAGCCTTTGAGGCACAGCATCACATTTCAAGTATTATAGAGCATATACTGCATCCTGTAGTACAACATTCCAACCCTGCAGCGTGTTGATACCAAGTTCATTCCTTAGCACATCTCCTAATAGACCTTCCATTGTTCTATTATGCTGTTTCCAGTGGATGCAGCATATGGTAGGACCAGTGGGTCCTGGGGCCATTTGTTCACAGACCCATCCTTAACCACAAAATAGCTCCATTTTGTTGATGTGATTACATCCTATGTAATCATGGGATTACATAGGATCCCATGATACAGATTAGGCAAGAGCCCTCAGGTGGTATTGTTGACAAAGGATGCTGTGAGCAGGGAAGGCAAACCCATAAATCCATATCCTGAGTAGGTGTCAATTCTGGTAAGGATGAGTCACCATGTCTCCCCATGTCCCAGAGTTAGGAGTCTGACATAACCAACTTGTTACCAAAGAGAGTTTGATTCCCACTTAGGATAGTGCTATGGTGAGGGCTCATATTAGTTTCTGCTGCTGGCCAGTGGGCATTCGGAGCAGTATTGCCAAGATCAGCCTTGGTGAATCAGAGCCCATGCTTAGCCACCATAGCTATTCTGTTCATGGGTTCGTTGTGCAAGAACTGCATGGCTGAGGAGGGAGGCTGGTTGACATGACTTGGATGAGTTTTGTCCCTCTGTTTGTAGAGTTTCTTATTGGGCATTAACATAAAACACAAAGATCTACACACTGTCCCACTCCCATAGATGAATCCTCATGATTCTTTCTCACATCTCTTTGTCACTGATTTAGGATCCTATCTGTCACTTCCCAGGCCCCTGAGTAATTGGCCAAGCCATTCACCACTGTTCAGAAGTCATCATGTATGTCTTTACCTCAGCTCACTTTTGTGACTATTTAAAGTGGCAACCAAGTATATTGCTTAAAATTGGACACCAGGAGGATGTTTTTCTCATCACTATCTTTTGAGGTCACTCCTGAGAGTGGCTGGTATGTAACAGTTGAATTTTAGCTCATCTTCTTAGGGCAGTCCATATGTAAACCAGGCCTGTTTGCCTCTTCCACCAGCTAGCCGTGGGGAACCTGCCATGAGGCAGTGGACGGATGTGATTGAGGGGAAGCATTGGTGCAGTAGAGGGAGACAACGTGGGGTCAGCCATGTGTGTGTAACTTTCTTGTGCTAGCCAGACTTGCTCAGTCACTATTTCTAATGTACCAAATGTGCTTGCCTCATCTTGTTGCTGGATCTGAAAATACTCAGCTCATAATGGGCGGCTCTGGTTGCCTATTCACTTGATATCCCATAGTAGGTAGTGGCCATGAGAATGAACTTTGCGGGCTTCCAACTATGGCTTCCAATCATTGAACCAGGGCACCAGCTCCTTGCTGCTGAAGTCTGTCACAACATTTACATCAAGGCCATGCTTCCCACAGGCTGCTCCTAGCTAACAAACGAGTGTAGCAGGGATACAAGGGCAGACCCATTTCTGGGAGACTCAAGACTCCTCTAGTGATTGACATAGGCTTCCCGGCTCCCTGACACACTTGCTGGACCTTCTTTAGTCTTCATGGTAGCCTAGGATGCTTTTACCCAACCTTCTTGTTATCTCTCCTTTGCAGATTCTATCACAGTCTGGCAGCTCTCCTGGACTTTCCCGGCTCCCTCCCCAATTCCCATCCATAGGCATCTCCCCTAATAAAATCTTTGCATGTTTAATCCTGTTTTGATGTCAGCTCCTTTGCACGTTTAATCCTTCTCAGACCAACGAAAGTGGTCTCGGAAGACAGGTGGTAAGATGGGGGTCTGGGACTGGATCTCCTAGCAGGAGTGGAGGATATCATCTTGGGTGATTGACGAGGCACAAGGTGATGGCTCAATTGCTAGATTTTGCTGGTGGTGAACTGAAAAAAATGTCCCACATTAGGGGGAATGCTGTAGGAGGTGCAATGATGTAAGTATTTGAAAAATACATGGAGAACAAAGCCTACAAAGGCAGTAGAGTAGGCCAGGTATGGCTAAGCTGCACACTGCAGAAGGATAATGAGAGACAGAGAGCTGTTAATGAGCAGATAATGGCTAAGTGTGAGATCAAGGCAGCCTTGGGGAAAGATTAAGAAAAGGCCCTTCTCAGCAGTAGTAGGAGGGCAGACACAGTTGGACTATAGTCTGAAGACTTCACCACAAATGTGCTGGCGAAAGGAGCACGAGTATCACTAAGAAGTTTAGTGGTAAGGCCGGGCACAGTGGCTCCCTCCTGTAATCCCAGCACTTTGGAAGGCCTAGGTGGGCGGATCACTTAAGCCAAGGAGTTCAAGACCAACCTGGGCAACATAAGGAGGCACTGTCTCTACACAAAATTTAAAAATTAGCCAGGCATGGTAGCACATGCCTGTAGTCAAAGCTACTTGGGAGGCTGAGGAAGGAGAATCACTTGAGCACAGGAGGTTGAGGCTGATGTGAACTGTGATCATGCTATTGCACTCCAGTCTGGGCAACACAGCGAGACCCTGTCTCAAAAAAAAAAGGAAGAAGTTTAGTGGTGGTTGTGGGGTGGCCCTCTTCTGCAGGCCAGGGGACATGGCAGGAGAGGTGGCCGTAGAACTGGGTTCATTAACATTGATGAAGAAGAGGGGGAGTCTCAGAGTCACTCATCCTGAGGCTGGGTAGTGGCACTTAAGTGCCAGAAGGCAGGAGGCTGCAATTACTTTAATGATCACCAAGGCCAGAGGATCAGACAAGAGGGTTTGACCTGTAAGGAGTGGTGGAGATGGTTAAGGGAGTGTGATATCTATAGGGGAACACAGACAGACTGTCGACAGAGGTGCTGCTTCACATGCATGATAAAGGATAAAGCAAGCATGGAGGAGTAGCACAAGGCTGAGGGAAGCTGTCCCAGTAAAATGCCACAAATCTTTGCTCAGTTCCCAGATCTGTGGCAATTGTCAGATCTTGAAACCGCTGAATGAAAAGGTGGCCAGATCCTTAGAAAGAAGGACTTCGCACAATTGCAGCAAGTATATACCATGATAATTTTCCTAGTTCTTTTCCGAAGGGATGTATGGTTGTTTATTTGGGTGACTGTGTACTGAGCAAATATTTTCAGGACTAATGGACACAGATTCTGAAGTGACATTGCTATGTAGAGACCTAAAGTGTCACCATGACCCCCCTGTTAGAGTGGGGACCTACGAGAGCCAGGTAGTGAATGGAACTTTAGCTAAAGACTGGCTTACAGTGGGCTCACTGTGTCAATAGACCCCACCAATAGTGGTCATTTCTCTAGTGCCCAGGTGCATCAGTTGGGAGTGATATATTTGGAGTAATCCTCCAAGGATTCCCAGGATTCCCTGGAGAATGAATAAGGAATCCATGGTCTGTGAGGTAAGAGCTATCACATTGGGGAAGCGGAAATAGAAACCTCTGAAACTGCCAGAAGCCAATAGGCTCCCACTTCATGGCCAAGTTAGTAAAGAAAAAACAATATTGTATCCTCAGAGAGGGATATAGCAGAGATTAGCACCACTGTTAAAGACCTAAAAGATGCAACGGTGGCCCGGGTGCAGTGGCTCACACCTGTAATCCCAGCACTCTGTGAGGCCGAGATGGGAGGATCATGAGGTCAAGACATCGAGACCATCCTGGCCAACATGGTGAAACCTTGTCTCTGTTAAAAAAAATACAAAAATTAGCTGGGTGTGGTGGTGCATGCCTGTAATCCCAGCTACTTGGGAGGCTGAGGCAGGAGAATCACTTGAACCCAGGAGGTGGAGGTTGCAGTGAGCCATCCTGCCACTGCACTCCAGCCTGGTGACAGAGCGAGACTCCATCTAAAACGAAACAAAACAAAACAAAACAAAAAACAAAAAAAAGATGCAATGGTGGTGGTGCCTTTCACAATTCCATTCGATTCATCAGTCTGGCTGCTGCAGAAGTTGAACAGCCCCTGGAGAATGACTGTAGACTACCACACACTCAACCAAGCGGTAACTCTGATCATAGCTGCTGTGCTAGGTGTGGCATCCCTGCTTGAGCAGGTGAATAAGGCTTCTGCTATAACGTATGCTGCAGCTGTAGATTTGGTGAACTCAATCTTATCCATTCCAACTAGAACAATTCGCATCTACATGGGATGAAAAATATTCAGTTACAGGGTTAGCTGCCTCTCACAATATAGTCCATTTCACTGCCTGGATGTCCCAAGAACATCACGCTCACATGTTACATTTACAACTTCATGCTCAATGGACAGGATGAGCAAGAGGTGGCCAGCCCTCTGGAGGCTTTGTGCTCCAGAGGGTGGGAGATAAGCCCTTTGGAAACTCAAGGAAGGGACATTTCAGTGAAGGTTTTAGGAATCCCATGGGCAGAACATGCTAGGATTTCTCCACTAAAGTAGAAGAAAAATCTAACTGTCTTGCAACTCTTGCTAAAAAGAAGGAGGCAAAGTCTCCTTGGTATGTGAAGGCAGCACATTCCACACCTAGACATGTGGCTCTAGCCCAAATTCCAGATCACATGAAAGACCACCAGGTTTGAGTGGGGTAGGGTCTGAAGAAGAAATGGCACTGGCAAGTCCAGGCTGTGGATCAATCAGTCCTGTTGCCTAGGTGATATGATTTGGCAGGCCTGTGACGGTGGAAACGTCAGGGATAGGAGAAGGTGCAGGTGGAGCTCATGGCAAGCTCCAGTGGGAAGATCATGATGTGGTCCCTGCAATTCTGGTGTAAGGCCATGCCTACTACATTAGGGAATTAAACCCCTTTGAGAATCGCCTCTGTGCATTAGTGGGTCCTGGTATCAAAAAAATGCTGGACCATGGACACCAAGTGACCATGCATCCAGAACTTTCCATTAGGAGATAAGTCCTGGCTATAAATCTCTTTTAGGAAGGACTGGGGGTATGTTTATAGTTATATATTTATAGTGACATTGCATAGTCCTCTCTTGAAGGACCCAGACTCCTTAAAACAATGAGCTCAGTAGGTTTGACAAGTGGTTCAGATCTGGAAAGATCTAGTAAGGGATTTTTCATTGTTATGGCCGACATAAACTTCTAATCATCACCTCTTGACTTTCTCTGATTTTACAAGTTAAACAACATTCAAGTTGGCTGCCTGTCTACTTTACTTCTAGGATTACCATGACCTATTAGCCATTGTCATAGATCTCTGTGGGACAAGGCATCCTGGTTGCCACTCTGGTTTTTTTGCCCATTAAGGTAATTATTTCCACCTTACCTCTGGTTATGCAGCACAACCTGGCCTCTGCTATTCCAGACTCATTCACACCGATACTAGGGATCCCATTTCTATGGTAGCTAACAAGGATTATCACCACTGAGCTTCTCAAATAATTCCTTCCTGCCTAGCAAATTCTTTACTGCCTTAGTGAAGGGATCCTCTGTCACTCTCAGGAAACATTATCAGGTAGTGAGTCCCTCATTCTAGGAGATGTATTTATTTTAACAGTTCCACATCCCTGAACCTTCTCATCTCTTCATCAATACTTGGCCATTCGAATTGGCTAATTCTAACATCTCCATTGCATTTGCTGTAGGCTGTCATCATGTCCCTGCTTCATGGGTCCACTCTCATAGCATATTAGCATCTGCCCGAGGCATTCTTGAATACAGTAAGTCCTGCATCATGAGAATGTGCTCTTGTGCTAATAAATTCTCTCCTACCCAGTATTACCTTCTGCTCCACCCCTCAGGCTTACCACCCTCAAGACCAACCTCCATGCATGTTTTTCTCTGTTCCTATCAGGACATAATAGCCACATCACGCGATTCATTCACTAGGAAATCCCTTTTCTCCTGGGGAAGGGACTCATGTTCTTGTTTAAGCTGTGCTTAAGCCTGGCCCTGGTTACTGGCTTGGGAGAATGAGTGGATTGGGTGATCTTGATGAGGAAAAGCTTTATCTTGGGAAGCATCTATCACAGGTCAAGTCTATGCATTGTTACCAGAGTACAAGTGTCTTGTGTCTCCTAGTAAGGAGAGGCTTCCTTCTGCCAGGCTGGAGAGTTTAGGAGAAGCCAGGTATTCATAGTTCTCAAATGCATCCATCCAGATGTCCCAATTCCACGTCTCAGGGTCTCAATCATTCCCTGTTGGTGACCTAACTTTAACTTAGGAGATTTTTCAAGGCTATAGGCTCAACCTTACCTTTACTCCTATAGTCTCAGAGAACCTTAGACTCTGGGTCTAATTTTCAGCATAGTCAAACTATGGTTCCAGGAGACACAGCTATCTTTAAAAGCTGCTAGGAGGCCTTCTGATTTTCACAGTGTACTCTGTATTGATAGCTGATTAACAGAGACTGCCATTTTCTTCAAGGTTTCCAAGGCAGTTAACAAAAGGCAGCCATCACCACAATACTTGTAATTACCCTTGCCTCTATACCTAGAGGTGCTAGTGTTAATGCACGCCTCAGTGCAGCCCACTCCTCTGAACCACATCCCAGTCCACCACTGACAGTCTTAGTAACAGGATGCTGTCTGACTAGGGGGGAGATCCAGTTTCAGAATCTCACTGAGGGTCTGCTGTCTAGGTCTCCTTCTCATACCGACTGACTTGGTTTGTGTGCCTGAAAGCAGAGCCTGAGGCAGGGATTTGGGTAAAAAGGTAGATTACTCAGGAGCAAGGGTGGAGGGGAGGAGGGAAGGTGAGACGAGGGGGTGTTCCTGAGACTGATGCTGTGAGCAATGGGAGCCCCACTTCCTAGGACTTTCATGCAGCACACAGAATACCTCAGAGCTCCCTCAGCTCTCATGACCCTTCTGTTGAGGGTTCCTCCTGGGGGACTCCATCTGTCCTGTAATTCTGGTCTCACTTGAGCAAAGACAGAAGGGACATTTCTGCCCTGGGGCAGAAAATAGAAAGCCAGGGCCCAACCATGCTTCAGGTGGTATGCTGTCAGTGCAAGGGGAGGCTGGGCCTGCACACTACTGTCCACTGCAGCCATGGCTTAAATCCGAGGTGGGCTGAAGTTTTGTGACCTGCATGAGAGATCACATGGTCCTTGTCTTAGTCATCGTCATCATTATCATTGGGTATACCACCTATAGAACAAGGGCAGGGTATTGTAAATAATAGAGTCATCAAAAAGTGCATGGGCAGGAAGAGGAGAATGATTCTAGAGAGGAGGCCTGCATGGAAGAAGTGGTTTTTCATGGAATCTTTAAGACAATCTTTAGGATTTCATTGGGTAAAGAAGTCACCTAAGTGTGGTGGCCCATGCCTGGCCACACCCCTGTAATCCCAGAGCTTTGGGAGGCAGAAGCTGGTGGATCACTTGAGACCAGGAGTTGGAGACCAGCCTGGGAAACATAGTGAGACTCCATCTCTACAAAAATTTAAAAAAAATTAGCCAGGTGTGGTGGTGTGCACCTGTAGTCCTAGCTACTTGGGAGACTGAAGTGGGAGGATCGCTTGAGCCCAGGAGTTTGTCATGCCACTGTGCTCAAGCCTGGGTGACAGAGAGACACTGTCTCAAAAAGAAAAAAGAAAAGAAAAGAATTCAAGGCAAAACACTCCAGGGGAGGAAAACATAATAAACACTGGATATAGTGATGGGGGTGCAGTGATGAGATGCAGGAGTGGAGGTACAGTGATGGGGTGCAGTGATGAGATACAGAGATGGGATGCAGTGATAGGGTGCAGTCATGGGCTTGCAGGGATGGGAGATAGTGGCCTGCAGAGGTGGGGTACAGTGATGAAGTATATTGGTGAGAGTTCAGTGGTAGGGCGCAGTAATGGGGGTACAGTGATGTAGTACAATGGTGGGGTTGCAGTGATGGAATGCAGTGATGCAGTGCAGTGGTGGGGTGCAGTGGTGGAGGTGCAGTGGTGAGGTACACTGTTAGGGGTACAGTGGTAGGGTGCAGTGATGGGGTGCAGTGATGGAGTGCAGCAATGGACTATAGAAATGGGGAGCATTGGTGGAGTGCAGTGGTGGGGTGCAGTGATGGGGTAGCAGTGGAGGTGCAATGGTGGGGTGCAGTGGTGGGGTGCAGTGGTAGGGTACAGCGATGGGATAATGATGGAGGTGCAGTGATGGGGTGCAGTGATGTGGGTGCAGTGATGGGGTGCAGCAATGGGGTGCAGTGATGGGGTGAAGTGGTGGGATACAGTGATGGGGTGCAGCAATGGGCTGTAGAAATGGGGTGCAGTGATGGGGTGCAGTGGGAGGTGCAGTGATGGGGTGCAGTGGTAGGGTGCAGTGATGGTGGTTAAATGGTGGGGGTGCAGTGGTGGGATGCAGTGATGGAGGTAGTGGTGGGGGTGCAGTGATGGGTGTAGTGATGGAGTGCAGTGGTAGGGTACAGCGATGGGTTAATGGTGGAGGTGCAGTGATGGGGTTCAGTGGTGAGATGCAGTGGTGGTGTGCAGTGGTGGGGGTGCAGTCATGGGGTGCTGCAATGGGGTGTAGTGATGGGTGCAGTGGTGGGATGCAGAGATGAGGTGCAGCAATGGGCTGTAGAAATGGGGTGCAGTGGTGGGGTGCAGTGATGGGGTGCAGTGGTGGGGGTAGTGGTGGGGGTACAGTGATGGGGTAGCAGTGGGGTTGCAATGAGGCATTAGTTTGGAATTGTAGAATGGAGCCAGATGAGAAAAGATTTGAAGGTCAAGTTAAAATGTTTGGGTTTAATATGAATGTGAGAGGTGTTTGGAGAAACAGGTTATGAGATGGAAGCTCTAAGGCTTCCCAGCTGTGGGTCCATGTGTGGTCTGTGGGGCATTGCCCGGTGACCTGATTCCAGCACCAGAGCACCACTCCTTTGTTTTGTCCACCTACAGGCTGGTTTCCACCCTGAGGCAGCTGCCATTGCTCTTGTACCTTCAAGGTTCCTTTAGCCTCCCTTTATGAGAATTCAAAAGTGGGCTTTGATTTTTACCACCTATCAGCAGGGGTAGATTAACCTATGTTTTAAGCCAAGCTGCTTAAAGAACAAGCCCTTAGCCCTCATCTTGGTTTTCTCCCTCAGGGTTTCAGCAGAGCAATCTGGGAGAACAGGGAGAGCCTATCAAAGGTCTGTGTCTCCCAGGGGCCATCCAGGCCACTGGCCTGTGCTACTAATGGGGACATCAAGGTCCAAGGAGGTGATGTCAAGTGGTTATTCAGCTTTCTAGAAGATTGAGTAATTTTTCATGGCCCAATAACTGCAGAAGCCAGCACATCCTCCCAGATCTTTCTATTGCCGCTCCTTTCCTACTCCCTCCTCCCCGAATTGCAAAGCCTGCAGCTCGAGGGCAGGAAACCTGGGCTTTAGTTCCAGCTGTTCTGCTTCTCAGCTTTGTGATATTGGACCAGTAATCCTACCTTGCAAAATATCAGTTTCCTCATCTACAAAATGAGACTAATCACATTAAATTAGGTAATAGATGCAAATAAAGCATTTAGCCCAGGGTCTGGTACCTGTAAGGCATCCTATAAATGAAGTCTAGAGGCATTGATTCCTTACATTATCAGTGTTCCTCACAGAGTAGGTCCTGTGCATTAGGGGCCTGCGACAGAAGTGGTACCTAGAGAGAACAGCAAATAGAAGACATTTCATTAGGAAACCATTTCCTCTATAGTTCTCTTTGCATTCTGATTTTGTGGAAGAGTAAGACTTTGGTGGTATTATAGCATGTCATATATATATATATATATACACACACACACATACATATATATACACACACACATATATATATATACACACACACACATATGTATACATGTAATGCTTGTTAATTTCCATTTTTAGCAAGGAGAATTCTTCGCCTCTCTGGTTAATGATAGACAATTACATCTAACTCAATCTGGTAAAGTCCTATTCAGTAATTTAAACAGTTTCTTTAGATAGCATAATCACTTCAAATAAATCCATAGCCTCTCATATTTGCTCCCCACCCCACCCGCACTCCTTGCCAAGATGGTGTCTGGCTGTGTGAGTTATGGGATGCTAATAGGACCACATGAGTGGGAGGGCAGAGGGAGCTTGGACCCACTTGCAGAAGTCCTTGCGTTGTTGTGGTCTCCACAGCAATGTCCCACTGCCGGGGTTCCTGGGAGGAGGATGAATTCTTAAGTGGTGAGCTCATGGTCTGTCCTCTCATCTTGATCAAAGCCCACTGATTCCCCCTGACTGACTCAGTGCCCTACCTCACCCTGCCCAGTGCTCAACACTGTGCTCCAGCACAGGCCAGGTTGTGGTTTCACTCTGTTCTCGAGTCCATGAAGCATCTCTGTAGCCCCCTGCCTTCCTCCTCCTCTAGCTCCCAGCCAGGTTGGTAGTCACCTCCAAGTTTTCTTCGAAGCCACACGGTGATGTCTGGATCAATTTCAAGGAATTTGGGATCCAAGGGAAATAGGACCACCCCCTGAGATCTCTCTTAGCCCAACCACTTCTGCTCTGCTGTGGCTGCCCCAGGTTGGTTGAGATGTGGAACCCTTCTGTCACTATCCTCCTGGAGAACCCTTCACTACTTAGCACACTTTTCATCCTTAGCACACATTTCAGCCCATCACTGCACCCCATCACTTTACCTCATCGCTGTATCCCTTTAGGACCTATGTCTAAGAGGGGGAGTCAGGGCACTTTGCATCACACATGCTTTCCCTACCTCTGTTCCCTTCTCCTTTCCAAAATCCACTGTACAGAAAGGCCGGATTTTCCTGTTTGTCTTACTTTGGGGATCTTCTCCACCATACACCACCCTTTCGTTGTAATGGTTGCTAGAGGCAAAGGGAATGTTTTGTGGTATAGAAATGCAACATATATTGGCTTGCTCTTCCCAAAAGCTCTTTCTTATTGCACTAGGTAGATACAATTTTCTTTAATAACAGCTTTTAAAAAATGTCAATTTAAAGAAAAAAAATCAAGTAAATTGATAGTCAATTTGGTAGTGGGAATGGTACAAATTGTGAAGACAGAAGGTCTAGGGCTGAGCTTTGGGAAGCCACAGGGCACAAGTAAGAAGCTGTGATGAATATGTACATGGAAAAGTCCTAGGTGTACTCCAAGGAGGAAGACAGTCATGGCTACAATTTGTTAGAAAATAAGAGAGGTTGGAAAAGCAAAGCACTAAAAAGTTCAGGAGAATCAGGGGAAGGTTCTCGGAAGAGGTGGCAGTTAAATTGGATTTTAAAGAAGAAGCTGGAGAAGAAAGACATCCAAAATGGGGGTGGTGGTGTTGGCAACAAGCTAGTTTGTGTGAAGTGCTTTAAAACAGTTGGGTGAGCAGTGGTGTACAGACTTGATAATATTTCTGGTCAGATGAAGGGACAGATTTGAAGGCCAGGGAGAATCTTTTCGGTGGCAACTATGAAGGGCCAGAGGGGAAATAATATAATCGAAGAAGCCTCAAGGTTGCCAAGGAGGCTGTAGACCAAATGGCCATTGAAGACTCTTGTTGGCAGGGCCAGCCGGGCTGCTTGTCTGAGCTGGCAGTGCTTGTGCCTTCAGAGCCACTCGCTTGTCCCAGCAGCAACCTTCTTCCTCTTCTCAGAAACTTCTCAGCTTCTCTGACCTGCACTGTGTCTTTCTGGCATCACAGGCAGGTCTGGAAACCTCATTCATCCTTGGGTCTCTAGAACTCATAATCTTAAAATGTCTTGCCTGGTCTGGAATGTCTTTTCTGTTTCCCCCATCCCGGAAGTCCAAAGCCTATCAAATTATCTTTCCCCAGCTCAATAGTTAATCATCAGCTTCTTATGTAAATCAGAACAGGAAAGTCTTGCTTAGTCAATTCCTTTGAGAATATTGTTCTGATGCTGATCTTCAGTAACTCTGCTGCCTCTGCCTGCCTATTCAGCATTTGCCTGTTAACAGGAAGCTCTTTCTGGCTCCCAACTGAAGCTCTCTGAGGCCAGCAGCCGCCGTCAATGTTCACAGAGTGCAGGCAGGCAGCCAAATGAGTGGGAATTGGGTGCACCCAGGCCAGATCCTAATTTGGGCTATCTGGGTCCTTGCAGCCCCCACCAAAGGTGAGATATCCAATGGGAAAGGAGGGCTCTCAGAAGATGGGGTGGGTGAGGATTTTCCACTGGTAGAAATGAAGTTATTCTTCAGAGGTCTCTGAGGGCCAGTGGAGAGCTATGTAGTACTTTGATGGCATCAGTATTCTGCTGTTGCCGAGAACCTAGGACCAGAGCTTCCTTCTTGGGAGTGGGTAGCGCACAGAAGATCCTGGTTCTGCCTTTGGGTTGCTCACACCCTGCAAGGGGTTTAGAGGGGCTCCATCCTGAGCACTGGAGAAGCGTGAGGAACAGAGCCTGTGCTTCTGCACTCCTGGCTGCGGCGACAGGACTTTCAGTAATGAAATGACATTAGAAACAGTGCTAAGACACCCGGGTTTTGCTAAGTAAGTAGCTGGGCAGTTTCCTTCCCAAGGCTCCACGTTCTGTGTGGTGACTGAGACCCCTGCATGCCCAGTCTCCCAAAGTGCCATCTTTATGCTCCTGGAAGTAGACGAGTTGATTTCAGGAAGTATCTGCATGAGAATTTTAAATTTTCACCCATGAATATTCATGTGTATTCAAAAGCATATACCTAACTCACCAAAATCACAATTCCATAAATGTCATTACTTGGAATTCTTCTAGGTAAAATTTTAAAAGGAGTTTATTGGAATTAAATTTTAAGAAAAAAAAAAAAGAAGCCAGCAATCATGCAGGTGCTGCACAGATATGCCAGCAGTGGTGCTGGAGGGTGTGGAGTGACAGAAGTGTAGGAACCCCTGGGAAGATGAGTTTGTGGCATCCCAGGATCTACAGAGTTCGGTATATGTCAATCCTGTAGAAAGAAAGCGCTCTCAGCAGAAGGGAGATGGGTTTCTGAGTGAATGGGGGAAAATTTTGTTGCTAGGTACTGCTGGGCTCCTAGGAGAAACTAAGTCAGTGGTTTCATGGGGGTGACTTCTACAGCAATCTTGGAAAAAGCCATGGAACTGGATTCATGGAGAGGGAACCTGGATACCACCAGCTGCACAACTTCTGAGTGAAGGAAGCACATCCCCACTGGGGAGCTCCAGACTGGGTGGGCCATTGCCCTGCCTGTCCCCAGCCTGCTCCTGATTCCTCCCATGTGTTCCCGCAGGGCCTTCTGCTGAAGGGCCACAGAGGAACACCAGGCTGGGATGGATTCAGGGCAAGCAAGTCACTGTGCTGGGAAGCCCTGTGCCTGTGAACGTGTTCCTCGGAGTCCCCTTTGCTGCTCCCCCGCTGGGATCCCTGCGATTTACGAACCCGCAGCCTGCATCGCCCTGGGATAACTTGCGAGAAGCCACCTCCTACCCTAATTTGTAAGACCAGGTTCGGGCCCACGGGTGGTTTGTGACTCTGGGAGTGGCAGGAATTCAGGTCATGCAGCCCAGTGTGAAAGAAGAGGGATTGGCATGGATGGGGGAGGAGGGAGAGAGAGGGCTTGAGACTCGGGCGAGTGGTTTGGTAATCCCCTGACTCCTAAACTGGCTGATGGCCAGGTCACTGGAGGCATCTTTAAAAATATACAGATTCTCCAAGCTCCCTTCTGAACTTTCTGAATCAGAATATCCCGAGCTGAGCCCAGGAAACTATTATCTGAACGCTTTTTAGAGACTCTGATCACCAGCCAGTTTTTTTTAGAAGTGCTGAAATGGGCGTACTGAGTCCTTTGGTCAGAAGGGACTGTCTAGGTATCTTCTTGTGACCTCTCACCCAAGCCTGGCTCTATGGTCAGACTGGGTGAGGGTTTTATTGAGAAGAACCACACTAGAAGGGTGTTAGCTCCAGCTGTCAAAACGGTGCCTGATGCAATACCTAGTCCATGGTGAACTCCATAAATACCCGTGGAATGAACATGTGGATGTGTCTCTGTGACGCAGGGACTCTGGGAGGTAAGGAGCTCCTGGTCACTGCAGATTTCCAAGCTCGGTTAGGTAACCAGTTACCAGGTTAATTGTGGAGGGGTGAGGTGAGACTTACTGGGTGGGCAGTGAGACTTGAAAATCCCCTAGAATCTTCCAACTCTTTAGATTCTGTCAAGCTCTCAGGTTGGGCCACATGGGTTCCTGGCAGAAGAAATTCTGGTGCCAGGATATTCCCTAAGCCACAGAAGATGACCCCATGTGGTCCAAGGACTGAGGACATCAAGCTGAAACTCATTTGTTTGTGCGTTCATTCATTCATCCAACTAATATTCATTGCGAACCAACTTGATAACTGGCTCTCCATTAAGCTTGGGGACGCCGCAGGGGTTGAGTCACAGCTGTCATCATGGAGCATGGAGAGGGGTGATGGTGGCAGGAACGTAAACAGTAATTGACAGCTAAAATATAAGATGGCAAGGGCAACCATTAGGGTGTCAGGGAAGGGTGCTGAGGGGAAACAAAGACCCACCTGGACTAGCTTTGATGGGAGGTCAGAGACGGCTTTGCTGAAAGCGCTGAGGCCTGATCAACAACATACAAAGGGGCAAGGAGGCATAAACACCTGTCAGGAGAAGACGTGCAGCAATATTGCACACTATTCTATTAAGAATTGATTGCGTACACAGTATGGTAGAAGCATTCACATTTACAGCCTTGCTTAATCTTACGGTGTATCATGCTCTGTGCTGGTGCTCTGAGGTACAGAGGTGACTAAAACAGAGTCTTAGGCTTTTAGCTGCTCACAGTTGAGCTGGGGATGATGATAATGCACACGCACAACCTCAGGACAAGTTCTGGAAAAGAATGCAAAGTAGGTGGGTGTTTCCGAAGAAGAGGTATGGTAGAACTGGAGAAATCTCAGAAGGCTTCTGGGAGGAGGTGGCAAGTTGGAGTGACTCTAAAACAAAGGGAAGAATGTGAGCACGCAGATACAGGGAGAGAGCAGTCGAGGCAAGGGCCCGGCTTGAGCAAAGCCTGGGTGCAGGAGTCTCCCTGCCAGTCTATCCTGGGTGGTTCCAGGTAGAGAGGCCTGGAAATGTTCCTTTGCGCATCTGGGGACAGAATAGGGAGCCGCAGGGGCAAAGCCCTTGTTATTCGACTATGTCCTGCCCTCTACAGTTTGGGGAATTGTTGGGCCAGCTTGGGTCGTTATGTGTGTCTATATTATGGTGGTGGCATAGGAGGGTGGTGTAGGCATGGGAGGGTGGTGGGGGTAATGGTGCAATTATTCTACACCATGTGCTTTCCTACCCAGGAACCAGATCAATGAGAATTATAATTTGCTTGCTTGTTTGTTTTGGAAACCATGGGGGTTTGGGCATGATTGGACTTTGTACCGGTAGCTGCCTCTTCTGCTCAGGCAGAGGAGACGGCCAGGCCTCCCCGCTGTCAGAAGAACTGGCCCTTCCCAGGCAAGTTTGCTGATAACTTTTTCTGAGGGTTTTCTCCTCTCCTTCTCCAAGGTGCCTCCAGAACTCAGAGTGGCTGCTCTTAGATCAACATATGCTCAAGGTGCATTACCCGAAATTCGGAGTGTCAGAAGACTGCCTCTACCTGAACATCTATGCGCCTGCCCACGCCGATACAGGCTCCAAGCTCCCCGTAAGGCTGCCTGCTGTGTGCTTCGGGCTCTAGCTAGCAGGACCTTGGCCTGGGATCCAGGCAGTGCAGCTACATGTCTGGAATTGGAACTACCCCCTGTTGGGTAAAAGGGAAATGTAATCACATCAACAATTTTTAAAAATCATTTGAATGATAGATTCACATGATCAGTTTTTCTGATTGATTCTTTATTGGCAGTGCCTTAACTTTTAATTTTTATTTTGTTTTGTTTTCCCCTCTGTTGCGTATTTAGTGACCTGAAAGCTTTCAGAAAAGACACTGCTTAAAAGGAATCTGACTTTTTTCTTAAATTTGAGGTATCTTTTTTCAAAAAGAATAATTTTATCCTCCAACTTTTCTGTTTATAATGAAGACAGTCAGGTAATCATGTTAAGTGTTTCATTTAAGAATATAAAATATCCCCGTGTCAGTAAGTGGGGGAAAGGCATGTTCTATGTTTTAGCCACACCCTCTCATCCTCTTCTCTTCCTCATGCCTCTGCCAGGGGAAACTGGCTGTCTTGTATCATAACAGTAATGTCTATTAAATGCTTGCTGTGTGCCAGGCACAGTACATGATCTGATTTAACTCCCATGCTAACCCAGTGGGTAAGGACGATTTGGACCCATTCCACAGATGGAGAAGACGAGGCACAGGAAGGGCATAAGTGACTTGCTCCATGTTGTACACACAGTAGGCACTAGATTCTGGCACCAAAGCCAGAGGTTTGTCCACCTCCCCTTTCCTCAGTGGCTTTCTTCTCTTTACCTGCCCCGAAGGCTGTAATCTCTAATATGACCTTAAGAAAGAGAATGGAAGGGATTTGTTATTAAATATATAAATAAAGATAATGCCATTTGAATGTTTTATGTTCCCTGATCCCAATTTTTCTAATCAATAAAAATTTTACTCTTCCCTCTTTTTTTTGGGACAGAGTCTTGCTCTGTTGCCCAGGCTGGAGTGCAGTTGTGCAAACTTGGCTCACTGCGACCTTTGCCATCCGGGCTCAAGGGATTCCTGTGCCTCAGCCTCCCAAGTAGCTGGGATTACAGGTGCCTGCCACCATACCTGGCTAATTTTTTGTTTAGTAGAGACAGGCTTTCACCATATTGCCCAGGGTGGTCTTGAACTCCTGAGCTCAGGCAATCCACCCACGTCAACCTCCCAAAAGTGTTGGGATTACAGGCGTGAGCCACTGTGCCTGACCCTTCCTCTTTCTCTTCCTTCTTTCTTCATTTTTCATCCTTTCTCCTCCTCCTCTTCCTCCTTCCTCCTTCTCCCTTCCTCTTCCTCTTTCTTCTTCTCCTTCTCCTCTTTTTCTTCCCCCTCCTCCTCTCACCTCCTCCATTCCTCTTTTCTCCCCTCCCCTCCTCTCTTCTTTCTGAAGGTAGAGAGCTTTTCTCTGAAACACCTTGGGCTGCTTTTGCTCTTATACATGGCTTACAATGGTTTCCATCTTCCCGTGGGTCACAGGCTCACTGGTATTTAGTGAACAATTTCTGAGCACTTGAAACTTGAAATGTGCTATTGCTCATTGTTCTATGAGCTTTAGATGCAGAATTTTGTTTAAACCTCATGATAACTTCATAAGTGAGATACTTTCCTTCTTCACATTTTACAGATGAGAAAAATGAGCCTTAGGCTAAGTAATCTTTCCAAGGTCACACAGCTAGTCAGTGGCAGAGCTGGGAGTCAAATCGAGGCACTCAGGTGCCAGAGCCCACATGCTTAACCCTGGGCCTTCTTCAAATGACAAAACCTCGCACCCTGCTTAGCAAGTGGGACATTTATATTTCACCTTAAGAACGTGTGCCTCAAACTGCATGGGGAGGGGAGGTGGTGCCTGGTGGGCTGACTGGATGCTCTTCTCCCCTCCTCAGGTCTTGGTGTGGTTCCCAGGAGGTGCCTTCAAGACTGGCTCAGCCTCCATCTTTGATGGGTCCGCCCTGGCTGCCTATGAGGACGTGCTGGTTGTGGTCGTCCAGTACCGGCTAGGAATATTTGGTTTCTTCACGTGAGTCTCTCCAAATGATGGACATCCCAGATCCCCAAAGGGCAGCAGTGCAGTAGCCATAGACAGTGCCCAGCAACCTAAGAAGGAGCGAGCCTTCCGGGACAATGAACAAAACTGGCCCTAATTACTTAGGTAATTTTTGCAGCTGTAGCAGATAAATCCCAAAATGTTGGTGGCTTGAAACAATAAAAATCTCTTTCTCACTTGGGTAAAGTTTAATTGAGCATCCCTGATCGGCAGACATTCTTCCTCATGGTCAACCAGGGATCTGGCTCATCACATCTTGAGCTCTGATGTGGATTCTTTAGGGCCTCGATCTTCTGCATTTGGTGGGTGGACCGAGACAGCATGGAGGATCATGCAATGGAGGGTCTCCTGGCCCAGCCTGCAGGTGGCACTTGTCACTTCTGTTCACTCGCCATTGGCAGAACTCAGTCACATGGCCACATCCAGCTGCAAGCGAGCTGGGGCCATGTAGCCCCACTGTGTGCCCTGGAAGAACAGGACACTGTTTGTGTGAGCAGTCGGTGGTGTCTACCTGAGCCTCACCCCAGGTCTTCTCGAATGCTCACCTGAGAATCATCACTCTATCACAGTGGCTTCCCTCCTCCAATCAGGCCTAACATGTACTGGGCTTTCACTGAACCAGCCATGGGGCTGTGCACTTGCCATGCATTATTTCAACTCACCCTCAAAATAATCCTTCAAGGAAGGTTCTCTGTTGTTATTCTCATTTCACAGCTGGAAAATGGAGGCCCAGAGAGGCCAAACAACTTCCCAGGGGTCACAAAACAGAGCTAGGTCTCTTGACTGCTTCTATTATCCTGTCTAAGACATGGCAGGAGAAGTCCTGATGAGGGTCCAATGTAAACAAAGAGGAGAAGTGAGAGGTGGGGCCAGGATTATGCTTGCGGGTCACTGTCACATACTATGGTAAAGGCAGCAATGATTCAAATATGAATCCTGCCTTACAGAGGCTCCTGACTATGGGAGAGATAATGCAGGGACAAAAATATCCACATTACCAAGAAGGACATGGTTAATTCTCCAAGAGTGAGAGGCCATGGAGCTGTGGAAACAGAGGAGGGAGTTGCAAGGGATCAGGGAGGCTTCAGAGAGGGGTGACATTGGAGTTGCACCAGAAGGATGTGGTTGGGCTTGAGGAGAAGGGGTTCAGAGAACATGTGCTTGGCAAAGGGTGCTACCTGTGCAAAAACTAGGAAGTTGGGAGGGAGGTAGCAACACATGGGGATGAAGCAATACTTTTGCAGACTGCACTGGGCCTGTAGCCCTGGAATGTAGCTCTGGGAGTGCTTTGCAGGCAGGAGAGGCTGACGGGGTGCCCTGACCAGAGTAATTACACTTCTAGCTGCTCTATATATTAGGATTCTGCATAAGATTCCTTTGGTAGAAGAGCTTTCAATAATTGCTTATCGTATCTGGTTTTGATCATAGGTAGATGAAGCTACAGCAGGAGATGGATGCGGGAAGGCAAGGACAGGCCTGATAGGGAAAGGCCTTGAATGCCAGGCCATACATGGAGTTTTGGCTTTATCCAACACAGATTGAGGACCAGGAGTACCTTTCACAGAGTAGTGTACCAGGAACCTCACTCTGGAGCAGAGTGGAGGCTGAGCCAGGGGTGCCCAGCTGCAGATAGGGAGCCCCACTGGGAGGCACTGTCTTGATGCAGGCCATGGGGTCATTCAACCACAAAAGCAATAGCTAACATGTATATAACGTGAATATGACATGCTTATTTTCTGCCTGGCACTGTCAATCTTCACAACCATGTGGAGTGGGCACTATCATTATCCCCATTTTAGACATGAGAAGCATTGAGGCAAAGCAGGTTAAGTGATTTGCCCAAGGTCACCCAGATAATAAGTGGCCAGGCTGTGAATCCTGTGCTCGAGGCTGAGATAGTAACCACTAAGGTATAATGCTTCTCAGGATAAACAGAGATGGAGAAATGGGGACCAGGGTGGGAGCCACAGTAGAATGGAGGTAAAATTGGCAGGGCTTGACTCTTGAGCAGGGGCCTGGGAGAGAGAAGGTGGAGTGAGAGCCAGCTCAGTGGTCATAGACAGTGGAGGGGACCCAGGGGAAGGAGCAGTCTGGAGAACTGGAAAATGGAGGGGAGTAGAATGTGCCCCAGGGTGACGTGCACTGCATGCATGCTTTCGGTCTAGACATTTCTTTGGTTCTATGGCATTTCCACTTGTTTCATTTGTTCTCTCATTAATCCCATCCCGGGAAACATGCAATTGTGCAGGGGCAGCAGCATGGGGGTGTGGGATCCCAAAACTGCAGCTTTCTAGCTCTTGGGCAAGAGGGTTTAACCTCTCTGTGCCTGAATTAAAGAGTTGATGTATCCGTTGGTTTCCTGACAGCAGGCTCACAGGTTTAGTGGAAGGGAGCTGGCATGAGCTGCTGCTGTGGAGAAAAGCAGCCTCTGCCCAAACACTTCCCAGCAGAGAGGGAGCACGGGGTTGGGGGATAAACATCGCAGTCTCTCTCTAGCCCACCCTCATGGCACACAGCTGAGGCCTGGGTGATGTCATTCCTAGAGGTCAGCTTTTGAGGGGCAGAGCAGAGAAGGGTGGAGAAGACCCAAAAAAGCAAAGGGAGAAAACCCAGCACCACCTACCTCATAGGTGTGAGGGTTGTAGGAGTATTAGCCTTAAAGCCCTTAGAACAGTGTCTGGTACATGCTGCAGCTGCTGTTATTGTTTTTTGTTTGTTTGTTTATTTTTTTATTTTTATTTTTTTTGAGACAGAGCCTCACTCTATTGCCCAGGCTGGAGTGCAGTGGCATGATCTCAGCTCACTGCAAGCTCCGCCTCCCGGGGTCAAGCCATTCTCCTGCCTCAGCCTCCCGAATAACTGGGACTACAGGCGCCTGCCACCGTGTCCAGCTAATTTTTTTGTATTTTTTTTTTTTTTTTTTTTAGCAGAGACAGAGTTTCACTATATTAGTCAGGATGGTCTCGATCTCCTGACATCATGATCTGCCCGCCTCGGCCTCCCAAAGTGCTGGGATTACAGGCATGAGCCACCGTGCCTGGCCTGTTAATTGTTATTGTGACTACTATTAATTTAGTTTCATGGAAAATTCTGTGCCCAGGAAACTTCTTGCTTTCTAGTACAGATCACCTCTCAGGAATGGATTCATGGATTCCAGACAAGCCTGGGCAACACAGGATTCATGGATTGGGATTCATGGATTCTGAGGAACCTGTGAATACTTGAAATTGCAGCTACAATATTGAATGTGCATTTTTCTTAGGTGCATAGCTTTCATCAAATTCTCAAAGAAATCCAAATCTCAGCAAAGTGTGAGAACTGAGTCCGGTTTCCCCAGCTCCTCCAGGCCTCTGACTCTCCGCCCCCTCCCCACTGACCCCTGCCCACAGCCTCTGCTGAGAACTTCCAGGGCTGTGGGAAACACACCATGGCTGACCAAGAATTCTCACCCTGCCTCTTGTCCTCAGCACATGGGATCAGCATGCTCCGGGGAACTGGGCCTTCAAGGACCAGGTGGCTGCTCTGTCCTGGGTCCAGAAGAACATCGAGTTCTTCGGTGGGGACCCCAGCTCTGTGACCATCTTTGGCGAGTCCGCGGGAGCCATAAGTGTTTCTAGTCTTGTGAGTTCTCTGCTTTGTGGTTTGAATGAATCTCAGTGCCGGAGGTTCCAAAAATGATGATGAGTCACTAACATTTGATTGTTGCCTTCATGTTGAACAAACCCTTTAATACACATTGTCTTTTTCAAGCCTCACAACACATTATGAGTTAGGGGCTCAGTCTCATTTCACATACAGGACAGCTGTCACTGGGAAAGTTTAAATAAATCACCTAAGGTCACATAGTGAGTAATAATTTGAGGAAAAATCCCTTATATTTGTAGAGGAGAAACCCTAGTATTCAATTGCCAGAATGGTAATCACTTGTTTAATAGGAAACTCAGCTAAGACATGAAATGCCAAAAGATACATGTAAATATTTTATTTTAATTTAAACCATAAAATGTATATTCCCTCACCAACAGTTTGATACAGGGCCTTATGTTTGCAGAGTTGGTCTGCTGACTCGATTTCCAACATGGATTGTCTTGCATAAACCACCTGCAAAATTCACTGTCCTCAAATTGCAGTTTCAGTTTCTTTACAGTGGGCGCAAACTTAAAGATGCCTGCAAAGCAGTCTGACTTTAGCGCATTTGGGATTTGTATACTTTTCCTGCAAATATTTTACTCCTTTCTTGTCCACACACAATTTGACAGCAATATAAATAGAGAGATGTTTATCTATATATCTATATCTATATCTATATATTTGTATAGTGTATTTTATATATATACATACACACACATATATGGTTTTTTTGTTTTGTTTTGTTTTGAGATGGAGTTTCGCTTTTGTTGCCCAGGCTGGAGTGCAATGGTGCAATCTAGGCTCACCAGAACCTCCGCCTCCTGGGTTCAACCAATTCTCTTGCCTCAGCCTCCTGAGTAGCTGGGATTACAGGCATGTGCCACCATGCCCAGCTAATTTTGTATTTTTAGTAGAGATGGGGTTTCTCCATGTTGGTCAGGCTGGTCTCAAACTCCCGACTTCAGGTGATCCGCCCACCTTGGGTTCCCAAAGTGCTGGGATTACAGGCGTGAGCCACCGTGTCCGGTGACAGCAATATTTTTTTTGAGACAAGTTCTCACTCTGTTGCCCAGGCTGGCAAGCAGTGGGGCGATCATAGTTCATTGCAGCCCAAACTCCTGGTCATAGGCAATCATCCTGCCTTAGCCTCCCAAGGAGCTAGGACTACAGGCATGCGCCACCATGCCCAGCTAATTCTTTTTTTTTATTTTTTAAAATTTTTTTAGAGATGGGGTCTAGCTATATTGCCCAGGATGGTCTTGAACTTCTGGGCTCAAGTGATCCTCTTGCTTTGGCTTCCCAAAGTGCTGGGATTACAGGCGTGAGCCACTATGCCTGGCCTGACAGCAATATTTTTTTAGCCATCCTTTATCAAGAATTTTTTTTCCAGACATAATTTGATTTTCTTTGTACACATACAGTTCATTTGTTCTCATGATATTTCATTGATTGTGTAATTACAATAACAAGTGAAATTGACAAAACAGGTTTGGAAGCAAACACACCTGATTCTTGGCAAGAAACTGGTGAGAAGAGAAATGTACAGAGGTGTTAGAAAATGGTCCACTGGCTCAGAATGGTCAGCATTTCCTTGGCATCAGTTGGCAGGTTAATTGCAGAAATCAGTAACATGGTGGTGAGTTAAGAGAGCTTCTGCTGAATAGCACTTGACAATATATGTGGTCTTTTTACATCTTCAAAATTACCTTCTAAGGTGGATTATATTAACCTAACTTTTCATATATTATAACAACCATTATTTCATGAGCAAAATTTGACCAGAACCTCTGTGAAGAGTTCTATGTTTATTACCTCCCCTGCTCCTCACAACAGTTTTGTGATACGGGCTAAATTTTTACTCCAGTTTTACAGGGGAGTGAACCGATACTTAGAAATATTAAGCAACTTGGCTGGGTGCGGTGGCTCACGCCTGTCATCCCAGCACTTTGGGAGGCTGAGGTGAGTGGTCAGGAGATTGAGACTATCCTGGCCAACATGGTGAAATCCCGTCTCTGCTAAAAATACAAAAATTAGCTGGGCGTGGTGGTGCGCACCTGTAATCTCAGCTACTCTGGAGGCTGAGGCAGGAGAATCACTTGAACCTGGGAGTCGGAGGTTGCAGTGAGGTGAGATCACGCCAGTGCACTCCAGCCTGGCCACAGAGCGAGACTCCATCTCAAAAAAAAAAAAAAGAAATAAAAAGAAATAAAAAAATATTAAGCAACTTGTCCGAGGTTACCTAGGTAGAAAGTGAAGGAGCTAGAAATCACATGCCTGAACATTTGACATCAAAGTCCATGAAGAACCAGGGGCTCAGAGAGGTTGAGTAACTTGCCCAAACCTTCACAGCTAGTCCTTTAACCCCTAAACCAGGGCTTTTTTCCCCTCTAAGCTTAGAGCTTTTAAGGAGGCTTCCTGGGAAGGTTTCTTTGAAGAGGGATGAATGGTATGTGTGTTGGTGGGGAGTAACCTTTCCTGGGTCTTCTGTGTTCTCTCTCCAGATACTGTCTCCCATGGCCAAAGGCTTATTCCACAAAGCCATCATGGAGAGTGGGGTGGCCATCATCCCTTACCTGGAGGCCCATGATTATGAGAAGAGTGAGGACGTACGTATACTGTTAACACCTTGCCACCTTCCTCTCCTCAGTTAGCAGAGAATGTGGTCAGGCACCTTCTCACCATGTGTTTGGCTTTCCTTAGTGACCATGCCCAAGGCACCTCATGCTGGCCCAAGGTGAACCTTGTTCCTCCGTGAAAGGTCTGGTTCAACAGGAAATGGGTCTAGCTACACAATGCCACACCACTGGTGTGCACAAGTGTGTGTGTATGTGCGTTATGGTTCTTATGTCTTACCCGTTATTCTTTGCTTGTGATAGATAAGTCAGTCCCCTGTATTCTATACAGTTCTTCTGTGCCTACGCTACTCTACTGGGAATGAATACCCAGGGCATTATGTTAAGAAAGATTCAGAGGCTGTTTCCAGCTCAGTGGGAAATAATGCTGTGACTGATTCACGTTGTCTGGCATGGGATTATAAGGGGCATCTATCCCACGATATTTGTCATCTGTCTCTTGTCTTAATTATCTACTAGATAGTGATGCCCTAGAGACCAGGATCTCTCTGTCCTTCAGGCCCCCAGCATAATACCTGGTATATATCAGGCAGCCATAAGTGTTCCGGATGAATGAGTTAATGAATGAGCTGTTTCATTCAATGCATATTAATTAAGCACTGGGCTGTGCAGCCATCTCTTGAGTATAAATCATTTTTGTGGTAAATTTTCTTAAACATCTTACAGAAAATAACAGTATATACCAAGAGCAGAAACATAGAGTTATGCAATTTAAAAAAATTCCCTCAATACACAGAAATATTGATTTTGGTAACATTCTCCATAAAGCTATTTTCAGTTTGGGCATATATTTATTCATTTGACACACATCACTGAGTGCCCACTATTTTCCCTGCTCTGTTAGAACTTTGGGATTTATCAGTGGAGAAAGCACATCCTAAATTTGAGGGCAATATAATCTTTTTATCACCTATCCATGGATAGGATTAAATCCTGCAATCCATGGATAGGTTTGGGAAGCGGTTCCACAACTGTACCAGACTCCACATGCTTGCACGTTTTCCCAGGGAGAGGGTCTGTAACTTTGACTGGATTCTCAGAGTATCCATGACTCCCAGAAGATTAAGAACCACCACTTTCAGGGAGTGAGTTCTACAAATATGGAGGTTCAGTGACAAGGAAAGCAGATGTTCAGCAATGGGCCAGGCATGGAAGGTGGGGAACATCGAGCTTATAGGAGATTGGATGAGGAAGGGGTTTCTGGGGGCTGCAATGCCCTGAAAGGACATCGTGGAGGGAAGGAGTTGGGCCTTAAAGAATGAAAAGGATTGGTATAGAGGCAGGGAAAAAGACAGGTAGGACATTCCAGGCTGTGAGTGGGCCTGGGGCTTGGGCAGGGCTGACAAGCTGAGAATCTGATCTGGAGTCCTGCCTGTACTGACAATGAAGGAGCTTCCAAAGCTGCTCCTCACTCTTGGTGTTTGTCTTCATTCAGCACCTCAAGGTTGGGCTTCTAGACTCCAGAGGGGCAAAATACCAATGCAGCCAAGCTCACAGGACTGATCTCTTTGTGACCAGGAATCTTGATTCCATTCCACAGCCACAGACTGACAAACTCCCATCTCCAGCTGTGGTGTTTACTAAAGATGACAAGGAGAGCCAGGCAAGAGACTGAGGGTGATGCAGTGGGAAACTGTCCACCATGTGCACCTTCAATTATAGGGGTGTGGGTCTAGGCAGTGTTAGCAGGATGGACTCATATATGGAGGGCCAGCCTGTGGCTGATTGGAGGGCATTTTCAAGCTTTCATTTTCCTAGATGCTTTCAATATCATGCTCTAACCCGGTCCTTCTCTACAAAATAGCTGCAGGTGGTTGCACATTTCTGTGGTAACAATGCGTCAGACTCTGAGGCCCTGCTGAGGTGCCTGAGGACAAAACCCTCCAAGGAGCTGCTGACCCTCAGCCAGGTGAGGACAGAGGGGGCAGTTTTGGGGGCAGGCTTGCCCTTCGAACGGAGAGATGAACAAATCCTACCCCTCTGTTATTTATTTGAATTTGGAACATAGAAAAGAGGAGGATTGAGGTACTTGGTAACAGCTGTAAAAAAATAAGTAGGGATATAGAACCCTTGTAGGTAATTTAAGAAAATTGTTGGGGCAGGGGTTCAACTTAGCCTGGAGAAGATTCAGCAAAGTACAAGGCTTGTCTCTAAGTCCCTGAAAGCATCTCACTGGAGAGAAGGACCACACTTGTTATGCATGCTTCCAGAAGCTGAAGTCAAAATCAGGAGCTGGAAGTTCTATTAGGAAGTCATTTTAGTTTTGTGTAACTGAAAACCTTCCAAGACCTCAGTTGTCTGGAAAAGGACTGGGCTCCTTTAGAAGGTAGTGAGATGCCCACCTCTCCAGGTATTCAAGCAAAATCTAGCTGACTGCTGACAAACTTTCAATCAGTGACAGTTAATTGGACCGGGTGATCTTTTATGTCCCTTCCAATCTTGAGAGCCTTTGATGACAGTCTTTGAATGGACAAGATCATTATCTTTCAGATTTCAATATTTGCTAGTTATGTGGTGTGTACTGAATGTCCACTCTGAGCCATGCTAGACTCAGTGAAATGGATAATAAGTCCTGGACCTGATGTGTCGAACTCTTCCATGTGCTCCTTTCTACCCAAATCTCAAAACAGAAACCTAAAGAAACCATGACTAGGGCTGAGTGTTGCTTTCTGAGACCCAAAAAATATCCAGGCATGTCCAAGGCACTGTGTCTCAGGGAGACACCTACAGTCTCCTACAACCCCTACAGTCCTGACCACTTCATCTACCACCATTTTTCCCTTTGCATTTGGCCAGTGGTTCTCAAACTTAAACATGCATCAGGATCACCTGGAGGACCAGCTACAAGAAGGTTCCTGGGCTATACACCCCAACCCCAGAGTTTCTTATTGAGGAGCCTGAAGTGGGCCTGGAATGTGCATTTATAACAAGTTCCCAGATGATGCTGATGCTGCTGGTCTAGGAACCACACTTTGAGAATCTCTGGGCTAGGCTATATTAGTCTCTTCTCATGCTGCTAATAAAGACATACCTGAGACTGGGTAATTTATAAAGGAAAGAGGTTTAATAAACTCACAGTTCCACATGGCTGGGGAGGTCTCACAATCATGGTAGAGGGTGAAGGAAGAGCAAAGGCACATCTTACATGGTGGTGGGCAAAAAAAAAGCTTGTTCAGGGGAGCTCCCCTTTATAAAACCATCAGATCTCATGAGATTTATTCACTATCATGCAAATAGCATGGGAAAGACCTGCCCCCATGATTCAATTACCTCTCACCAGGTCCCTGCCACAACATGTGGGAATTATGGGAGCTATAATTTGAGATTTGGGTGGGGACACAGCCAAACCATATAACAGGCCACTGTTTTTCTTGGTAGATATTATTATTATTCCCATTTAGCAGATGAGAAAATAAGGCACAGACAAGTTTAGCCCCCTCACCCAAGTACATGGCAGAGCTTCCAGGGACTGATATATTGAGCTGGGCCCATAGTGTTTGTTTTTACTTTTTAAGTGCATTTAAGCCAGTGCTAGACTGGGTTGGCTTTTCTTGGCCAGGATTTGGGACAGCAGATTTTGTGAACAGAAATAGCTGATGATAGCTGATGATTTTTTTTTCTTCCTTATTACAGAAAACAAAGTCTTTCACTCGAGTGGTTGATGGTGCTTTCTTTCCTAATGAGCCTCTAGATCTATTGTCTCAGAAAGCATTTAAAGCAATTCCTTCCATCATCGGAGTCAATAACCACGAGTGTGGCTTCCTGCTGCCTATGGTAAGAATTCTGGCTGTCCATACTGCCACTCCCTCAAACCGTGATGCAGCTTTGGCTTCAACAGCTGGGCATTTCCACAGAAGACATCAGGTATTGTAAGTGCTGGAGCCCACCAGCCAAGCACACAGTGATCACCTTTACTCTCTCTGAAAGAGGGCAAGTGAGGACCGGGACAGTCACAGCAAGTGTCTGCCTTGCTTCTCATGTAATGAGGTTTAGGGCGGAAGAAACAACTGTATAAAAAGGAAAGAGGGGATCGGTCCATTTGGTCTTTGTTCAAACAGTATTATAAATGATTGTTTCCAAAAAATGCAGTTACCACTTCAGAGCTGACATTCAGATAGGTTTGAAAAACTTCAGTCCTTCAAATTTTTCACATCCAGCCTTGGTTCTGGCATTTTGACATCCCTGAATGCTAAGGTTGCATAAGCTGCAAAATTGTTAAATCATTTTATTTTTTCAACAAGTATGTACTGAGCATTTATTAGAGGCTTACAAAAACTGAGCATATGAGCTTTCTGGGAGCTTACACTCTGGTGGGGAGAGACAGATAAGACACGAGATTGAGAAGATGATTTCAGAGAGTGATAGATATATGAAGGACACAAGTGAGGAGAGAAGGTATCTTTAGGGAGGATAACAGGTGGTCAGGAAACGCTCTTCTAGGGAGTGATTGTTGAGCTGAGGCCCAGGTGCTGGGAAAGACCCATGATTTTTTGATTCCGTGGCATAGGAAGACTCTCTTCATTGGAAATAAACTTTTCATCTGTCCTCAGAGGAGTGGAGACTTCAAATTCCTAATACTGTTGAAGCTCATTTATATAGATTGGCCTCCTTATTTTAAGCTGGAGGAAATAGGGTTAAGAAATAAAGAGGTTTGTCAAATTACAAAGCTAGTTGTTGGCTGTCTAGAACCAGTCTCAAGTTCATTGAGTTGTGAAAGCATGTTCTGCCATTATTAATTTGACCTCCAGGGCAATGTTTTGAAGTGGGACTAGGGATTTTTGTCCTCATGTTGCAGACGAGGCCACTGAATCGCAGTTCATGGCTTAAGTAAGGCCTTTCAGTGATTTCTGGGTGTGTGTTAGAAAGAAGAAGGCAGGTGCTAGTGATGACAATCACCACTGTAACTACTGTAACCAGTTCCCCAGTGCCTTCCAGTGCCAAGCACAGGCTGTCCAAGCAACAACTTGAAAACAGGCATGATTTTCCCTATTTTAAAGAAACTGAGGCTCAGAGCAGCTAAAGTGGCTTTCTAACATCTCCTGGCTAGTAAGGAGACAGGGGTGTATAATTTTTATGCATTTAGGCTCTGCCTTTTTAATTTAATTTAATCTAATTTAATTTTTGAGTCAGAGTCTCTCTCTGTTGCTGAGGCTGGAGTGCAGTGGTGGATCTTGGCTCACTGCAACCTCCACCTCCTGGGTCCAAGTGATTCTCCTGGCTCAGCCTATCGAGTAGCTGGGATTACAGGCACCCACCACCATGCCCAGCTAATTTTTTTTTGTATTTTTAGTGGAGACAGTGTTTCACCATGTTGGCCAGGCTGGTTTCCAACTCCTGACCTCAAGTGATCCACCTGCTTTGGCCTCCCAAAGTGCTGGAATTACAGGCATGGGCTGGTACCCAGCCTAGGCTCTCCCTTTAAATATCGAGTTCTCTGTTTACCTGCTGTGTGATATTAGGGGAGTTGCCCACCCTCTCTGAGCTTCCATTCCTTCATCTGTGAAATAGGGCTAATCTTAGCACCTGCCTCACAGGTATACATCAAAAAGCCTGGCATATAGTCAGTGCTCAGTAAATGCTAGATATTGGAGTTATTCAAGTGACAGAATTTGCAGAGTTCAAAAGCCTGTGTGGGTGCTGAAATTCCATGTGAATTTGCAGTTAAACCCCTTGCTAGCTGTTAGAGGCCACAGGAAATCCCCAAGAAACAAATCCCAGCTCCTTAATGTACAGATAAGGTTTTTAGTAGTTAAAATATGCTTGTGGATAATTTAAATGACTCTGAGGATTCCCTGAGATTCCAGGAGGCAGGTACTGCCCTAGTATTCATTTAGGTATCAGCCCTAGTGAATCATTACCCCAAGATTTTCAGCAGAAAACATACCAAGAAAATTCATTTGTCAAGTGGATAGCGTTTCTGCTGCCTCACATTTTAAAGCGGTAATTTTGCCAGAAAGTGGTAATTTAACAAATAATCACAGGAAGCACTTACTACATACCAAGTACCATTGTAAGAGCTTTACAAATATCAACTCGCTCAGTTCTCATCACCACCCTCGCGGGAGGTACTTGTTGCAAACTCCATCTTACAGATGAGGAGCCTGAGGCAGGAAGAGTTGAGTCCCTTGCCAAGTTCTCAGCTGTTGAGGGCAGCTCAGGGAGCCTGTGTTTTCAGCCACTGCCTGACCTCCCACTGTGGCTTCTCTTCTTTGTGGCCCCACCCACAAAGGTCTTTAGAAGGAGAACAACAAACACCAGTTTGGAAATTTTCTGGCTTCTCTTTGAACTTGGTGTCAAAGCCAAGTTGGGGCCTCTCAGGCAGTCAGTGCTGCCATAATAAAATACCATAGACTGGGAGGCTTACACCACAGACATTCATGTTCTCACAGTTCTAGGGACTGGAAGTCCGAGGTCAAGGTGCTGATACCGCTTTGTGTGTGTAAACTTTCTTTTCTCATAAGGACATCAGCCAGATTGGATTAGGACCCACTCTAACAGCCACATTTTAATGTAATCACCCCTCTAAAAGTACTAACTCCAAATAGTCACATTCTGAATTGCAGGGGGTTAAGGCTTCAACGTGTAAATTTTGAGGGGGCCACAATTAAGCCCATAATGGGAGCCTTCCCACAAGGTGGCCACTTGGGCCCCACAAGGCTGCAGGTGGAATGACAAGGAACAGCTGCCTTTTATCAAAAGTGAGAAGAAATTAACTATCTGACAAGCACACTGAGGCCACTTCCACATGTGGCTGCTTGGGCTTGAGGGCTCCTTATCCAACTTCCCCTGTGAAAGTCAGCTGCCCAGGCCCTTGGGGAGATGGGTTTACCTTCTCATGACCAGATGGCTTACAGAGGGCACGCTTCTCTCCACAGAAGGAGGCTCCTGAGATCCTCAGTGGCTCCAACAAGTCCCTTGCCCTCCATCTGATACAAAACATCCTGGTGAGTAGCTTGGGAGGCTGCAGTACTCCAGAGACACATGCACTTAACAGATAGCCCTAGGTCACACTCAGCAGGAGAAGCCAAGGGCACAGACACTCCTCACTCACTCAGTCATTCAATAGACCTTTACTAAGCATAGGTGTATTAGTCCACTCTTGCACTGCTATTAAGAAATACCTGAGACTGGGTAATTTATAAAGAAAAGGGGCTTAATTGGCTCATGATGCTGCAGGCTGTACAGGAAGCTTGATGCTGGCATCTGCTCAGCTTCTCGGGAGGCCTCAGGAAACTTACAATCATGGTGGAAGGTGCAGGGGAAGAAGTCATGTCTTACATGGCCAGAGCAGGAGGAAGAGAGAGAGGGAGGAGGTGCCACACACTTTTAAACAACCAAATCTCATGAGAACTCTATCATGAGAACAGCACCAAAGGGGTGGTGCTAACCATTCATGAGAAACTGCCCCTACGATCCAATCACCTCCCATCAGGCCCCACCTCCAACATTAGAGATTACAATTCAACATGAGATTTGGTGGGGGACACAGGTCGAAACTATATCAATAGTCCCACAAACCCAATCCACAATCCCCGACCTGGAAGAGCTCCAAAAACCCAGAGGCTTTTTGTAACCCACCCAGCAGCCGAACCAGACCTTGACTGATTTGTGGCTATCAGTCATTTTTGTTCCCACACATTTATTCATTTTATTTATCCCACTATTCAGATGTTTCTCTGTGGATGCATTAATGTGGGTGTTGGGGTGTTTCCCCCACCCTGAGCCTGTGTCATAACACGCAGCATAGGTGCTGCATTATCTACCTACAGTCTGAAAAGCTCTGAATGCTGAAACACACATGGGACTGGGGATCTGTATTCACTACACACCAGCCAGGCATCAGGCCAGGTTCTGCAAGACCAGTCATTTACTCGTTCATTCACTCATTTATTGTTCCATCACTAATTCATTCATTCACTGCACAAACTTAGCAGTATCTGATCTTACTCTAGACACTAGGATATAGAGATGGATTGTTTTCCTTCCTTTCTTTTCTCCTTTTTCCATCTTCCTCTTTTTCCATAAACGTTTATTCAGTATGGACTCAGTGCCGATGTTCATTTTGTTCACTTGTCCATGGAACACATGTGTAGTGAGAGTCCACATGCCCCTGCACTTCCCTGGGCACTGGGGTGCAATGTGGGGTGGACAGAGATGACAAGACACTTCAATACAGTACACAGGAAGCACAGGGATGTCCAAGGCTCTGTGGTGCCCACAGGAGGGGACAGGCAGCTCTCTTGGGGAGAAGGATTTGGAGGATTAATGGAGCTTGTCTGGTGATGGAAGGGGTGGGTGGAGAAACTGGGAAGAACCAAGAGGACCAACTGGGAGCAGAGGGGTGTGAAGAGATCAGCTGAGGGTTGGCTGCAGCAGGAGAGAATGCTTTCAGCTGTTGTAAGCTATGTAATGAACATAGACTTCATCCTAAAGACTGAGAACAGAAGGAAGAAGGACATTTGATTTCTATTTTAGAAAAAGCCCTCTGAAACTGGGCATGGTGGCTCACATCTGCAGTTCCAGCACTTTGGGAGGCCAAGGCAGGAGGATTGCTTGAGCCCAGAAGTTCAAGAAAAGCCTGGGCAACACAGGGAGACCTTGTCTCTACAAAAAATAAAAAAATTAGCCAGGCCTGGTGGTGTGCATTTGTGGTGCCAGCTACTTGGGAGGCCAAGCAGGAGGATTGTTGAGCCTGGGAATTTGAAGCTGCAGGATCTCGCCACTGTACTCTAGCCTGGGCAACAGAGCGAGAGACTCTGTCTCAAAAAAAAAAAAAGAAAAAAAAAAAAGAAACACTACAGGCAGATATCCCTCAGGCCCCCTTGGTGGAGGGATGTTTGACGAGTTGCAGCTGTCTGATGATGAATTGGGACTAAGGTTTGAGAGATATTGATGATATAAGTTATACAGTGGAATTCTCAGGTGGATTGGAGATGGCCTCATGGAGAAGATGCTCATTGATCTAAGCCATAGGTGAGGGGAACAACTGAGCAGAAGGACATTTCAAGTAGAGTGGGAAGTAGGCTGTGCGGGAAAGTGCAAGAGGAATGGAAGGGCATGTGTTTCTCCTAGGCACAGTAGCATGCTAGGGGCTGCTTTTTAAACAGTAAGTAGTTCTCTGATGCAGAAGTCATAGTCTTACCCCAGAACCCTAGGATTTTGCACGCTGACTGTCCTATGAGGACTCACCTGAGACTCCACATAGCATCTATACCCACCTTGGACATCACCAGCACCATGGAGTCTGCTGGCTATATGGCCAAAGAGGCCAGGCCCTTATACCATAGACTGGACCTACTGCAGAGGCCTCCCTTGCTCTGGCCTGATTAAAAACCACCAGCCTCCTGAGGACCCAATAAACGAGTCTGAGCAGCATTCCCCAATGTGGTGTACACTTCCTTGCCTCCAAATTCCAAAGAAACCCATCAAGGGCTGCTGTCTTAGTGGTAGGGGTTTGAGCTGCAACACCTTTCCAGCATTTCCTAGAGCACCGGATCCCTGAATCTTCATGGAATTTACCATGCACTCTCTGCCATTAGTGCCTAGGGAAAGTTGAGAGGGAGAAGCCTGGGAGGCAGGCTGGTGCCAGGTCAGAGAAGCATCGAATGTCCTATTAAGGCGCTCAGCAATGGGGCCCAGGGGAAACAACAGGACTAAAGAACTGCTCTGGGGCAAGCAGCATACTTTTCTCTTCACATCTCATATAATCCTCCACATCCCTACAGAGGAGGAAACTGAGGCTCCAAGAGACCAACTAGCTTAGGTAAGATAATAGCTAAGGGCTGGAGGCAGCACTGGTACCAGGAACAGGGCTGGTTTCATGGATGTTCTGCCCGTGTAGTCACAGAGGACCTTGTTGCTCAGAAGGGTCCTACATTTGGTTTAGTGCTCCGCTGTTACCATCTTGAAATTCTTAATGATTTTTTGAACAAGCAGTTTATGTTTTTACTTTGCACTGAGCTCCACGATGATGCAGCCAGTTCTGCCCAGAAGTGACTCATTCTGAGACATGAGAGAGAAGCCTGTGGTCAGGAGCATGGGATTTGGATGCAAATAGACTTGTGAAAGAATCATGGTTCTTCCAGTTGGACCCAACCACTTCACCTCTCTAAGCCTCAGTTTCTTAATCTGTGAAACAGGGCTAGTTTTGATACTTGCATCATAGGGTTGCTGTGTGGGTTAAATGAAGCAATGTGGGTAAAGCATTCAGAATCATACCTGCACAGGTGAGTGTTTAACGTGTTGGCCATTGTGGTTGACCTGGATCTCCTAGGACTACGATATTTTTACAGCACATCCCGCCTCAGTATTTGCACCTTGTGGCTAATGAATACTTCCATGACAAGCACTCCCTGACTGAAATCCGAGACAGTCTTCTGGACTTGCTTGGAGATGTGTTCTTTGTGGTCCCTGCACTGATCACAGCTCGATATCACAGAGGTGAGTATCTGAGCATCCCGCTCCAGGACCATAGCCCAGTGAGGCTGGTGGCCACGGAAATCCATATTGTCTACTGAGCGGCTGCCTTCTCTGCCTCTGTTCTATCATGGAAAGTGCATTTCCAGGTGTGCCTGGATGGAAACATGCCATGGGGACCTGCGTCATTCACCTGCCTTTCAGAGTTTGGGGATGTTGATCAGTTGTTTCTGTTTCTTCCCCTTCTTCAGGACCATGTATAAAATTCTCATCTCCCTATAATTTTCTGGGCGCCATCCCCAAGGATTTTTTCTTTCTAGAAATGTCTTCCCCAACATCTTAGCCATACGTAGTAATGGAACAAACATTACAGCTATAAGGAGTAATGGAACTCCTAAAGTAATCGACTTTAAATCAACTATTTTAAATGCAGCCAAATACTCCACCCCATAACATTAGATTCCACATTCTTCTCAAGTGCACATGCAACATCTTCCAGAATAAACCATATGTTAGATCACCAAACAAATCCCAATGAATGTAAAAGGATGGAAATCATGCAGAGTATCTTCTTCGACCACAAGGCAATGAAATTAGAAATCAATAACAAAAGGAAATCTGGAAAATTCACAAATATTTATAAATGAAATGGCATACTCTTTTTTACATTTTAAAAATTGTAGTTAAATATGCTTAATAAAAAATTTACCATTTTAACCATTTTAAGTGTATAGTTCAATGGTATCAAGTACATTCATATTGTTGTACAACCATCACCGCTATACATCTTCAGAACGTTTTTATCATCCCAAACTGAAAATCAGTACCTATTAAAAATAACTCCCCACCCTTCCTTCCCCCAGACCCCAATAACCACCATTCTACTTTCTGTCTCTATGACTGACTTTTTAGTTACTTTAGTGACTTTAGTTACTCAATGTAAGTTGAATCATTCAATATTTGTCCTTTTGTCTGGCTTATTTCACGTAGCATAAGGTCTCAGGATTCCTATATGCTGTACTATACATCAGAATTTCCTCCTTTTTTAAGGCTGACTAATGTTCCATTGTATGTATATATCACATTTTGTGTATCCATTTATTCATTAATGGACATTTGCGTTGTTTCCACCATTCAGCTATTGTGCAAGGAACAATTGGCTATTGGCTACATTTGCCTATTGGCTATAATGCTGCAATGAACATAGTTGTAGAAATATCTGTTCAAGTCCCTGTTTTCAGTTATTTGAGGTATATGCCAGAGGTAGAATTTCTGGATCATCTGTAATGCTATGTTTAATTTCTTTGAAGAACTGTCATGTTGTTCTCCACTGTGTCTGCACCATTTTACATTACTACCAGCAATGCACAAGGGGTGCAATTTCTCGACATCTTGACCAACATTTGTTATTTTCTTCTGTTGTTGTTTTTTAAATAATGACTATTCTAATGGGTTTGAAGTAGTATCTCATTATGGTTTTCATTTCCATTTTCCTAATTATTAGAGATGTTGAGCATCTTTTCATGTGCTTATTGGACATTTGTATATATGTTTTTGGAGAAACGTTTAAGACCCTTGCCCATTTTTGAATTGAGTTGTTTTTTGTTGCTGAGTTTTAAGAGTTCCTTATATATTGTGGAAATTAATCCCTTATGAGATATATGACTTGCAAATATTTTCTCCCATTCTGTGGGTTGCCGGGTTGCCTTCTTACTCTGTTGATAATGTACAAAAGTTGCACAGTAGTTTTTAATTTTGATGAAATAGAATTCATTCACTTTTTTGTTGGTTGTGGTTTTGGTGTCATATATAAGAATCCACTGCCAAATTCAAGGGTATGGAAATTTACCACTATATTTTCTTATAAGAGGTTTACAGTTTTAGTTTTACATTTAGGTCTTTGATCCATTTTGAGTTAGTTTTTCTATATACTATGAGGGAAGAATCTACCTTTATTCTTTTGCATGTGTCATATACTAGGGTGGCTATAATTTTTTTAAAAAGAAAAGGAGTAAGAACAAGTGTGAAGGACATAGAGAAACCAAAACTCTCATACACTGCTGCTGGGGACATAAAACAGTGCAGCCACTGTGGAAAAAAGTTGTGGCCGTTCCTCAAAAAGGTAAACGTAGAGTTTCCATATAACCTAGCAAATCCAGTCCTAGGGATATACTCAAGATAATTGAAAACTGACGTTCAAACAAAAATTGTATATGAATGTTCATAGCACTCTTGTTCATTATAGGTCAAAATGGTTAAAACCCAAATGTTCATCAACTGATGAATCGATAAACAAAATTCAGTATATACTTACAATGGATTATCATTTTGCCATAAAAAGAAATGAAATACGGACGGATGCTACAACACAGATGAGCCTTGTAAACATTTTGCTAAGTGAAAGAAGTCAGGCACAAAGGGCCACATGTTGTATGATCCCATTTATACGAAATGTTCAGATTAGGCAAAGCCATAGACACAGAAAGTAGAATTGTGTTTTCCAGAAGCTGAGAAGTGGGGCCAATGGGGAGTGTCTGCTAAATGGGTCTGAGGTTTCTGTTTGGGGTGATGAAAAGGTTCTGGACCTAAATAGTGGTGATAGTTGCACAACATCCTAAATGTACTAAAAACCGCTGAATTATATACTTTAAAATGGTTCAAGGGGCAGATTTCACTTATGTACATTTTGCTTTAAAAATATTGTTAAGAAAATGAGAAGGCAGACCACAGACTGGAAGAAAATATTCATAGTACAATTATTTGACAAAATAATCATATCCAGAATAGAAGAACCCTTACAGTTCAGTAATGAAAAGAAAGTATTTTCCAATAATGGGTAAAAGACTTGAACTTTGAGAGAAAGTCCCAACAAAGTAGATCTTGGCTGAATATAGAGGACTTCTTTTGAGAAGCAGAACTACTGCCTTCTCAGACGTGAGCTCTTCATCACTAGGGATATGAGCACTGCTGTAGCAGGAAATTCCAGCCTCAAATGAGGAAGGGGGAAGTGAGCTGTCTCTGAGCTGTCCCACCCCTGGGTCTATACATCCAAGACTTGATAGGTGGGGACACAGAGCCAGCCCCCTGCTCCGCGCTGCATGCATGCCTGACCTTCCCTGACCTTTTGTCAGATGCTGGTGCACCTGTCTACTTCTATGAGTTTCGGCACCGGCCTCAGTGCTTTGAAGACACGAAGCCAGCTTTTGTCAAAGCCGACCACGCTGATGAAGTCCGCTTTGTGTTCGGTGGTGCCTTCCTGAAGGGGGACATTGTTATGTTCGGTAAGGGACTGGCCACTTCCCACAGTTCACATGAAGCCCCTTGCTTACCCCACCACGATGCAAGCGCCTGGAGGACTTCGGGGTTGGCATTTAATTACCTCTGTGGTTTATAGGCGGACACAACCTTTCTCTGGAAAATGCCCTCCCTTCCATTTTTAGAAGCCAGGATGAAAAAGTGCCATGACAGTTGCTTGATGAGGGCTTCTCTTTGTACTGAAACCTACAGGTTTGGCCACTTCAGGGCACTCAAGCAATCTAAATATTTTTTTTTTTAATATACTAGAACCATTTTCTTCCTTTTCTTTGACCACTGGTCTTACCCTCCCTCCCCTTCCCAGAAATCCCATGAGGCCACAACCTGAGGCTTTAAGAGGCAAGGACCATGTTTTTCATAATTCCAGCTCAAAGTGGTCTGCACCCAGAAGAGCTTTGTAAATGCTTGTGAAATGTTACTTGTGATGTTAGCTCATTTATTCTTAAGTTTATGACATATTTGGTGCCTAAAATAAACCAATCAGATGAGGTTATCAATAGAAAAAAATTACAGGGAAGATTACACACAGGAGTTATCACTAAAATATTTAGTTAGAAACATTACACAATGCAGGCTCTTAACTTATTCACACTGGCCTCTTGACAAAGAGGACAGAACGTTCCATATAGAGTGTATTTGTGCACTGTGGGTTATTCATTATTTCAGTTTTTCATCCTCACAACACAGATAATAAAGAACTTCCTCCTAGGTTGTCATAAGGATTAAATAAAATAAGCCCCATAAAGTAAGAGTGAATACCTAATAAACGTCACTGTTATTTCTCAGCAACCATTCCTGAGCCCATACTATGTAATGGCACATGGACTCCCTAAACTGGAAAAAGTCAACAACATATGTATCAAAAGGTTAAATTCCTTGATGTCTGAAGAGCTCCTAAAATTAATAAGAAAAGAATAACCTAATTGAAAACTGGGTAACAGATAGAAACAGATAGTTCACGGAAAAGAAAACACAAGTGGCTTCTAAACATACGAACATCCACTCAACCTCCCTCATAACAAGAAAACTGCAGACCATCCTTAGCAAGGAATTATTTTTCATCAATCAAGGTTGAAAAAAACAAAACACTTAAAATAATGTATTCAAGCAGGTGTGAGAAACAATTTTATACATTAATAGAGAAGTCTATCAACATTTAAAATGCATGTAAGGCCGGGCATGGTGGCTCACACCTGTAATCCCAGCACTTTGGGAGTCTGAGGCGGGAGGATTGCTTGAGTCCAGGAGTTCCAGACCAGTTTGGGAAACATAGTAAGACCCCCTCTCTACAAAATAATAATAATAATAACAAACAAAATTAGCCAAGCATGGTGGCACACACCTGTAGTCCCAGCTACTCAGGAGGCTGAGGTGGGAGGATCACTTGAGCCCGAGTTCGAGGCTGCAGTGAGCTGTGATCATGGCCCTAAACTCCAGTCTGGGCAACAGAGTGAGACTCCCGTCTCAAAAATTGTTTTTATTTTTACAAAATAAAAAAAAATGTGTGTAGTCTTAGCCAGGTGTGGTGGCTCATGCCTATAATGCCATCACTTTGGGAGGCTGAGGCAGGAAGAATTGCTTGAGCCCAGGAGTTGGAAGCTGCGGTGAGCTATGATCATGCCACTGCACTCCAGCCTGGGTGACAGAGTGAGACCCCATCTTTATAAAAATAAATAACATAGATTAAAATGCATGTAGTTTTTAGCCTGGCAATTCTACTTCTAGTGTTTTTGTGTAATTATACTTCCACATGTGCAAAAGTATATATGCACACTAAAATATTACTTTTACCAGCAAAAGATCGGAAATATGACATATACATTATATATTTATATATGATTGCATATAAATGTTTTTGTATATTACATGCTCATAGAACAACAAATGGCAGTTTGATAAGTGACAAGTCCTATATATGAGATCAATTTTAATAAAAAGAGCAATATGTAGAATACGTGTCCAGTCTCCTGCCAGATGTGTAGAAAGGTGTCCGCTTATACCCTGGTACCTGCAGAGCCTGTCTTTGGGAAAGTGCCTCTGAGGCTCGTCACTGGGCATCTGCAGGGAAGAGATGAAAGGGAAACATTTTCATTGGATATTAGATCTCTTTCTGCATTTTGGATTTTCTACTTTTTATTAAAGAAATACAAAAATTAATTGTAAAAATGTGTGTGGGAGGAGAGAGGCAGAGGGAGAGAGAGAAGGAAAAGAGAGAGAAGCAAGAGAGAGGGAAGACAGGGAGAGAAGGAACAGAGAGAGGGAAGAAAGAGAGAAGGGAGAGAGAGAGGGAGAAAGAAGGAAGAGAGAGAGGGAAGGAAGAGAGAGGGGAGAGAGAGGGAGAGAGAGAAGAAAAAGAGGGAAGAGAGATGGAAGGGAGAGATAGGGAGAGAGAAGGAAGAGAGGATGGAGAGAAGGAAGAGAGACAGAGGAGAAAACAGAGACAGAGAGAGGGAGCAAGCTGGTCTGTGTCCCCAGGGAACCTGCAGCCTCATGGGACTGGCTGCAGGAACACGGGGTGGACAGGGAAGATGTGTGTTCAGCTTCCACCATTCGGAAGCCACAGTTCCTTGGACAGGTCCCGGTTGCTCTGAGCCTCAGTATCTGCATGTATAAAATGGGTACAGTGACTTGGTAGGCTTGTAAGTTTACAGTGGGAGGAGGGGTGTGAAAAGGATTAATCAAATACAAGGCACCCGGGGCTTCCCGAGCCTCACCCAGAGCAGCAGCATTTTGTGATTATCTCCTTCAGAAGGAGCCACGGAGGAGGAGAAGTTACTGAGCCGGAAGATGATGAAATACTGGGCTACCTTTGCTCGAACCGGGTAAGTAAACCTCCCGGTCTCCCCCATGCCAAGGCCTGGGGTGTGAGGAGGAAAATCTCACCCCTGTTTCTGCTCTCCCTTCTAGGAATCCTAATGGGAACGACCTGTCTCTGTGGCCAGCTTATAATCTGACTGAGCAGTACCTCCAGCTGGACTTGAACATGAGCCTCGGACAGAGACTCAAAGAACCGCGGGTGGATTTTTGGACCAGCACCATCCCCCTGATCCTGTCTGCCTCCGACATGCTCCACAGTCCTCTTTCTTCCTTAACTTTCCTCTCTCTCCTCCAGCCTTTCTTTTTCTTTTGTGCTCCTTGAGAAGTTATCTTTCTGTGATTTTGGTTTCCCTTCTCCTCCCATAATTTCTCCCGCAATCATTAGCTTCTTTCTGAGCTCAGCTGCTTTCTATGGGGATCCTTGCAAAACAAGCTGCTTTCGCTGATATTTTATGGACTTAGGAATGATCCTTACAGAATTCTTTTCAACATCAAAAAGTGCAATTTGTCTTGGAAGGCAACAAGATTTCTTCAATAAATTTGGAAGAGGGCTGGCCTATTAGTTGTCATAATAATGGTTTTGTAACTCATATGAAATAAAATCAGAATGTAAAATAGGTATACGGGGGCAGAATTTAATTCTGTGCTGATAACACTCCCCATGCCCCCAGCACCCACTTTCTATCAGAGAAGGTGTCTGTGTATGTTACCCAAAATGCAAGTCCCCCAACCCCAACCCATTGGGGCTTCAGCCGCAAGCCAAGTATGGATGTCTTGGATGTCATGGGTTTGAGCTGGGTCTCTTCTCTGGCTCAGAGAGATGTGTGGGTGACGGGGTATCCTCAGCCATGGAAAGCTGCCATCATCCAGAATAAAAAACCTAGAAGTCAAATTCTAGGCATCAAGGGTCGGATCAGCAATGCCAAGAAGAAATGAAGCTTCCCTGGTGGGGTCGAGATGAATCTGTCATTCAATAAATCTACACTGGCTGGGCAGGGTGGCTCATGGCTGTAATCCCAGCAGTTTGGGAGGCTGAGGCAGGTGGATCACTTAAGGTCAGGAGTTCAAGACCAGCTTGGCCAACATGGTGAAACCCCGTCTCTACTAAAAAAATACAAAAATTAGCCGGTCTTGGTGGCGTGTGCCTGTAGTCCCAGCTACTCGGGAGGCTGAGGTGGGATAATCACTTGAACCCGGGAGGTGGAGGTTGCAGGCAGCAGAGGCCACACCATTGTACTCCAGACTGGGTGACAGAGCGAGAATCCTTCTCAGAAAAAAAAATAAGATAAGATAATAATAATAAAAACATAAAAAATAAATCGACACTGAGCGTCTGATATATACCAGGCGTATCCCCACTAGGGATATAGCAGTGAACAAAACATGGCTGCTACCAAAGAGTGAGCAAACAGACATTAAGCAAACATTCACGCCAGTGGATATCTCATACTGTAACTTTGATAGGTGTTACTCAGGAGAATAAGGTGTTTTCAAGAAAGTGTAACGGAGGGAACCTAAGTGAGATTAAAGTCTTAGGAGGCTCTCTCTGGAGAAATAGCATTTACATTAAGAAAGGACAAATCAAAGTTAGTCACAGGGTAGGGAGAATGTTAAATACCATCATTCAAAGGATGCACTCTTACTTTGTATAGCCACATAATCCATATTATATCCATATAATTCACCAGGGTAATTAGTTTTTCTTCGTGATTGCTTCAAGATTACATAAGATGCATACAATAGGAGGGTTTCTGAGATGCCAGTAACTCATCTGGGTGAGAGATCTCCAACTCAGTGCCCGAATCAGACCCCCTGAAGTGTTTTGTTTGGCCCACACAACGTTAAACATGTTTTGGAATTTGTTGCCAGCAAATTTTAAATTAGGAAAATTTCACATTAAATGCCATATTTCCAGCTTCTTCAGGAAACAACAATAACAAGAAAACCCAGAAGATACTGTTACCGAGCTGCATTCCCACATGATAACCAGCACTTCTGGCGGTCCATACAACCTTTTATGCAAATTACAAGGTGCCCCTTCCTCAAAACCTTCTACAGACATCTTCCATGAAACTGCCATGGATAAATATCTGCATTTATGATGCAAATGACACCTTCTCTAAAGTGTTACCCTTCTGCAGTGCACTACCTGTGCAACTGTCCTCAGCAAAGATAGAGTAATCTGCAGGAACTGAGAGGTGGCTGCCCCCTTTGCAGAGGCCTAAGTTCTCAACGTGCCACAGTCCACACCATACCCCTTTGTGCTGTGCCTGGTCTATTTTACTCACTGATATTACCCAACCTCTGAAGGTGTTTAAGTTTGGACCCTTGACCTCTCATTTCATAGTGAACCTCAGAGAGGTGAAACGATTCACCCAAGATCACTCAGCAAGTATGCAGTGTGAGCAAGTTAGCAGTAAGTCAAAACCAGGCCTTAAGGCTCTTGTCACTTCAGAGCAGGACTCTTACTGCCATGCAGCTACCTCTCTCATCAGATGGTCCAAAGCATTCGGTTGTCTCTGGATTAGGTGGTTGTGGGAGGGGTGGATCAGAGATGCTCTGGGCCACTTTATGGCTCTAGGCCGTGAAAGCAAGCTGGAAACTGAATTGCCTCTGCAGCTGCAGAAGACTAATTTCTATATTGATATTTGGAAAAACTAACAGCTAGAAAACACCACTCAACTCATTTTTAAAAATACGATCATATTAAATGACATTACACGCATCATTTATATATTGCTCGCAGTGCCAGCATCCTCAAATGTGTTTCTAATTTTGGTAGATATCTTGCTAGGGGGAGCACATTTCTAAGTTATCCAGATATAGGGCCCTCTTTCCTTCTCTTTCTGTCCACATGCAATCAGATGCTTTGTGGAGTTAAAGTTGACATTTATTTAAATGCCACTTTGTGTCTGTTTTTTTCCCCTTTAATTTAGAGTTTTCTATCTGGAATGTAAGTAAAATAATCACTTGGAGGGTTTTTCTAAAATACCAATGGCCAGGCCACTAGCCAGTCAATCGGAAGCAAAATCTCCTTGGATGGGACCTAGAAGTATTTTCAGTTTTCTGGCATTTTAATGAACACCCCGATTAAGAACCACTGGGTCTTAAGAGTGTGGCATATGTATTTTTCAAGTTCCTAGAGGCTCTCCAAAACAACAAAAAAATCTGCTTTATTTTCTGCCTGGTGTTGACGTGTCACAGTTTCTTTAGCCACTAGTCTTATCCTGGATATTTATGGTCATAATTTGATGAGCAACATTGGGAATGACTTCTTTTTTTTTGTTTTGTTTTGAGACAGAGTCTCACTCTTTCACCCAGGCTGGAGTGTAGTGGCGCGATCTCTGCCCACTGCAACCTCCACCCCAGTATTTTTACTTTTAAATATTATTTATGGCATCTAGATTTGCATAAGATGGACTGGGTCAACGGCCATGCCCTTTATAAGTCAATATTTTTGAGTTCTACAAATTCACTTTCCTAAAGCGCCAAATCACATCCTACTCACCAGCAAGACAGGTACACATCATTTTCACAATCACTTCTAATTTTCCACCATTGTAAAAAAAATAAAATATTTAACCACTTTCTTATTGTAAAATAAACAATTTACTTTTCCAGGACCCACTGCCTCCCCCTCCCCACTCTCCCCTTTTTTTTAAACAATCTTGAACCCTATCCATTAAATTAAATCAAAGCAAAACTTTAGGGACAAACTACGTCGGTCTTCACCTGTGAATTTCCTGATGTCCAGTAGAGGGCAGCATTATCACAAAGGAAAAACGCTTCCCTCTATTCTGAGGCTCCTGAGATGCTGGTGGTGTGACATCGCAGAACTTGGACTGACAATAAGACCATGCCAAATAGTTAAATTATATACAAGCCAATACAATATAGTGTTATCCATTCCATCTGTAACATTTGGAAAGAGGAAAAGGCAGAATCCACTCCCTGAAAAGTCTGACTGAAAAGACTAAACTCACTAGCAGAACAGAGGTTGGAGCCAGCAGTTTTTCCCTTTTCCACCTCCTGGACTTTCCCATTAAGTCTCCAGGAGCCTACCTCAGAGGGACATAAGGGATTTCCTCTCCTTGGACCAACTCAGTCCAGATTCCCCCAGGGCAGAGCTGCAGGGGAGGGTGGGAAGCGGGCTCAGGCCCTGCACCTGGGTAGCTGCCCCACCTGGTGCTGCCCCAGGTAGCGCATCTACAAGATGAGCCTCCCTTCCCCCAGCAGGGACAGATCCCACTCAGTCCTGCCCCGTATGCTCTGCTAAAAGTTCGTATTGAGAGTGTGCCTCATTATTCCCAAGGACGGGAAGGGCTGGGGAGAAAAAAACCTACCTTGCCGCTTGATTGTCTCAAAATACAAGGAAATTCATTGCAAAGAGCTCGCTGTGCTCCATGAATGGGGTGGAGCTCAAGTCTGAAATTAAAGGATGGGTAGGAAGGGGGATGGCCAGCCACAGCATGGCGGAAGTGTGACCCTGAGCAGTGGTGGCAAGGGGGCCAGCCCACGGGCAGCAGGGCTGGTGTTGGCAAGGTTGCTGGAGCACACTGTGGGTGCCTGGAGGACAGCTTTTCTACCTTGACCTTTAGGAAACAGACTTCTCTCTTTATCGGAAGATAATGCCATAAAATATCTATCTATCTATCTGTCTGTCTGTCTGTCTGTCTGTCTGTCTGTCTGTCTATCTACCTATCTACCTACCTACCTATTATCTATCATCTATCAATTATCTATGATCTATCTATTATCTATCTAATCTATTTATTTCATTTATTACATTTATTTATGTAATTGTGTTTCAAGCTCTATTCACCTCCTGAACTTTTCATATGAGAGAACAGAACTCTGGCTGATACCTTCGGTATTTTTAGAAGGATTGGTACACTTTGATTGTTATTTATCACTATATAAGTCCTCCATTAGTTTCACTGCATGCAACAATTGAGTTATAGAAGCACATTTCTGAAAATAAGTTATTCAATGGGAAAAATGGACTGTTGATGGCCAATTAGTAATATGAAGGCAAGGACAAACTTGTCCACCATCATGAGAGCTTGTTTGGTGGCCAGGCATTGACTTCATCAAGAGTCATCATTACTGCAGCCATTACATGAGCTTTGGGAAACTTCTTCCTTTTGACACTCAGATCTCTGGACAGAAATCATCTTATGTTGACATCTGGCAAGGCCCTTCCGATATTCTGTTGTAATTAGGTGGTTGGAGTTCCTGGGGTCAGCCCAGTTCTAGGAGTGGCAGAGGCAAAGAGCCTCCAGGAAACTTTGGCCTTGGGGTGGAGCTCAAAGGGGAGAGGTGCACTCCCCATGGGCATAAATGGGGGTTACCTACACCCCAACTTCTACAGGCATCCAATACCCCTAAACCCAGAGAGTCTTTTCTGTCTCTATTCTGATTGCATAGGTGCATGGTGGTGTCTTTCTTTCCAGGAGTTAACGTCTCCTTTTTCTGTTCTAAAACTAGTTATCGTCATTCTGTTGGCCTCTCAGTGTCCAAAATGCTGTCATTTCTTCTTTCACAGTTTGTCAGTGTGGGTTTGTAGCTTTAAAAACTTTATTTCACTGTTTTTTTTTAGGATAATTGGAGGGGGGAAATAAAAAATTTTGGATCCCTCTTCTTTCACAGGAAGTGGTAAACCGTTTTTCCTTTACACAAACATTTAAAAACAATTTTTTCTACCTTTCTGACAGCTACATTGCATCCCATAGTATAATACTCAATAAATTATTTAACTGTCTACTATTGTTAGCCATTCGAATGATTTCCTATTTTGTACCATTGTCAACTTCACTGAGGTGACCACCTGATACATATATCTTTGGGCTCATTCAGAATTATTCCTAGAGAATAGTGCTTTAAAATAAAGGTTTTATCATTATTTAGGTATGGCAGGCCCACCAATCAGATGTCAGCCATTGAAAAAGCAATTTGGGCTGGGCATGCTGGCCCACATCTATAATCCCAGCACTTTGGGAGGCCAAGGTGGATGGATTACCTGAGGTCAGGAGTTCGAGACCAGCCTGACCAACATGGTGAAACCCTGTCTCTACTAAAAATACCAAAAAAAAAAAAAAATAGCTGGTGGTGGGTGCCTATAATCCCAGCTACTCGGGAGCCTGAGGAAGGAGAATCACTTGAACCTGGGAGACAGAGGTTGCAGTGAGCCAAGATTGTGCCATTGCACTCCAGGCTGGGCAACAGAGCGAGACTCTGTCTCAAAAAAAAAAAAAAAAAAAAAAAAAGAGAAGAAAGAAAGAAAGAAAAGAAAGAAAGAAAGGATAAGTAGCTTGTTACTCACAGATCCCAAGACAAGACGAGGGGGCACTCCATGCCATGGGAGCAGGAGGCTGCACAGACAACGCTGGAGTCCATCAGAAGGTGGTGGTGATGGGGATGTGGCAAAAGGTGTTCCTGTGGTTTCCCCGGGAAGGAAGAGGTGAGGCAGGGTGAGCAGGTTTAGGAGTGGTTAGTTTGAACAATTTCAGGGGGCTCTGCAGCATTGGGGCTGTTCCATCTGGTACCTAGCTCTGGGGTGATTAGGGTGCGAGGCTATTAGTTCACAGTGGGAGAGCCCATGAAGGAGGTGGTTGGGGATGTGGGCTCTGGATCGGTGAGTTTATGTATGAAAGGCACACTAAGAGACAAGTGGCTTATATCTCTAGCAATTGGCTAACCATGGGAGGAGCAGTCCCTCTAGGAGCAAAGCCCTGCATGTCAAAGTGTCAGAATGGAGAAAATAAAGAACATGGTTAATAAAAAATAGCTGGGGCAAAAGGGATGCCTTTTTGAAATGTTAGGATAGATTTTGCCAAATTGCCCCCAAGGAAGTTTGAACTAAATGATCTCTCACATCAGTGGTGAAAGTTCCTTGTTTTCTATATTGTTGCCACTAGGCACTACCGCCAAAAGAATTGTGGTAAAACTCCTTGCAAATTCAATAAGTGCCATTTGGGTATCTGGTTTGAATTTGCGTGTCTTGGTGTGTGTGCTATTCATCTGGGAAAATGGTATTTTGTGGATGTGAAGACCCCTTGGAACCTGATTGGTGGGATGGAGGGGGATTGTGGACTGTACCCACCCCGATGTGGTCCTGGCCTCCATAGAAGTACAGCTATGTGGGAAGTTTCAGAGGACTGCAACCTTCCCATCTCAGCTGTGACCCAGCCCACGAAGGATTCTAGAGATTTTGTCCCTTGCATGACCTTCTAAAGTGAGAACACAGGGCCAACAGCAGTAGATCCTGAGATTTGGTCAGACCTTTGTGCAGTCCAGCTTTTTGGAGAAGCTTATGTCATTTATGCTTGCTGAGTCCTATGTAAGCCCCAAAGCCAAGCTTTCACAAGCTAGGACTTAGGCACCTTTGAAAAGGAGAAGTTTATCTTCCACCTTCCCGAAGAGTGTGTAGGAGGTTCCCCTTGAGAGTAACCACTGGTCCCTCCAGATGGCTTGGCTGCTTCTGCCAGGCTCTACTTTCAGAAACGCCCTTCATTGTGCAATTCTCAGAATTAAAGCCTTTCAGTGTCTCTTCATTGTCCAGGGATGAAGTCTGTTGTCCTTGGCTTGGCATTGAAGCTCTCTGTCCTCCATTCACCCTTCCATTGCAACTGGCCTCCCCAAGAAGCCCCTGAATCTGCCTTGTTCCAATGCTAATTTCTTCTCTGCCTCCCCAAATTTTGTCCATCTCTCAATACCCGCTACCATCAAGAGTCATCACAGTTATGGGCATTAACATATATGAATATTGATAGTTCTCAGGGCAAGAAAACACACAGAACATGCCTCTCCATGGAGGCCACTCTATTCACCTGGATGTTTATAATGTAATCTATAGTTTGACTTTACAGGGCTCTTTCCAGATTATAATTCAATCTTCACTTTTCTGTGTCTAAATTTTTACATTGCTTTCTGAATCATCTTTTTTCCCATTTTATTCTTAACAGGCTAAAGGAAGGCTTAATAAAGTAGAGCTAATGAATAGGATCTGGGTTTATAATCAGGCTTTTGTGATTTGAATCAAAGAAATGCAAAAACTTCGTGTTTATCAGAGTGTGGTATACTTATTCCTGGAGTTATGCAAGATCATTTTAGATGGCACACAAACTAAAAACCACTTATAGAATGGCTGTTTATTTATTTTGCTGTGTATTAGGGAAAAAACCCTTACTATCAAGTCCATGGTTTAATGGATATTACCTGTGACAAGGATTGCTGGCAGTCTGTTAAAATCTGTCCCACCTTCCTTGGTACACAGCCAGATTACATTTTCCAGCCTTCGTTGCAATTAGATTGAACATGTGAATAAGTTCTCACCAATGTCCTCTGAGTGGGAGTGGAGAGTGCCACAGCCAGGCCTGGCCCATACAAATGCTCCATGGTCACACTTCTGCTCCTACCTCTTCCAGGTGACAGGCAATTGACACCTATGGCAACTTTAGAAACCATGAGTGAAGGAAGGCAAAGCCACCATAGCTTAGATCAGGACTGAGTAAACTACAGCCTGAGGGCCAAATCTGGCCTACTGTCTTTTTAAAAATAAAGTTTTATTGAAGCACAGCCATGCCCATTTGCATAGGTATTGTTTATGGGCCACCTGACTACCACAGCAGTTGCCACAGACAGCCCATGGCCTGCAAAGCCCAAAGTACTTACTATCTGGCCCTTTATAGAGAAAGTTTGCCAATACCCTAATTTCGATCTCTGAATGACCATATGGAGGACAGCCACCTTGTGGACCTGAACAACACTCTAGTCCTTTACGTAATTGAAAAATAAGGCGTTGAAATTCTGGGCCTATTTGCTACCATAGTTTATCCTACTCTCACTAATAATTCTTGCTCAGCAGTCACAGGGTGATTGCCTGATGAATGTACATGGCCCGATTTCCGGTTGTTTGCGCCATTGAGGGTGACTAGTTATGCCCATGGGAGTACAGCTCCTTCCTCTATGACCCACGACCAGGCCAAAATTTCTTCCAGATGCTCTGACCAGTTAGTCCTAGGACCTGATTGACCCCAGGGAGTCTGACCCCTAAGTATAACACAGCATCGTGGTCCTGGGAAGGTGTAAACATAATACAATTTCTGCCCATTGAACCGAATGTTAACAGGAAGACGTTCCCTGAAGCAGAAGAAAATGACCTTGGTGACGATGATCCTTGCCAAAGGTAGGTACCCTTGCCTTGTCACCTACCTGGTGGTCATGACGGCGATCAAGGCTGGCCCTGCTTTCATGTAACTAACTGGCCTTCAATGGTTCACTTTTCCCATTGAGTGACTTTTTTCAGTTATACACTTCTGTAAACCAGAAGTGTTTTTACTGGCTTTTCTTTATGTAAGTTTTTATTTTTACCATCGTTTTAATTTAAAAAATGCAGTCACACATTTTCCATGCATACCTCTAATTTATGGCAGGTTATACAGGTCTTGCAGTTATGGAAATGGTATAAAGTCTCCTTTTTGAGTGAGCATGTTAAAGTAAAAAGAGTGCTTCATTTAAAGAAAACTGTTCATAGAAGTACAGACGATATGCTGATGAGGCAAAAAACCATGATATTAGTGTGAGAATAAGTGAGGTTCCAGAAACACTGCATATGCCCAGGCTGCAGTGGAGAATGTCGTAGAATCCTGGATTCATAGAGTGTGGAGCCACGGTGAAGGGTGCATGAGAGAGCCCCTCCCCCAGAGCCACCCCCTGCCTTTCCACAAGGAATTCCCAAATGTCACCCAGTGGATTCTCAGACTTCTGTCTCCCAGTTCAGTGTTCTCCACCACAAAATCTGCACCTGATCAATCCCATGGTTCAGAGACAAAGCTGAGTGAGGGGCCCAGCAGGACATGGGCTTGCTGTGCCCAATGCCTGCTCTAATACGAGCTTTCCATATATCTGCTGAGTAAACTGATGGAGGTGGAGAGGTTTGGGGGAGTTCATTTGAAGCCCCCAGATATGCTCACTCTCCCAAGTCCTACCCCCTGCTTAGAAGTTAAGGCCAGTTCCTCGGATTTTACTTTCCACATCATATAGTTCCACATGGGAAACCAGAGGGTGTTCCCCAGGGAAAACAATAATATCCCCCCCGCCCCCCACCAACCAACTGCCACTTAAACAAGAGACGTATTGCTTACAGCTGAAGTGTTGCAGGGGAGTTATATGTATTAAGCAAAAATTAGATCTATTGTAAGGCTTGGTAGGCTCCAGCCTCACCCATCACAATCTGCAGAGTCATCATGAAGCAGAAAAAGGTGTCAGAGGCTGCAGCCAGACCCAGGCAAAACCTAGGAGTGGCCAAAAAATTCTGTTTGCACAATTGGCTGGTGTCACAAGCGGGCATGTGATTGAGCAGTGGTTCAGGAGAAGAACTAATCCTTATCTTTTATATTTTGTGAACACAGCACCACAAAATCTTCATAGGCCAAGAGCCAGGGCTGTTTCCCAGGTTGCAAAGGTCAGCTGACTAGGGCAACAGGGCAGGATGGTTAACAGGCACGCGCATGCGTGCACATGTGTGTGTGTGTGTGTGTGTGTTGTGCTGAGTGAGTGGGACTAGCCTTGCTTTCTATTTAGGAGGACCTCCCAATTTGTCCCTTGTGGATAGAGATAGGGATGCTTTTTATTAGCATGCAGTTTATCAGCCAGATTTCTGTCCTGGATAAAAGTAAGGGAGGAACCCTAAAGCTCAGGTCAACCTTTGTAGAGTCAGTTAGCTCTGGGGACTGATTCTCATGCTGTCAGAGCATCCTCATTCCCATCACAGAATGCCCCTCACCAGCCTGCACGTGGCTAGAATGAGTGCTAATGAGCATGCCTTTTTGAATTTGGGTCTCCAGAAGTTTCATTTCAGCTACAACTCATGGCCTTGGGCAAGAATCCATCAGCAGCTCTGGGACTGTCATGTGATTTATGGCTGCTGGTTGCCCAATCTTTCCTGATGTCAATAGTGGTGTGGCCTGGACAAGGGCAGGCTTGCCAAGTGACATTGGGAAAATAGAACATAGCTCCCCAGGTACCTGGTACATGGCTCCCATCTTTGTCCCTTCCTTCCTTCCTTCCTTCCTTCCTTCCTTCCTTCCTTCCTCTCTCTTTCTTTCTTTGTCTCTCTCTGTCTTTCTTCTTCTTCTTCCTCTTCTTCTTTCTTCCCTCCTTCTCCTTCTTCTCCTTCCTCTTTTTCTTCTTCTTCCTTTCTCCTTATTCTTGTAGAGATAGGGTCTTACTATGTTTCCCAGGTTGGTCTTGAACTCCTCTCTCAAGCAATCTTCCCACCTTGGCTTGCCAAAGTGCTAGGATTACCGAGCGGGAAGGGTTGCCACAGTGCCCAGCCTCCCCTGGCTATTTCTATCCCTTCAGCCCTACCATGCTAAGCCTGGGTCAATGAGCTGACAAGGCAATTTGCCTTAGATAAGGCTACTGATTAGAATATCTTCCTGATGTATAAAAGCAAGAGAAATGGCTGCCAGCCACCCTGTGCTGGAAGGCAGAAGCCTCAAGTTCTGGTTCTGACTTTGCCATTGAGTTGCTGTGTGACCTTAGGCAATCCCTCCTCATCTCTGGGCCTTAGTTTCTTTTGGGAATAAATAACGGAATTGAGTTGAGCCTATGTATTAGTCTACTTAGGCTGCCAGAAGAAAATATCACAGACTGGGTGGCTTAAACAACAGAAATCAATTTAAGATCGTGAGACAGCATTAATCTCACGGGGTTATTTTGAGAACTGAGATCCTGCATACAAAACTCTCGGCATAGTGTTTGCCACACAGTAAGCTCTCAGTAAATATTTGTCAATGAATGTATGAAGGAATAAAAGTGGAAAATGCAAATAAGTGAAACACTGACAAGATTACAGCCAGGAAATGGCTGTTGTAATTCTAATTAGATATATAGACTTCCAGTATTTTCCTATGCAAATAAAGACATATGTTACTACCAAAACGGGACCATATTATACCTATCTAGATTTTCAAAAATATTTCATTATTTTATTGAAATATAAGTCACATGTCATAAAGTTTACCTTTTTAAAGTGTACAATCTAGTGGTGTTTAGTATATTCCCAAAGTTGCACTAACATCATCACTATTTAATCCCAGGACATTTTTACCACCCCCAAGATAAAACTCATGCCCATTAGCAGTCACTCCTCATCCCCGTCTCTTTCCCCTTCCCCAGACCCTGTCAAACACTTTCTGTCTCCATGGATTTGACTATTTTGGAAATTACATATAAAAAGCATCATACGACATGTGGCCTTTTGTGGCTGGCTTCTTTCCTTTACCATGATGTTTTCCAGCTTCATCCACGTTGTAGCATGTTCTTCTTATGGCTGGATGATATGCCTCTGCACGCATACACCACACTTCATTTACACATTCATCAGGTCATGGACATGCGGGTTGTGCCCACTTTTTGACTAGGATGAATGACACTGCTCTTTGTGTACAAGCTTTTGTGTGGACATGCTTTCAGTTCTCTTCGGTAGACACCTAGGAGGGGAATTGCTGGGTCATATGGAAACTCTGTGTTGAACTTTTTGAGGAACTGCCTACACCGCACAACAGTTTATAACCTATTATTTTCTCCTTTCACAACGCATCCTGTCTTCATTGTTAATAAATAGCTGTGCACATCACTATTTTGAGTGAATACATCGTATTTCCTTAGCCAGCGGTACCACAGTGTGTTTAGTGAATTCCCTATTGTTGGACATTTAATAATCCCATGAAAGAGGCTTTGAGTGACTTCCTTGTGTCCCCAGCAGCTTGTAAATGACAGTTTTCCAGGTGTGCCCAGAGCACTCTGTATCCCCTTAATTTGGTGATTTCACATTGCCTTGACATCACCCCTACTGCTCCTCCACCCCATCTGTCTTGTCTACAATGGTGAGCCCCTTGAGAAGCTGAACCATGTCTTGAATTGGTCTTTGTATCCATTATACATGGCCAGGTGCCAAGCATTTTGGTAAATGTTCACAAAATGGATGGGTACTTGGATGGATGGATGATAACAGCCAGGGACTATGGGGGGACGGAGTTCATTTTTACATTCTGTCCAAAAATCCCTGCTTTGGAAAGTAGTGAGTTCTCTGACACCGATGGTGTGTGACAGGAGGCTGGACCAGTTGGCAGGATATTGTGAAGCTAATTCAGGCCTCAGAAAGGGGACTCGATGAAATTTAAGATCGCTTCCAAGCTTGAGAGCCTGGAAAGCTATGAAAACACAAGCCCTGGGAGCTGAGATATGTCCTAACTTACCCAGCTGAGCTGTGAGGTGTGAGTGGCTCTAACATTTTCCAGTTGTTTCTGAGGACCTCAGATCAAAGCTTCCCTTTGCCTAAAAGCATCTGCCTGCTGGTGTGGGCCCTTGGGGGCCGTCACAGTGCACTGAGGTTAGAGTCCTGCAAGGGTGAACCCTTATGTAACAAGTAGTTGGGCAAGTTTACAGCTCTCTGTAATCTGACAGTAGAGTCCAGACTGGTTTGATGAAAGAGGGTAAACTGTGGGTGGGCGTGGCCTGAGGCCCCACTAGAAGCCCAGGGAGATCTGAGGAAAGGGAGGGCTTTTCTGATCTCTCCCAATTAGAGGATTAGGCAATTGGCAGCGCAGGGCGGTAACTCTGGGCGGGGCTGGGCTCCAGGGCTGGACAGCACAGTCCCTCTGAACTGCACAGAGACCTCGCAGGCCCCGAGAACTGTCGCCCTTCCACGATGTGGCTCCGTGCCTTTATCCTGGCCACTCTCTCTGCTTCCGCGGCTTGGGGTGAGTCCTTCTGAAATCAAAATGCGGGGCACTTTTTGAAATCCTTGTTCTGGGCCGAGGTGGGCGCAGATGCGTAGAAAGGCAAAGACACAACAGGTCCGGCTCTGCGGCGGGGCACGACTTCCATATTAGGACTTGGACTTGGAGCAGCTGAGCCCGGCCAGCCTGGCCCGCGCGGAGACGCAGGGAGGGTGAACATCCTGAGATCGCCCTGTACTGCTCGCCCAAATGCAGGCCGACAGCCGGCCCACCTCAGGCCGCACACACGAGAAATTTAGGCAGCTCAGTTTGCTGTCCCTTAATTAGTCCCCTTACGGCTGGATCACGGAGAGCGGCTCAACATAATATTAAGAGCATCGACTCTGGAGCCAGAGTGCGTGGGTTCGAGTCCCCGCTGGGCGCTTCCTCGCTGTGTGTCCTTAGGCAAGGGACTGCGCTATTCCGTGCTTGGGTTACCCCCTCTCTGAAACAGAGGTGGCAGTGCTGCCTACCTCACTGGGCTTTGGTGAGGAGGAAATGGGTGGCTGTTTCTAAAGCACTCTTGGCAGCGCCTGGTATGTAGAAAGCACGAAAAAGGGATGGATAAATAAAGGCGCTGTTTAAAAACGTAGTGTATGAATAGAAAATTTGAGCTGTGGTCAGGCCACTATATCAGGACCTCTTGCCATTAAAAAGACAGTTTCTTACTCATGTTCTCAACAGGAGGGGGACACCAGTGCGCGGGGCACAAGGGGAAGCAGCAGAGCCTGGGGAGGGGACAGGGCGGATCTGAGGCCAAGGGGCTTTTACTGTGGCTTCCAAGGATAGAAGAGGAAAGGCAGGGCAGGCAGGCTGAGGACTGGCAAGTTGGGATACTTCAGGGGCTCTGGGGCACAGGGGCTGTTCCTAATTGTTTTGTACCTAGCCCTGGCATGATTAGGGCAGGTGGGTAGTGGCCAGGGCATGGCAACCCGATCAAAGAGGCAGTTGGGGTGTGGGCTCTGGGGTGGCTGGACCCTGGGAGGGAGTTTCTCCAAGGTCAACAAGGCCTCAGATGCCAGAGCATCAGAATACAGAAAGCAAAACACATGGTACATAGAGGGGTGCAGCGAGGGGCCTCGAAATACCCCCATGCCATTTTATAGACAGAGAAACTGAGACTCACACAGGGAAATGTACTTGCCCAGGGTCAACCCGAAAATCACGCCTAGGTCTGTCTCTGGGTCCTGAATCCTGACAGCCCAGCCCCGTCTGCATCCTGTCTTCCTTCTGGCAGCCTGACACTGCGAGAGCTCTGGAACTGTGGGGAAGGGCAGAGAAGAGAGGAAGCCTATTTGGAACTGAATGTTCCTTTACCTCTGGTTACTCCTGGCAATGCCATCCATTTCCTTCCTTAGGAAGACCATACAGGCTGCCTCCACTTCCTCAGTTTCCTCCTCTGTAAAATGGGCATGTTGATGCCTACCCAGCAAGGCTTATTTGAAGATTAATTTAAAAAACTGGAATGCATGCCTGGCACATAGTAGGTGCCCACCATGTTCGTGCTTCATATAACATCAGCAGCAACTGGTCTTGTTCTCACACTTGTTTCTGCCTCCCCCCATTCACCCACTTTTTCACCCTTGGCAATCTGGCTGCCATCCACCTCATCCTGTTGAAGGGAATCCCTGAGCTGAGCATGACCAGCCCAGTGGTTTCTTCTCTGACTTGACTCTCCTCCACCTCCCTGAAGTCCTCAGCACTCTTAGCTGGTTCCTCGCCCTCTTGCTCCCTGGGCTTCAAAGACATGGGAACGTTCTCTCTCCCCTATTCTGATGGATCTTTGGTCTTGGCCGTAGTGGTCCCTGTGTTTGACCTTTGTTTTTTTTTCTCTTCCCTCTCACACTGGCATCTTCAATGAAGCCATACACATCCACCGTATGTACCCTCACAGTCCAGGAGAAGATTCTGCCCTGCTCCCTCACCAGGCTTCCTTCCAGCTTTGAAGTGCGCTCATCCTGTGGCATCATCTTGCCTGGATATCCCACTCACATCTCCACCGAGCCTGTGTAAACAGGGATCCAGCATTACAAGCCAGCTCTTTGGTCTTCTTTCCCTTCCATTTCCCCCACCTCTGGTCAGGGACCAAGTCTTTTCTTTTCCTTTCTTTTCTTTCCCTCCCTCCCTCACTCCCACTTGCCTGCCTGCCTGCCTGCCTGCCTGCCTTCCTTCCTTCCTTCCTTCCTTCCTTCCTTCCTTCCTTCCTTCCTTCTTTCCTTCCTTCCTTCTTTCCTTCCTTCCTTCCATCCTTCCATCTTTCCTTTCCTTCTTTCCTTCTTCTCTCTCTCTGGAGGAGCCAGGATTACAGGCACATGCTACCACACCCAGCTAATTTTTCTATTTTCAGTAGAGAGGGGGTTTCACCATGTTGGCCAGGCTGGTCTTGAACTCCTGACCTCAAATGATCTGCCTGCCTTGGCCTCCCAAAGTGCTGGGATTACAGGTGATCCACTGTGCCTGGTCTCCAAGTCTTTCAAAATACCTTTTAGACATCATCATATTTCTACATATTTTTTCTTTTTTTATTTAAAATTTTAAAATAATTAAGATGGGGGGGAGGATTTCAGGTGAAGACCGGAAATCCCATACAGTGCTGAAAAGGTGGAAATCACCAAGAAAACAGGCCACATGTAATGCCACCACCCATTGCTATGTCGATAAACATGCTTCCAAGGAAGTTCATCTCAGTATTATTTGTAATTAGCAACAACAACAAAAGAAAAGAAGCTAAATATTGACATTGCAGGGTTGGCTATTAATAAGATGAGACATGGATGCTGTTGTGTAACTGGGCTTTCCATAATGGGTTTCCATTGTGATTGGATATTCCCCTTTAAGACCAAATCTGAATTGTTCTGTTCTGCTCTAGCCCCACACTTTGAGGGAGGTGTTGACGTCTTGTCTGTATCCAAAGCAGAGCAGCTGGGAGGACAAGAGGCTGGAAATCATTTCCTAGGAGGGAAGCTCAGAGAAACTGAGGTGACTGGAGCCAGATAGGACCTGAGGGGTGGGCAGCAAGATCAAGTGTCTGAAAGGCCACAGGCTGCAGATCAGATCAGGCCAGTATAGTCCCATGACAGGTAGAACCAGAACTGATGCGGAGGCTGTGGGAAATGAATTTCAGCTCAGTGAGGAAACATTGTCCGTGCTGCAAGAATGGAGCAGACCTGCCCAGGGCCACCAGAAGAATCTTCCTTGACCTGATCACATCCTTTATCTGGAACGGTTCCTGCTGCTTATTTGTCCATTAAAGAAAACTCAAGCGCTTAGCCTGGCATTCTAAGCCCTCCCTGACATGTGCGGTCTCATTCCAGGAATATTTTCCACTCCCCCCAGACTCCACCTGGTGCATGTGGGCCATGCCCCCTTCCCCAGGCAGGCTCTGCATTCTGCTGCTCTGAGCCTCAGCAAATTCCCTTCTCTCTGCTGTGTACCACTCTCTGCTTCTCATCTCCCCTCATTCAGTCCTCCCCTGCCGCAAGTCCCAGCTCCTCCATGATGCCCGCAATCAGAAGGCCTTGCCCCCTCTTCTAATTCCTAGACTGCCTTATGGGTACCTCTCCCAGGACATGGCCACTTCCTTCCCAGCTGTAGCCCCAGGTGTATATGTGACCCTTCCCTATAATGGTCAGTGCTTGTGAGAATATGGGACACCCCTTTTTCATCCTCTCATCCAGCATGCGGCTCAGTGCCAGGATTCTAATGGATAAATGTTTCCAGAGACTTCTAAGGGGGAAGCTAAATGTCTTGTTCTTTCCTAGTAGCTCTCCTTCTTGCATTTATTTTTAGCTGGATGTTTTTATGCCTCCAATTCTAGTTTGCCCATTAAACCAGCTCAATGGGTTAGGGAGGACATTGATCGTCATCCCTATTGTACATCAAGAGAAACTGAGGCCTAGAGGGTTTAGGTGACTTATTTAAGGTCACTCACTTAGAAAGCGGCAAACTCCACCTGGAATCTGGGTCCAGCCTTTTGCCTCTGATGCATCCTGATTTATTCTCCATGTCCAGCAGGGCATCCGTCCTCGCCACCTGTGGTGGACACCGTGCATGGCAAAGTGCTGGGGAAGTTCGTCAGCTTAGAAGGATTTGCACAGCCTGTGGCCATTTTCCTGGGAATCCCTTTTGCCAAGCCGCCTCTTGGACCCCTGAGGTTTACTCCACCGCAGCCTGCAGAACCATGGAGCTTTGTGAAGAATGCCACCTCGTACCCTCCTATGTAAGCTGCGGCATGTGTCCTTGGGGATGTTTACCTCAAAGTGATGCAGGAAGGAGTCAAGGCAGTCCCCTGACGGGCTGATCCTTTGCTCTGGACTCCTTAAGATCTTTGTAGATCCTTAAGAACATTCCAGAACTCTCACAGCATTCTGGAGTCCATTATTTAACACATGTTTATTGAGCACCTGCTGTGTGCCAGGCGTGTTCTGGGTTCTTGGGATCCATTAGTGAAAAAGCAAAGATCCCTAGGTTCCTGGAGCGTGCATTCTAGCAGGGGGAGACAGATAAGAACAATATGCAAATTACTCCGTGGATTATGTGATATGATAGAACAGGAAAAGTGCCTTGGAAACAAAGAAGCAGTTAAGCAGGTGAGGGAGATCAGAAGGAAGGATCCCATGAATTCTGCTGTCTTGAATTTTGACATAGTCGGGGAGAGGAGTGGGCCAGGAGGTGTGTGGGTGGCAAGTGTACTGAGGTGTCCACTCGGCAAGTGCTCAACTCTCAGGTGTGCCTATTCCTGAGGAGAACAATGGAAGGTGTGTCCATTCACCCTGGCCAAGCTGGGAAGAAAAGCCCAAAGGTTCTAATTGGCCTCACCATCACTCCCCAGGGTAGGAAGGACCCTACAGACATCAGAGCAGACCCTGCTCATCTCAGCAGCCAGGTGTTCGGAGGCTTTCCAGCAGCCCACCAGTGGCCGCCTTCTTTTCTTCCCTTTTTTAAAAAATAATGTTTACTGTTTTTATTTTCTGAGTGCAAATGTAATATATACTTATTACAGAAAATTTAGGAAATACAGAGAAAGGAAAGTAAGAAAATTAAGATCACATACAATATTCCACCACCCAGAGAGAACAACTATCAGTATTTTAGATGGTAAAGTATTATGATGTAATATATTGTTTGTATTCCAGTTTTTTTGCCTGTTGATATACTTTCTTTCTTTAAAAGGGAATGCTATATTGAGATAATTTGGATGCCTGCTTTGCTCATTTATAAGTATATCATGAGCATAATTCCATGCCATTAAATAGCACAGCCTGGTATTAAAAGCTGCATTACATTGGGTATTGAACCATAATTAATTTCCCCAAGCTTTTATTTGGGGTCATTAAGTTATATATGATGTTTTTAATAATATAACATCATGAATGTGAAACATTTATGCACATTCATGAATAGTTTAGGATAACTTCTCAGAAATGACATTTCTGAGTCAAAGAGTATATATTTCTTGTTTGATTTCCCTCCCAAAATATTCCAACTACACTCCTCCCATTGACGTATGAACATCTCCATTTGGCAGACTCTTGGCAATGCTTGGGATTATTAAAAATATTTTTGGCTATTGTATAGGCAAAATAATAATAACAATACCAGCAATATTATTTTCCTCTTTAATTTGCATTTATCTGAAGACCAGTGAGTTCTTTTTTCCTTTCTTCACATTGGAATGTATTATTATTATTATTATTATTATTATTATTGTTATTCCTCTTGCACTTGGTGATCTTAGGAAAATTTCCCAGGATGGAATCAAGAAGTCATCTTTGCTGGCTCTGATTCTGTCACTTGAGAGCTGTGTCATCCCAGAGTCTGAGTGCCTCAGTTTCCTCATGTACCTAGTGGGGGCGGTGATGACTGCCTTTTGGTACATTGAGGTCTGGGACTGTTGCTTATAATATACTTGTGTATAAGCACCACATGGCATGGATCTACCTGGCTATGTAACCTTGGTCAGGTTCTCTAACCTGCCTAGGCTTCAGTTTTCTCATCTGTAAAATGGAGATAATAGAACCTACCTAATGGGACTAGTCTGAGGCTTAAATGAGTTAATATACAAAAGGTACTTAAAACAGTGCCTGGAACACTGGGAGAACTAAATAACTATTACCAGTGTTCATCTATGTTGCATCCTTGAGATCTTTCATCAGGGCAACACAACAGCAACTGCCTGGGAGAGGCAGGTGGTAGAATCTTGGCATGTCAGGGCTGCAAGACTCATGTAGAAATCACTCCGCTCACTTAGACCTGGCGGATTGGGACGCAGAGTGTAAAAGGAATTCACCCAAGGTCACCCCATAAATGCATGGGAGAGACAAAACTAGAGCACAATTCTCCTGATGTTGTCCCACAAAGATATCACCCCTGAGCTATTGTGAGAAATGTCACCTCCCAGGGAGGATCAGTGTATTAGTGGTCTCCCCTCCTTGATGCTGGGAGTTCCAAAGGCTCTGGAAAGGGAAGAGGTGTGAAGCCCTTCTCACTCTGCTTGGTCTTAGGAGACCTTAGTGAGTCCCAGCGCCCCCACCTGAAGCCCCTGATAGCCTCCTACCCACTACAATGTCGTGAGTCTGTAACTATCAAGTCCATTTCCAGGCTTAAACCTCCCAGTCCAAGGCGCTGCCGTAGAAAACACCTCGCTTAGATCTGGCTGAACTTCAGGGGTTCTTCTTTCCCCCTCCCCAGGTGCACCCAAGATCCCAAGGCGGGGCAGTTACTCTCAGAGCTATTTACAAACCGAAAGGAGAACATTCCTCTCAAGCTTTCTGAAGACTGTCTTTACCTCAATATTTACACTCCTGCTGACTTGACCAAGAAAAACAGGCTGCCGGTAAGTTGTGGGACCCCCTGGTCAAGGCGTGTCAGTGCCAGTACCCCGCATCTTCTGGGGCAGAATGGAAGGGAGTGAAGGCAGCTTGGGGAGGGAGCTGCACAGGCCAGGATTGTTTCAGAGACCCCAGGGCCTCCACAGGAAACACTGGTTTTCCACACATCAGTTTACCCTCGTGACATAGGCACTCTGGGGGAGTTTGTTTTGCATCTTTAATGAACATCTTAATTGTTCCAAGTTCCCTCATGCTAATAGAAGGATGAGAATGATTACTTTTAGTTACTAGATTAAAAATCTGATACCAAGATTGGGTAAGACATGATTTTCAATGTTAGTGGTGGAAAGAACTTAGAGAAAAGCCAACACCCCAACTCTTCCTTTTCAAATAGAGAAACTGAGGCCCAGACAGGGAAGGGGAGGTCACCCAGTAGGGTAGTTTTGGCTCAAGTCTTCTGATCTTCACATCAGTGCTTTTGACATGGAGTAGGGCATTGAGCTTGTATGTGGCCTTTCTCCAGCACAGCAACATTCATCTGGGGTAACTTTCACTGTCCAGGTACGGATGTTGGGGGCGGAGCCTGGACAATCCCAGAAGCTCTTCCTTTTGCCTTTGGCCAAATAGCTGGGATTTCTTTTTGTACCTAATTTCCCTCCCTAATTGTCTTGGCAAAGGCTGATGACCCAGTGAGTCAGAATTTCCCAAATAAATGAAGGGCAGGACATGGGGCAGCCCGCCAGCTGCAGGTTGGAGGGTGGGGAGGGTCTGCTGGCAAAGGAGGCACCCAGGGTGAAAAAACAAGGGGTGTTGTGTCTAGCCAGTCTCCCAGGGGCACCGTGGCATGGTGCCTAGGAGTGGGGGAGCAGGTCTGCGAACGTGGAACTAGAAGTTGGTCCTACATGTGCTTTGTGAGACACAGGAAGTGAGAGAAAGGTTTACTCATTCATTCATTCATTCATTCATTCATTCATTCATTCTTCTATTGTGTACTCAGTGCCCCATATACACAGTTAGACCTGGGGCTTCAGGGAAAGGAGGAACATGAATCCACTCCACACAGCCCCTGCCTTCAAGGATCTTGCCTTCTGGGCTGTAGAGACATATCCTCCCTTCAGCACTTTATTGCAGGCCAGCCCTCAGGCTCAGTCTTCACACAAAGATGAATGCACACTCAATCCCTCCCCAGGAGGCAGGCAGGGATTAGAGTTGTGGGAGAAACAAGGGCTCTGGGAACCTGGAGTCAGGAGAACCTCCAGGAATGGCCACAGGCTCTAGAACTACACGGTCTGGGTTTAAATCCTGGTTCTGCTTTTGACTAGCTGAGAGACTTGGGAGTTTCTTAACTTCTCTAAGCCTCTGTTTCCTCAAAATGGGAATCATCACATATGATCAGTCAAGGGTGACCACTAAGCGTGATCTCAGTCCCTGGCTAAAAAGGCAGAGGCAGGCTCATACCCCTGCCCTAACAGTGGACTCACTGCACTGTGGCCGGCGCCTGCAGTGTGCTGGGCAGCTCAACATGTGGACTCTGGAGGCAGACTGCCTGGGTTAAAGTCCTGCTGCTACCACTTTTGAGTTGTAGGACCTTGGGCAGGTTAAGTGCCTCCATTTTCCCACCTGGATAATGGGACATTATTAGTACCTACCCAATGTATAGTTTATTTTACTGTGCTTAGAACAGCACTTGGGACATAGTTTATGTTACGAGTTCTTTTATATTTCATGAATAATATTATTACAATATCATTATTTTAGCCACTCTCACTTCTTCCCCACTATGTGGACTTTTAAAATGCAAGAATCATGCATGAGGAATTGTATCCACTCTCATCCTCCAGTATTAGCAGAGTCCCTGGCACATGCTAAGTTCTCGACAGTGTTAGTCCATTGACTGAAGGCATCCTGAAGTGGGTGGGTTTTAGGCTGGGTTCTGCAGGGTGGATAGGATTTGGGGATGCAGAGGCATAAGGAGGCATTTGAGGAAGAGACACCATCACAGGCACGTGTGCTTCTCGAGACAATCATTCATGCACAGAGAAGTTTACTTCACCAAGAGATAGTTAACTGAGATGAAGCTGAGATACAAGGGCTGCCCCATGGGTACGCTGAGTGCATGAATAGTCTAGGCTTGAGGGTGATGGGAGTGTCCTCCCGAAGAGGACATCCTTAGCCTTTGCTATGCCCATGATGATGTTCTCAGCATCAAGAGCCTTTCGGGGAGGAGGCACTGGAGGCTGGGTAGAAAGGAAGGGACAGCCAGGGTATGTGCAGTAGGGTGGTGGCTTGGGTCCCAGTTGGGAGAATTATGCAGGAGAGAGATTGCCTTTTGCAAAGTTGCTGGGAGCTGGTGAACTTTGGATAGCATCCTCCTTCAGTTGTAACCAACAGGTAGGTCACCAAACAAGACATCTTCTGAGTGCTCCCTGGCTCTGTGTCCTGTAACTGGTATGTTGCTTCCTCTCTGCCCAGGTGATGGTGTGGATCCACGGAGGGGGGCTGATGGTGGGTGCGGCATCAACCTATGATGGGCTGGCCCTTGCTGCCCATGAAAACGTGGTGGTGGTGACCATTCAATATCGCCTGGGCATCTGGGGATTCTTCAGGTAAGAAATCGGACTCTCCTCACTGCACTTTGGCCCCCAGAACGAGGATGCTAGGACCCAGCTCTTGTCATGCCAGCCCTCAGGGGAGCTTAGCTAGGTTCCACAGTAAGGCATCCAAGCCCCTTCGTAATTGGACACTACCTACCCTCTCACTACCCAGCCACTCATCCACTTGCCTCTGAGCTTTTGCATGTGCTGTTCCCTCTGCCTGGAATGCTTATTCTATCCGAAGAACACCTCTTCATCCTGCAAGACCCAGCCCCCAGTTACCTCCACTGAAAGACTCATCTCCTCTTCACCTATGTTTCTCCAGCACATTGCTTTTCTCTGTCATGACACTTAGCAGTCAGCCCAGCAGGTGAAGGTTGACACATCTGACTTCTCATGGAAAGGAGGGAAGGGGCAGAGTCACAGAGGGAGCTCAGGGCATGTTGTGGGTGAAGGAATGGGGGCTGCAGATGGTGGGGTGTGGGAGCATCTGACCCCTTCCTGTGGGAGTGTTGGGACCCACTCAGCTCATTTTCTGCTTGAAATTTGGCAAGTGTGGGAAGCAAGGATGGAGTCTTCCCATCAGGTCTCCATGGGGACAGGAGTCAGATCTCCTTCAAGGCGCAACTGCTATGAACCTTTTCTAAGGTTCTCCTCCATCCATGCCAGTCAGGTTTCTTCCTGAACACGCCACTCAGTTGGTCTCATTGCGGTCATCAATGACCTCCCCCTGCTCTCCACCCAACCTCTCAGGACTTCCCAGCAGCAGCAGATGGCCACTCAGCCTCTGTGACATGCTTCCTTCCCAGCCCCTTTCCTGGTCCTCCCTCCTCCCTGTCCACAGGCCTCTCTTGTCTCCCTCTCCCTCCTTACTAATTCCCAGTGATCCCAGGGAGCAGCCAGAGCCCCTGTTTCCAGCCCACCTCACCTTTGAAGCCCACAGGCATCACTCACTCCCTCCTCCCCACCCCTGGCTGTCTAAAGGGTGCCCCACTCTTCCCAGGGACAAGTTGAATCCTTGACTCCCACTGCCCCTCCCCAACAGAGACCCCCTTCTCCTCCCACCACGCCTCCACTCAGCTTCTGCTGCCACATCCTCCCTTGGGCTCAGGAGAAGGCCTTGTGGACAGCCCGGACTGTCTCTTTTCTCACAACCCTCTTGGCTGCGCCTTCAGAATCCACTCAGAGTCCCCTACTTTGCACCTCTTCCCTGGCTCCTAGCCCAGCCAAAGCTCTCTGTCTGTCACCTTGATTATGATCTTTAACACTTTCAGATCCCTGCCACTTTTATATAAAGCTGAGTTGCACAGTAGCCAGAGTGATCACTTAACACATGCATTGAATCATGCGATGCCTCTGCACAAAACCCTGCAGGGGCTTCCCATGCTCCTTACCATGACAGCCGAAGTTCTTGCCAGGCCCCAGGGCCCTCTCTAGCTGCACCTCCTGACTCACACTTTCTTTCACTGGGCCCCAGGCCCTTTGCACTTGCTTTTTCTTCTGCCTGGAATTCCTTTCTTTGGATATTTACAAGGTTCATGTGCTCATTGTGCTTGTTTTATGAAGGTCTTTGCCTCCAAAACCTCAAATGTCACTGCCTCCAAAAAGCCTTCCCTGATTGGGATCTGAAATGGCACCCCCTGTCCCACTCCTGTTTTTTTCCTTACTCCATTGTATTTACCTCAGTGCACTTTGACTACCTGACATCATTATATTCTCTCTATGTATCTGTTTATCTGCTTGTGATCTGTAGTGGGAATTCAGTGTCATCACAGGTTTTGCCTGTTTTGCTCTCAGATGTGCTCTAGCTCATAAGACAGCGTCAGGCATACAGTAGATGCTCAGTAAATAGTTGCCAGTTGTGTGAATGTAGAACCATACATCACCACAATGCTGTACTAATGAAAGCAGGGTCTCAGAGATGCTGAAGCCCAGCCTTATTCTTAAGGGTTCACTGAGAACCCCTAGCCCCATCTGTGGTCCTGAAGGTCCTGCATGACATCTCTGCTCCCCACCCTCAACCTGTTCTCTTCCTCACAGCACAGGGGATGAACACAGCCGGGGGAACTGGGGTCACCTGGACCAGGTGGCTGCCCTGCGCTGGGTCCAGGACAACATTGCCAGCTTTGGAGGGAACCCAGGCTCTGTGACCATCTTTGGAGAGTCAGCGGGAGGAGAAAGTGTCTCTGTTCTTGTGAGTTTTCCTGTCACCAGGCCCAACCCCACGCTTGATGTGATGCTGATGAGACCTCTTGGACACCTGTCAATCCAGCTATGGATACCTCTGATTACAATACCTGAATTCAGGACTGGCCCTACTCACAGCCCAGCATCAGGGGGTAGAAAGCTAAAGACCAGCTCTCCTTGGCCCCCAGGAAGCTCAGAGCTCAGCTTAGTGTCCTGGGGCCATATGAATCTCCAGTTGCAGCCTGCAATGGTGGCATTCTCCTCTTCCAGCTTGGTTGAGCTCTCTCTCTCTCTCTCTCTTTCTCTCTCTCCTTCACACTCATTTTAACATAAGGACTCACATCCCTTCTCTTGGGAAGTAGGAATAGGCATAAATTATGAGTAAGGGCAGGCAGAGAGAAGAGGTGGACAGAGGTCATTGTTTGGCTAAACCAGACCTACATGTGGAGGGGACATGGACACTGAGCAGGCTGGGAATTCCTCTGGGGTGGTCTGATGGCTTGTCCATGCCCAAGAAGGAGGCGACAGTCTTTGTGACTGTGGGGTCCAGTGGGCTAGGGGAGGCAGGCAGAGGAAGGAGGGATGGAGCCGCGGATAGGGAGGGATGGGGCAGGGGTTGTGGGTCATAGACACAACCTTGGGTGTGAGGGGTCCTGCTGGGATTGGGGATTGGGTTCAGGAGACACTGGGGGATCTGGGATGAAAACCCAGATGAGAGGTGCTGGGAGCTGTAGGAAGACTTCCACCTCCTTGAGGTGGGCAGAGGGTCAGCCCACTACTGGATTCCTCAGTCCCGTGTTGGTTTTATAGTGGAGTAGATCTAGCCTGGAATAGCGAGTGAGTCACTGACCCCACTCCTGAGCATGAACTCTCCTCCCCTCCACTCTGCTGTCAGGTTTTGTCTCCATTGGCCAAGAACCTCTTCCACCGGGCCATTTCTGAGAGTGGCGTGGCCCTCACTTCTGTTCTGGTGAAGAAAGGTGATGTCAAGCCCTTGGCTGAGGTAGGTCTCCGGCTGGTACGTCTCCGGCTGGACACCCCCACCTCCTTGGCTCTATGCTCCTGAATCCTCAGGGATCTCTCTTGTGGTCGGTTGTAGCTAATGTTCTCCTAGAATCACTGAGGCACCAATGGCTGAGCAGGAAGGGCGAGGAGACACCTTGATCAGCGTCCCAGTTTCACAGCCAGGCAAACCGACACAGGGCTTGGAAGGGATTTGCCAAGGGCAGCAGGTGATCAGGGCAGAGCTGGGACTCCAGCTCATGGCCCTAGCAGCCAGTACAGTGCCCTATCTGTGACCACACTCCTCCTATGTGCCAGGGCCTGGTGCCATGTTGGGCAGTGATGGTGTCTTGTGTCTCTCTGGGTCTGCCTAATGGCTGGTAAGTGGAACAACCAGGATTTGAAAGCAGACAAGGAAATTCAGGATTCCATGCTCTCTATCCCAGCTCCACCTCACATTTCTTGACACATTCACCTTGAGATGATTATGTCCATTTCAATGGAGATAAGGTAGCAGAGATGAGAGATTACATAATTGACCCATGTTACAATTGAGATTAGTAACAGAGGCAACGCTCCGTGGGACCTGGAACCCACACCCACGGGTCTACAGTATCTTCTGCTGCTCCCTGCCACTAGTACAAGTTGGGCTTGGGATAGAATGCCACTTTCCTCTTTGATGGAGGGAAGGGATGTCGCTCTTGAACTCTGTTGTTGCCTGTGATCTTTGCAGCAAATTGCTATCACTGCTGGGTGCAAAACCACCACCTCTGCTGTCATGGTTCACTGCCTGCGACAGAAGACGGAAGAGGAGCTCTTGGAGACGACATTGAAAATGGTAGGTTGCCTGTTCCCGTAGCCCAAACCCTGTAAACTTGGTCCCAGACTTCTTCATTTCAGCTGTCCTCTTGCCCAGGGACAGTTTCCTGGGACAATTTCTCAACTCTCAGTATCTGAATGGGGAATCTGATTTGTCCTTTTTTATTGTAAAATGCCACAAATGTAAAAAAAGAAAGTCAAAAAATAACATGATAAAAAATTGTGTAACAATCCCCAGTCCTGACCAAAATTTAATATTTTGCCATTCTTGTTTTCAGATGTATTTTTAAGAAATTAAATGTTACATATTCCCAGGGGACACCATCATCCTGAATTTGGGGGATGGAGATATTAAGCTCAAAGATTTTCAGAAAGATGTCACAATTTATCTTGGTTGACTTAGAAATTGTCTGTATTAGACCTAGTGGTGGTCCAGTTTTCTAGATTTTCTGAGACTGACTCAGTTGTCATCCTAGGATAGTCATCCATCCACCCATTCGTTAATCCGTCTATCTATGATTGTCTTATCCATCTATCTGTTCACTAATTCATCCAATTCACTCATATCTTTTTATCAATCTAATGTCAACCTATTCATAACTTTGTATTTATCTATTTTCAATCCATTCACCATTCATGGATCATCCAGCCACCTTATATCTCAACTCCATCACCCATTCCTCCAAAATCAACAATCCAATTATCGCCTGTCTGCTAGTTTTCACCCATCTATTCATGTATCCATTCAATTCAACTGTACTCCATGTATTGACCAACTCCATCCATCCCTCCATTGATCCATCCATCCATCCATGCTAAATATGTAGGGGTGGGTGTTAGAGGTAGCAAAACAGACATGAAGTGGACATAGTCCCTGCTCTCAAGGAACTATCCAAAGAGAAATACATTCATATACTTCGCAGGTTGAGTATGGTGGCAGCACAGAGGGGAAGCATTCATTGTAGTAATCAGGGATGCTTCACAGAGAAGGCGGAGGAGCCAGATTTGAGACCAGACAGTGGAATTCAGGAGTTCATGCCCTTAATCCTGACTCCACCTTATCTTTCCTGAGAAATTCAGCTTTCAGATCATTGTGCCCATTTTAACAGAGGTAACAAAGACAGATAAATTTTGTAATTGCCCCATGTCACAGTTCAAATTAGTCACAGAGGCAACACTGTAGGACCCAGAACCGACACCTGCGGGTCTAGAGTATCTTCTGCCTTCCCTGCTCCCTGCCATCCTCACATATTAGGACTTGGGGACCTTTAGGATTGTTGGATGGCCATGGCAGTCTCTCATCACAGGGAAGACCAGGAGGACAAACACCCAGATGACACAGCACCCAGGGCCATTGGGAACTATTCCCTTTGAGGGGGAAGAGTGTGAATTCCAAGCTCAGGAGTAGCCTGGACTCTCTCCTTGGACCTGAGGCTACTCCTGGATCCCAGGGCTGGCCTCTATCACTGGACTCTGCTTGTGTTTCCATGAGTTGAGTCCAATGTGGTATTGGTGCTTAGGTCTTGGCTCAGGCTCTAAGTGACCAAAGTGTTCAAGGAATGAAAACACAACTGTTTTCTAACGCCCGGAAGGAGGCAAATATTCCAGCAATTCTGCATGTGGCATCAGAGGACCCAGCTTAAAAGGGAAGAGTTGAGTCTTTGGGAAAACCCATCCCTAAGATCCTAGAACATTCTTTTGAGTTTTTCTGAGATCTTGTGGAAGCACCTCCATGATTACGCGCTGCCTCCAGTACACACACATGCAGACACACAGACAAACACACACACACACAGACACACACACAGAGAAACACATACAGACACACACACACAGAGACACACACAGACACCCACACACAAAGAGCCACACACAGACACACTCATACACACACACACACACACTCCTGGCTAGTGGGACTTCAATCCTTAATGGAGGGACCTGCACTGGTTACATCCTGAGCACAGGTCAGATCTGGGAACTACAGTGCAACACTACAGTCACTGCAATCTTGGTGAACACACACCAAAGAGAAGCATGGGGTAGGATGAGACTCAGTGAGCTTGCGTGAGTCAGGGCTTTCTAATGGGAGATGAGGAAACTCTCCCAAGTACCTTGAACAGAAAAAGAAATGTGTTGCAATAGCATCGTCGTGTAAACTGAAAATCTCAGGAGTTGATGGCTTCAGGCATGGCTGGGTCCAGATGATCATAGGATATTATTGAGAATCTACCATTCTCTGTCCTTCAGCTTTGCACATCTCTGTGTTGGCTTCACTCTTAGGCAGATATATCTCCTGGGAAGGTTAAAGACAACAGCACTCTAGACTTATGTCCTATCTGCTTAAAAACCCTCTTTCTAAACAATTCCTGCAAAAGTTTTGGGGTAAACTCTATTGGATTGACATGAGTGTATGCCCATCCCTGAACTAATATTCATGTTCAGGGAGATGGAGCACCGCAGGTCACATATAGATATACGAATTCACGGAGTGATGCGGGAAGAACCTGACACCTCTGTTGCCCCACTCACCCAGCTCAGTGTTCTCCTGGTAAGCCTCTCACCCACATCCTCTGCCTTTGTCTTCACAGAAATTCTTATCTCTGGACTTACAGGGAGACCCCAGAGAGGTAAGGACCTTTTGTTTCTGGATTACGGGTTTTGAGTCTTAGCACCTTTAAGCTCCAATTAACTGTGAGTGAAAGAATCATCTCTTGGGTAATTATAGTAACTCCTGCGTGTTTGTTTCTGAGGCCCAGAGAGGGGTAGTGACTCACCTGGGTAACACAGCCAGGAAGACTAGTGGCTGGCCTGGAACCCATTTTCCTGACTCCCAGTCCAGTGCTCCCAGGCATCACCTCTGTGTGCCCTGGGCTCTGCCCACTCCCCTTCTTTTTTACATTTTCTGCTCCCCAAAATGGCACTGTAGGAGGAGGCTGAAACAGAACCTTCCACAATCAGGAGGCAGAGATAACAGCGATGATTAGCCAAGGAGAGGGGAAGCCTAAATCTCAGTCCAAGGACACTCGTCTCCTCCCAGCACACAGGAAACTCCAACAGTATTCTCCCAATCTCCTCATCCCCACTCCCACCCCCACCTCCCAGTGGGTTGACAGTTTCTGGTGACATCACCTCTGACGAATCTTACAATCCTGTCCTCTCTGCTGCCTCCCTGGAGATCACAGCACTCTCCTAAATGGTCATGGGCGGAGTACATGAGATTCATTCAGCAAAGACTTAATAAACACTTCCTATGTGCCAGGACTTGTTTAGGAGCTGGGGATATAACAGTGAAAAAAGAAAGACTCCCTACCCTCTTGGGACCTTCCATTACAGTGCCAGGACAGTGCAATAAAAAAGCAAATCAAGTATGTATTCCGTTTGATGGTGTGCAGCATTAGGGGATAGAGTTTGTGGGTGGCTTCAATTTAAGTAGCAGGATCAGGGAATGGTTCAATGAGAAGGTGGCATTTGAGCCAAGCTCTGGAGGAGGCAGGAAGCCAGCTGTCAGGAAACCTGGAGAAGCCTATTCCAGGCAGAGGGAACAGTCACTGCAAAGACCCTGACAGAAGGGGCCAGTCTGGCTGGAGAGGACCGAGTGTGGGGACAGACTGGCTTGAGGCTAAAGAGGTAATGGGCAGTGGGAGAGAGATCAATTAAAGTACTTGGATTTGGATTCAGAGCAAGATGGGAAGCCTTTGGAGGTTTTGAACAGAGGAGTCACATGATCTTAGATCTCACAAAGGTCTCTGTCTCTGGTGTTCAAATAGACTGTAGGAAAGGGGCAAAGTGGATGCAGTTGACCAGCTGGGCAGCCACTGCATTGCCATAATCCAGGCAAGGGCTCCTGGCTGCTTAGACAGGGCTGTGGCAGTGGGGATGGGAGGAGTAGTTGGAGTCTGGATATCTTTGAAGGAATAGCTGACAGGATTTGCTGATGGACAGGATGCAAGGGGTAAGAAACGGGGAGGAGTGGAGGACGCCCTGAGTTTTCTGACACAACAAGGTTGTGCCCACACAGGGCAGCCACTTGCAAACTCTAAGTGGAGAACAATCACTTGTCATTGTTGCTGATGGCAGTCTTCCAGCATGGCTGTCACCCAACTGAGGTGCTCCCGTCTCTTGCCTCAACTTTTAGCCTCTTCTACTTCACCTTCTCTCCCCATTTCCATGTCTCATGGTGCAGCCAGACTGGCCTTCCTTAACAGAATTAGAGCACGTCACCCCCACTTCTTAAAAGCCTGACCTTCCTTATGAGACAAATCCCCTTCCCTCCATGGAGTTAGTCCTTCAAAACACACCTGCGTGCACACTGTGTGCCAGACTGTGCAGAAGGTAGGCTCTGCACCTGTCCCTCCCTCTAGACCCTGCCCCACAGCATTTCTCCAAGCCAAGAACTCTTGGTTGTTTCTGGAATTTACCCTGCACAGTGACACCTATGTCCTTTTGCTCATGCGGTTCCCACTGTTTAGAAATTCTCACTCCTTTCCTCACCTGGCAATACCATTCACTGCCCAGAGCCCACCGCAGGCAGGCGGCGTCTCTTCCACGTAGTCTGCCCTGCATCTTCCTTCCAGAGGGGCTGCTCCTCTTGCTGGCCTCCCACAGCAGCCCTGCCTGAACTGCACAGCCTCTTAAGGAGGCTGGACTTGCACCCCAATCCTGTTCTTCATTGTCAGCCATATTGGATTAGGATCTGATCTTGTCCAGCTAGGTCTGGTCCACTTTTCAGAACATCTCCCCCAGGCAGTCCGAACTAGCTCGTCATTCATTGGCTTTTGTAGAGCAGACCAAAGGTCCCAGAAGCCATAGGGTCTCAAAGGCTAGGAATTGTCCAGTTCCATCTGATATCCAGAAGGGAAATACAGCCCATGGGGCGTGGAACTGGGAAGATTCCACAGAGGACTGGTGTCTATGAGAGGGACCCACAGCAACCTTGCTAACAAGTAATACCTAACAGTTATTCAGCCTTTCCAGACACCAGGTGCTGTGCTAAGTATTTTACATGTGTTCAGCCATTTAATCCTCACAATAACTCACCTCTTAGATGAGAAAACTGAGGCCCAAACAGGTGAAACTCCCAGCCAGTAAGTAGCAGAGCCAGGCTTCAGATGCAGTTAATCTGGTTTCAAAGTCCATGCTCTATCTTAGCAACATCCACGCTCTATCGTAGCAACTACACCATTGTGACTAAATATGAAATATAACTGTACCCAGAACCAGCTGCCCTGATGGCAACACATGAGTTGGGCTCTCTCTAATCTGTGACCATATAAAAATTATTCATCAAAGGTGAAACCTAAAATTAAGACATGGATCAATATACTGTGAGTTAATCACTGATTCTTTTACTCATGATTTTCTCTCTAGTAGGGAATCATGTCCTAGTCTAGGCTCCTTGAGTGACCAGGGTTCGGTACCTCCTCAAAGCCACCCGTGGATCAATAACAGCTCTTGTTTAAATACAGATAGATAGCATAATCTCTTCCTCATTAATCATGGATTCTGTGTTTATAAATTCACCTGCTTGCTAAAATGTCCTTATAACCCCCAAATCAATACTGGTGGCACTTTCATGGTCACACACAGGCAGGTACAGAGCAGGGGAAGCTGGATTTGCATGATGGGCATGTTCCATCTGAGATCCGGCGAGGCAACCTCTCTCTTCTTGTTTCATCTCTGATGTTTACAAGTGTCCTCTTCGCGGTCTATTTAGTGCCGTGTGTTCTGCATTTTTGTGCTTTTTGTAGTGATGTCACTGTTTAGAGCGAACCCAAGAGTAGCGCTGCTGTCTGGCGTTCCTGAGCTAAACAGGCTGTGCTGTGCCTTACGGGGAAGGTGCCTGTGTGAGACAAGCTTGGATGAGGCAGGAGCTGCAGTGCTGCTGGCCGTGCATTTGGTGTTGAAAAATCCACATAATAGCACATTCAGAAAAAGGAGAAGGAAATTGGCCGATTCATACATGAGGCTGTGATAGAAAGGGCTAAAGTAACACCTATTGTGTGGGATGGAGCCGTGGAAGTCTCTTTCAACAGAAACCCACACATAAAAGAAGGTTGATGAAAATGTTGTGGCCAGAGGTTTGCAAAAACCTAACCCAGTATTTCCCCCTTGAGTGATGACCCTGTATTCTCTAATTCAGTACTCACGGGGGCTTTATCAGAAGCAACTGCCAGGACTACCGAAAATCAATTGTGGACACACAGAGGAAAATGCATGCACTTCAAATTGAAATATATAGACATGTAATTTTACATAGATAATACATGTATTTCAATATGAGTGAAGATTTCTTCCTCTCCTCATCACCTGAGCAGTGTCAGCCTCTGCCTGAAGTTCTGCCCCTGAGTCATGGAGACCTACCCCCCTAAGTTAGGATCCTGAGCATGTGCAGCCATGGCGCATGGCCATGCCGGTCTATGGTACTGGTCTCACCCTCAGACAGGCAGAGTTGGGGACATGGGTGTGACTAGGGAGGGAATCACAGGTGCTGCACTGCTCTCTCCCCAGAGTCAACCCCTTCTGGGCACTGTGATTGATGGGATGCTGCTGCTGAAAACACCTGAAGAGCTTCAAGCTGAAAGGAATTTCCACACTGTCCCCTACATGGTCGGAATTAACAAGCAGGAGTTTGGCTGGTTGATTCCAATGGTGAGAAGGCACATGTCTGTTGGAGGGACTCAACCACCCCCATCAGCCCTCCTGTCTCTGGTCCCAGGAATGCTTCCCTCTCCGAGCTGCACTCTGAGTCCTGGGCAGCTGTTCCCTTCAGCAGGAGTTAACATTTCCACGGAAATCTTCTCCAGGAGGGCACAGTTTTCACCGGGGTATCAGGGCCCTGGGATTCCCTCTCCCCAGACTCTCTTATTGTCTTCCTATTGAAGAATCCTGAAGTGTCTGTGCTGGGAGGGCCAGTAGAGAAAATAACTCTGCAGATGGGAAAACGGAGGGGGCCTAGAAGGGGGAAGGAGTGGAGGAGTCCGGAGAAGCAGTCGGGGGCTTCCTGGCTTCCCACCTCGGGCTGGGTGTGCGTAATTCCCCTGAAAATCACTCATGCTCTTCATCACCTCATTGAAAATATCCAAAGAAAGTGGCTTCTTCTTGAGTTACCATTGACTTCTAGGGAACAGCAGACATCAGCGTCTACTAAGAGAGTGGATGGTCAGAGGAAGATGAGGATGGAAAAGCTACCTAATCGGGTGCTATGCTCAATACCTGGTAACAAAATAATCTATACAGCAAACTCCAGAGACCCAAATTACCCATGATCAAACCTGCACAGTTACCCCCAAACCTAAAATAAAAGTTGGAAACAAATAAATGGAAAAAGTAATTGAGTTCTAAAAGTAAAGAAGTGTTCTCCTTCCAGTTGAAGATAAACAAAACTGACCCTGGTTAAAGCAGTAGGACAGATTTATTCAGTAATATGATTGCAATAGGGGAAATAGTCCAGCGTGGAGTGGACTCACATCCCTGAAACAAAAGCCTGATGACGTTTCATAGGCCAGGTGTGCCAAGGGAAACACTGTGGTCTATGGGGAGAGGCTTGGTTCATGTGACTAGACCACCTGGATGTCTTCATCCTGGCTCACCTGGGGCAGAAACAAACTCCTCTTATCTTTAGGACAGGAAGCCATGCATTAGACCGCAGGAAGAACCCACTGAAGTCAGGCTCTACTCTTTCGACAGGGACTGGGAAGATCAGGAGTGAGCTCCCTGAATGTTTGCATTGCAAAGAGAAGGCTCTCAGGTCCTCAAGGAAATGGGGTTGGGTGGTAGATTCACATCCCAAAGGGCAGAGAAAGTGTTTATCATTGCAGGCTTCTAAAGTAACTGCTCTAGTTGGGTTCGGGGACCTGGCTGCTTGTCTCCAGGTTTTGGCTGGAGCAGAGTAAATTGTCCTGGCAGGGTTGAGCCTTCCCAGGCAGTTATGTTAAGGATACTGGGGTCATTCTAGGGACACAGCCTTAAGCTGCTAGAAGCAATGCTAGAGATTGGTCGAGTCCCTGAGTGCAGAGGTTTGGGAAGAGTTGTTATGTGCGTAGAGATGTGCAGTTCGCCCCTCAGAAGGATTTCAGAGGTTATACCAAAGACCAAAGCCACGAAGACAGGATTTAAGGATTTCAGTGTCATCTGTGACAGGTGGGGGTACTAGGGAGGTCTACATCCTCTTCCCCAGAGCCCTCTATTCCACACTGGCCTGGCAGACACCTTGCATCTCCATGTCACTGACCACTGTAGGGATCCCAGCCACAGACACACACACACACACGCGCGCACACACACACACTGCAAAACACTGCCACAGCTTCTCTGAAATTTTGTTTTTTGTTTTTTTTTTTTGTAAACTTTGCAATGCTTGAGTTTCTGGATATAAGCCCATTTGATTCATTGATTTCACCCATTTCAGTAAAGACTCATGCCCTTAAAAGCCCCCATAATTAGAGGACTTTCAGACTGCATTGGTTTGGTTGGTTGGTCAGTTTGTTTCTTATCATTAATTCCCAATGATTCATAAATGCTGAACTTTTTTTTTTTTTTAGCAGTTGATGAGCTATCCACTCTCCGAAGGGCAACTGGACCAGAAGACAGCCATGTCACTCCTGTGGAAGTCCTATCCCCTTGTTGTAAGAGTCTAGGAATCATGGGAATTGGCTGAGACCCAGAGAGGGACAAGGACTTGCCCAAATCATAGAGCAATTAAATGGCAGAATGAAGACTGGGGCCTCAGGGTTTCCCCCATCTTTCCACCTTTCCCACTTCATTTTCCACCCTAGCGGGGAGTTGCACAGGGCTTATGGGGTTCACCATTGAGGCAGGACTTTCTGGTGGGCTGGAGAAGCTGCATCGCTCACCCGGGGCTGGTGGTCACTTTTTGATCTATTTCAGTGCATTGCTAAGGAACTGATTCCAGAAGCCACTGAGAAATACTTAGGAGGAACAGACGACACTGTCAAAAAGAAAGACCTGTTCCTGGACTTGATAGCAGATGTGATGTTTGGTGTCCCATCTGTGATTGTGGCCCGGAACCACAGAGGTGAGTCCCAGAGGTCGAACGGGAGGGACACAAACCCCACGAGCTTCTGTATCTGACCCACCTACCTCCCAGCATAGACAGACATGGAAACAGCTGAGGGTCAGGCCTCAAAGGCTGATTCCATATGGCATGGGATGAGGTGCTGTCTTATTTTGGTTTATGCCAGCAGAAGACTGTGAGAAAAAAAAATCCAGAGGCAAGTGGTTTTTTTAAGGTGATGATCCCAGATAACAGCAGTAGGGAGGTGGGGAAGTGAGAGAGGAAAGAGATGGAATCCAATCCAAGATGCGTTGTCAAGGGAGTATCCACTGTGGACAACTGGAGCGGGGAAACTCAAGGAAACACCAAGAATACAGGGCTCAGGGGCATCCCATCTGAGTGGCAAGGGAGCCGGGTATTTATTCACCAGCTTCTACTTGTCATTGGTTGAAGGCTCTTGCAAGGAATTGTTTATTCCCTGTGACTTCGACCTGCTGCACACAAGGGCAGAGTAGTCTCTTGTGACCAGACAAAGGCCTCAGGCCTGGAGCTGCAGATGCTGGAGGTGGAAGTCAGGCTGGCATGCCCAGGAAGAGGGGATATAGGTGAGACCCTGGCAGCATCTGCTGCAAGGGCTCCATGCCTGGAGTTATTGTGGGACATAGGGCTGCTGTAGGACAAATATTGAAAGATGAGTCGTGGAAGGGTTTTAAGGTCTGAGCCAGCTGCAAACAAGTTTGTTAAGTATTGGAGCTGGATAAAAAGTGGGAGCCCTGCATGGGATCCAGAGGATTGTCCAGGACCAAGAAGGCCAGAGAGAGGAGCCAGGGCGGGTGTGGGAGAGGTGGTCTGTAGAATGGCAGTGTCTGAGGGTGGTTTTTATGCATCTCAGTGCGTGCAGTAGCATGCAAGCACAGGGCAAGGGCAGGGTCTATGCAGGACCTGCTACCACTGACCCAAGGCTGTGTGGGTGGGGCATGACGTTAGGGATGTGTGTGCTCACCTAGAGAGGAGTGTCTGTTCCTGCGTGCCAGCTAGAGGAGATTCACAGGATTCCTTTTCTTCCAGCTCTCATTCGCCTAGTCTGCAAGCTAGGAAATGTCCTCTCTCTAACCATGCTGGAAGGGTTTTTAAATTTAGAACTTCATAAGCATGATAAAAACTAGCTAACGCTTAACTAGCAGGTGCCCTGACACACCTTTGCACAGGAAGGGGCAGGTGCTCATAACCCTCATTTCTTCACAGGGTCCTGATAAAAACCTTTAACCAAGACCACTGGAGTTGAATCTGTTCTTTCTTAAACTTGCCCTTGCCCTATGCTCTGCGTCTGAACTATATATAGAGTTCCCATCTCCATTTTCTGATGGTTTGAGCAATACTGAACTTATGTTTTTCATCTGGTTTCCCATGACTTTAAGTTCAGGGCTTTTTTTTTTTTTTTTTTGCCAGGACTACACAGATTTTATCTACTTTCACTTATTGTTGTCTCACTCTTTTTGATAAAATAACATTTCTGAATATAAAATTAATATGTTAAATTATAGAAACTTTCAAAAATATGGAAACACAAAAAGAAGAAACTATGTATCACTCATTTCCACTACCTGGAGGCAAGTGCTATAAATTTTTTGTGTTTTCGTCTAAAGATTTTCCATGTCCTATATACTTTAAAAATCAATTTTATATTTTACTTTTGTTCATAGAACACTATGTTGTGAGGATTTTCTCAATGTTGATACAAACTCATCAAAGCATTCCTTATTCCATGAAATGGCTGTGTTAAATAGACTTTAATATTCATATCCTATTAGATGTTTAGCCTGGCTACTCACATTCTGATGCTACAATAACATTGAGCTCAGCCTAATGTTCATAAGTCTCTAAACACATGTCTAATAATTTTCTTAGGATTATTTTTAGAAGTAAATAACTAGGTTGGACAATGCAAATGTTTTAGAACTTTGGGCAAATATTGTAAAATTGCATTCCACTGCATAAGAATGTGGATTTCTTAATTCTCTTTCTCATTTGGGATGCTAAGATTAAAAATTAGCATAACACTTCCAGTTTCATAAGCCTTCCCCACCAACAAGAAGCACATCAGCCTGTTTTAATCTGCATGTCCTCCATGACTAGCCCTCTCATTGTCTCTGCTTCTCTTATTATGTCTAATTGTCATTACCCAAATCTGTGCGCTACTTTCCTCTGAAGACTTGTGTTGTGATTGTAAGAATTGTATAAATATCAATGGCTTTAGCCAAAGAGTTTTACAAAGTACGTTTTGGGCAGCATGCTGCCTATAATAAGTTCTATCATTCACAAAAGCTCTTTCTTCTATGGTTGGCTCTGAGTTTCTTTGGAAAATGTTCGAGGGGCAAAGGCAAGGTCAAACCCTCCTTTTAGCAAGTTTTGTTTGACCTTGAAGCAGCCATTTAACAGGTGGATTACAGAGCCACAGAAGGATGGCATCTTCCCAGGTGCGCTTCCTGCTGAGCCGAGGGTGCAGTGCAGGAGGCTGACAAAGATGAGTGAATAGATTATTCTTCATTCTCACATTGAAATGACATGTGCGGGTGGGGCATGAGGTTAGGGATGCGTGAGCTCCCATTGTTAAATCCTTTTGTGAACGAATTTTTAATGATGTTAAGAAATGATGGCTGGAGGCGGTGGCTCTTGCCAACACTCTCAGCATTTTGGGAGGCTGAGGTGGGAGGATTATGAGAGCCTAGGATTTCAAGATCAGCCTGGGCAACATAGTGAGACCCTGTCTCTACAAAACAATTTAAAAGGGAAGTGATTACAGTGTACTACAAAATACCATATATAATATCATCCCCAGTTAAATACATAAAAGAGAGATATGCTAAAATAAAAAAGAAGCATTCTCTGAGTGGTAGAGTTATGAGTGATACTTTAAATTTGATTGTTAAAATTGATTTTTAAATTATATAGGATATGGAAAAATTTTAGAAGGAAATACAAAAAATGCATGGCCCTTGCCTCAGGTAGTGGAATTATGAGTGATATCTAGTTTTGCTTTATGCGTTTCCATATTTTTGTTTCTTCTAATTATTCCTAATTGTTTTTATTTTCCAAATTTCTTACTGTACCCAAAGGGGAGGACATTGTAAATTTTCTCCACCAGCCTGGCATTGCCCTGACTCTTTCCGTCTTAGTGTCACTTCTCAGTGGGTATCATGACCAGTGCAAAGTGCTGAGGCACAGGGCCAGGCGGCCCACGAGGTAGCCCTGAAGGGGCAGCGATCTGTGGCTCCAATGAGCCAATCATTGGGAAACTGGCATCTTCCTGGGGCTGGGACAGGAGAGCTTTGTTGGTGGGAGAGGAGGGCAGAGCCGAAGGAGAGAGGGCAGGGGAGAGGCAAGGTCACCCTTGCTCAGCGCCTTCTTTTCTCTGCCAGGGCTTTACTGCCTTAACACCCTAACACTCCCAGGCCAGGCAGGCAGCAAGACACATGGGGACAGTGAGCTATAAAGCAGTGAGTGCCGCAGGTTCCTGAGACACAAGAGGCAGATTGTTCCCTCTCTGCATATGTTTGTATTTAAATAGCCTCATGTTCAGACAAGCAACTTGGATTTGCTTCAGTCTTCTCAGGATGGGTGAGAAAAACACTGGAAATGCTCAAAACGAGGCAGAACAGAAGACACCTGTCATGGTGGAGATGGCATCCAAGTGAATGAACGCGAGTCTGTTATCAATGAATTATATCCGGTGTAACCAGATGTAGAGAGATTGTCTTGTGTGAGAATGCACCAGCAGGCAAAGGGGTTTACGAGGCAGAGTCAGGGTCCCTGCACCGGCAGCTGTTTTAAATGAATTGACCCAGGGTTTCCACATTCATTCATTAAACATTTGTTCATTGAACAAATATTTGGCTCTAATTCCGCTTCCACCTCAGACAGCTATGCAGCCCGGAGCGCATCACTGAGCTTTCCTGAGACTCTGTTTCTCTACTGTGCTGACAGCCAGAGGTTTGCTGCAGAGCTGAAGACCTTGGTAGCCTCCAGGTGTGTGTCTGGCAACATGAACTGTGCATGAATCCTTGTCTTCTCAGATGCTGGAGCACCCACCTACATGTATGAGTTTCAGTACCGTCCAAGCTTCTCATCAGACATGAAACCCAAGACGGTGATAGGAGACCACGGGGATGAGCTCTTCTCCGTCTTTGGGGCCCCATTTTTAAAAGGTAATGCTCCTTCCTGTCTGTGAGCTAGGAGTTAGAGACTTGGGTTCCAGTCTTGGTGTGGTGGCCTTCAGCAATTTTGTCCTCTCCTGGTCTTAGTTTCCTGATTCTGTATAACAGGGTTGAATGTCACTGGGTTGTCCGCCGGCTTCCTCCCACTCTAACACATGTGAGGAGGGATGTGTATTCATGTGCCCTCTGCACAGACGCTCAGAATCCTGCTGTGTGACATCAAGACAGGTGGTGGTGGGGGTCTCCTGCAGGATTCACTATGACAGGGTTGAATGTCACTGGGTTGTTCCCCGGCTTCCTCCCGCTCTAACACACCTGAGGGAGGATGTGTATCATGTACCCTCTGCCACAGACACTCAGAATCCTGGGCTGTGTCATCAACAAGATAGGCGGTGGGACACATGCGGGGCCCTGCTCTAGGTTGAGAAGCCACCAATCAATTTCCCTCTCCCAGGAGCGCTGAGACAGTGAGTGAGGGTGAGATTAGAATTGGTGTTAACCCTAAGTCAGGTCTAATGTGTGCCTGTTTGTCTTTCTGTCTGTCTCTAACAAAAACTCATAAACCTTTACATTTAGTACATTTAATAATTGTTGATTTAGAATTCACAGGATGTATGAATTTGGAACAGGAGAAGAGAATATTTTTTATATGGTTTATAGTCAGCAAGGTGGCCATCCCACAGGCTGGGAAGGTGCCTCTGGCCAAGCCCAGAAACGGGCTCATTGGAGGAGGGGTTGGGTAGGAGCTTTATGTGAACGGATTGGCTAAACATACATGTTCAACAGGTTACAGGGGGAGCAATGGATATTCATGAAGACAGTCCTGACACATGTGTATTAAACAAACACGTATGTAACATGGCCCATGTTCACCTGGTGGTGGAGACCTAATATTTAAATGTATTACAATTAGGGCCTGTAAGTCCAAAGGTCTTCTCAGGACACGAAGCTCAGCAAGTGAGGAGCTTCTGTACACCGGCCAGGTCCAGTCCATGGCTGGTGATGTTCTTATCTGGAGAAAGTTACTGAAATCAGTCTCTTATGCAATCAAAGCAGTAGTTAAGTCTGGCAAGTCAGGGTTCTGTTTGTCTGCGTATCCCAGCTGCAGCCGTTGTTATTGTTTTCCTTTTGCTTAGCTCCAGGCCAGTGCTGGTTTAGCTGCTAGAGAAAGAGAAGCACCTCGTGGCAGTGAGAACAAAGTGGATTCTTTTTTTTTTTTATTATTATACTTTAAGTTTTAGGGTACATGTGCACATTGTGCAGGTTAGTTACATATGTATACATGTGCCGTGCTGGTGCGCTGCACCCACTAACTCGTCATCTAGCATTAGGTATATCTCCCAGTGCTATCCCTCCCCCCTCCCCCCACCCCACCACAGTCCCCAGAGTGTGATATTCCCCTTCCTGTGTCCATGTGATCTCATTGTTCAATTCCCACCTATGAGTGAGAATATGCGGTGTTTGGTTTTTTGTTCTTGCGATAGTTTACTGAGAATGATGGTTTCCAATTTCATCCATGTCCCTACAAAGGACATGAACTCATCATTTTTTATGGCTGCATAGTATTCCACGGTGTATATGTGCCACATTTTCTTAATCCAGTCTATCATTGTTGGACATTTGGGTTGGTTCCAAGTCTTTGCTATTGTGAATAATGCCGCAATAAACATACGTGTGCATGTGTCTTTATAGCAGCATGATTTATAGTCATTTGGGTATATACCCAGTAATGGGATGGCTGGGTCAAATGGTATTTCTAGTTCTAGATCCCTGAGGAATCGCCACACTGACTTCCACAATGGTTGAACTAGTTTACAGTCCCACCAACAGTGTAAAAGTGTTCCTATTTCTCCACATCCTCTCCAGCACCTGTTGTTTCCTGACTTTTTAGAGATGCAGGCCTGAACCCTTGCCCGACGTGGCCTTAGGTCTCGTTTTTAATTTGGTGTCTTATTGCCACAAAGAGTGTGTTCTGTCAGAATGATGACCTTCATTTTATTGCTGATGCTGGTCCGGTGGTGTCTAAATCACAAAAGGGAGGGAGTATTATGAGGCGTGTCTGACCTCCTGTCCGTTCCCAGGCAGGAACAGAGTTGAAGGTTTTTCGAGGCTCCCCTTAGCCCAGAGAGGGTCTGTTCAGTCAGTTGGGGGTGTCAGGATTTTATTTTTAGTTTACATTATACAATAGTTTAAAAAATCCTTTCACGGTGTCTTCTAAGTCTTAACTCTCAGCAGTTACAGATCAGATGGGACTCACCCCATGGCTGCTCAGAACGCACCAGCGCCTCTGGGCATCTCACTGTGCATGCTTAGGCGCCTTGCGGCTCTGTTGTTTTTCAGAATGTGAATTGTGGGTGTGTGCTGGGGAGGGAGAAAAGACCCAAGAGAGAGCAACCCTGGAAAGTGGGGTTGCTGTAGAGGAAACCCTGGGGTGGGGCATTTCCTGTGACCCTGAGCGGGGAGGAGGCAGGCGAGGGTCACAGGAGACAAAGGCAGCCAGCCAATGGAATGACGCATGCCCATTGCTGAGCCCTAGGTCAGATATGCTGAAAGGTAAAGTACACACAAATCCACCACGATCTTCTAAAAGTGCAGACCTCAGCTCAGTGGGTGTGGGGCATGTGCCAAGACTATGTTTCCAGCAGACTCGCATGTGATGTTGACGCTGCAGTCCACGGACCACACTTTGAGTAACAAAGGCTTTTTTTCTTCTTCCCCACAGAGGGTGCCTCAGAAGAGGAGATCAGACTTAGCAAGATGGTGATGAAATTCTGGGCCAACTTTGCTCGCAATGGGTGAGGCTGGTGGCAAAGACAGAGCACGGCTGGTGAGGGTGGGGGGCGGGGCATGCCTATTGGGAAGGGGCAGCTTCTAAGGTTCTAGTGATCAAACTTCTGACCCTGTGACCATAGCACTCTGATAATGAGAGCTCTCTGCAAACGGAGAGGCCGCCCCTGGAGATAGTGAGCTCTCCATCTCTGGAGGTATACAAGCCTCTTGACAGAGATAACTTGGGCATCCTCACACATCTCTGAAGATTGTTGGGAACACACAGCAGCTTTGGGGCAATTCTAATTGATTCTGTTTCCAGAAACCCCAATGGGGAAGGGCTGCCCCACTGGCCAGAGTACAACCAGAAGGAAGGGTATCTGCAGATTGGTGCCAACACCCAGGCGGCCCAGAAGCTGAAGGACAAAGAAGTAGCTTTCTGGACCAACCTCTTTGCCAAGAAGGCAGTGGAGAAGCCACCCCAGACAGAACACATAGAGCTGTGAATGAAGATCCAGCCGGCCTTGGGAGCCTGGAGGAGCAAAGACTGGGGTCTTTTGCGAAAGGGATTGCAGGTTCAGAAGGCATCTTACCATGGCTGGGGAATTGTCTGGTGGTGGGGGGCAGGGGACAGAGGCCATGAAGGAGCAAGTTTTGTATTTGTGACCTCAGCTTTGGGAATAAAGGATCTTTTGAAGGCCAAATTGGTGCTTGTGTCTTGTACTGGAGATTAATACTTTGTCCTCAGAGACAGAACGGTGATGAAAGAGGCGATGTGAGAAGGAAGGTGGCTTTGCTGGGGATGGCCTGGTCTCAGGATGAGCAGAGTCCAGAGGGCTGGGTCATGGACGGTGCTCAGGGGAGCTCTGGGCCTGATGCACCTTTCTGGGCCCCCAACAATTTCCAACAATACGAGTTGGGGTGGCCAGAGTGCAGGATCCCTACCCTCTATTTGGAGTTGCCCATGGAAATGGAAGTGGCCCAGGCTGAGAATGAGTCTGGATCAGGGAAGAGGGAGACGTGCTGAGGTGATCCCGTGGCACTGTTGCATGGCACTTACTGACCGTTGCACAGGCCTGCAACACCTTTCTGAGTATGTACACTAGCCTCCCATACCCCTCCATGAGGTTGTCTCTTCCACCAACTGGTCGAAACTCCTTCTGTAGCCTGGACCACTTCTGGTGTGGGCAGTGACCACCTTGGAGGTGGTCCATTCTTCTCCAGAGGGTCATCCTAAACTGTGTCTTTCAGAATCCCATGGGTGATTTCTGGATTCTGTTAGTACGTAGAAAGCTCTAAAGCATGTCATTCCCGCCTTATCAGCAAGAGGAAGCCGGATTGTCCTCAAAATCATAACTTTTCCTGCACCAAAGAGCTGAAGTTGCAAGGCACATGGTTCCCTCGAAATCGAAGGGAAGACAAGCACCTGGGGGAGTGGTGGGATGTGAACACTGGCTTACTTCTCACCTGCAGGCAGGAGACGGCGTGACCATAATGAGCAGAAATACTCTATGAATTTTATTCAGTGCTGAAGGCCAAGGGTGGGCCACTGTGAGAGTATAAAACCTCTGGGAACCATGGACCCATGGGGAGTTGACTCCCATCACAGACTCTACTCCATGGGTATTTATCAGGGCCCATGAGAAAGATTGGGGTAGACAGTGAGACTGGAGAAAGTCTGCCTTCAGGAATGCAGGCATGAGCCCTGCTGACACCCTTCACCCCTAAAGAACAAAATCCTTCAATCATTGCGGAATGGCCAGGAAATCTTGTCCTCCTCAAGGTACTGGTAGAGACATATTGAGGTTGAAGATAAGGAACCTTTTAAAACTCTATACCCCTTGGAGAGGGACAGGGAGTCATCTTGGGCCCAGATTATCGGTCTTTTACTGCTGGGGATGGTCAGTATCTCTGACAAACCTCCATCTCCAACAGCAAGAAATGAAGGTCCTGCCTAAGGTTGAGGCTGGACCACGACAAGAGCAGGCACTCCTGGCTGCTACCATGGAGTTAGCCAGTCCCAGGTAACAGAAATCTGCTGCTGGGAGAGACAGCAAAGCATGCAGATCAACCCTCTTGTAAAAGCAGGTGCACAGGACAGGCCTAAAGCTGAGAGTGGAACAAGACATTAGGAAAATCGTTCAGAAAACCGGCCTTTACACAAGCACACCAGAACCAGCACAAGGTAGCACTGGAAGCATTTGAAGCAGATGGTGCATTGATGATAGCCATAGCAACAACAAAACTATTCCCCGATCACCACACTCGAAATACACACGCACACACACACACACACGCATGCATGTACACACAAAATCAGTCTAGCAGCAGAAGAAAAGATATGTCCACTTCCTGTCACGGATACTACTTACTTCAGTTTCAACTCACTTACCCATGATGTCAAGTATTGAATTCAAAATTGCAAACCTTATAAAGGAAGCAACACCTATGAACAAGAGACAAAGCAGTTGGGCACAGTGGTGCATGCCTGTAGTCCCAGCTACTTAGGAGGCTGATGCAGGAGGATTGCTTGAACCTGTGAGTTCAAGGCTGTAGTGCACTGTAATTGCACCTATGAATAACCACCTGCACTCTAGTCATGGTATTATGGTGAAATAGCATCGCTTAGAGTGAGAGAGAGAGAGAGAGAGACAGACAGACAAATCAATCAACAGAACCAGATTCAGAGATAACCTAGGTGTTAGACTAACAGACTGGGAATTTAAAATAACTATATGGAATACTTCCATGAACAGATGGCTAGTTTCAGCAGAGAGGTAGAAACTATGAGAAAGAAGCAAATAGAAATGTTAGAAATGAAAAAAAATAGTAACAGAAATTAGAAATGCCTCTAATGGATTCATCAGTAGATCTGACACAGCTGACGAATGAATGAGTGTAGCAGAAGACAGGCCAATATAAATTACCCAACTTAAAATGAAGAAAATCAGTGAAAAAAAAACAAAACAGGGAATCAAAGAACTGTCAGATAATATCCAATGGTCCAACATATGCATAACTGGAATCCCAGAAAGAGAAGACAAAGCAGGCAGAAGAAAATATTTGAAGAGATAATGGCTGAGAATTTTCCAAAAGTAATGAAAAACATCAAGGCATACGTCCAAGAGCCTGGAAAACCCCAAGCAGGATTCAACAACAACAGCAACAACAGCAACAAAAACATACACATTTAGACACACACTGAGAAAATATTGAAGGCAGCCAGAGGAAAAAGACATTGCATACAAAGAAAGGGATTAGAGCAGATTTTTCACTGGAAACTATGCAAGCCAAAAAATAATGGAGTGACACCTTTAAAGTATTCAAACGAAAAAAATCTTTGCAGAATTCTATATCCAGAAAAAACACTGTTCAAAAAATACAGGGAAAAATGTTTTCAGATGAACAATAGAGAGAATTTATACTTACATACTTGTGCTACCAAAAATGTAAAAGGAAATTCTCTACGCAAAAGGTATATGATACAGGATAAAAACTTTGATATTTATCAAAGAAGTGAAGCTCTACATATAGCTTTAAAATAAAGGTAATGTAGGCTATTTTTCCTATATTTAATTACTGTTTAAAACAAAAATAGCACCAATGAACTGTGGATTTAGAGCATACGTAAGAATAAAATATACAACAAAAATAATATGAAAGATGAGAGACAGGTATTTGAAGCACACTTTTGTAAGATTCTTACACTCTGTGTAATTGGTATTGTCTGAAGGTATAAGGTGATTAATGTATATTGTATGTATATTGTATACCCAGGAAAACCAATAAATAATTTTAAAAGGAGACATGAATAATAACACAATAGAGGAGATAACATGAAATCATAAATACTCGCTACACGAGCAAGCAGACAGAAGAAGAACAAAGACACAGGAACAAATGAAAAAGTACTGCAGAAGTGACAGATTTTAATCCAACCGTATCAATAACTATACTACACAAAAATGATGTAAACACACCAATTAAAAATGATTTTCAGATTGGATTAAAGAAAACACAAAACGCAACCTAACGCTGCGTCGTAGTTAGTCCAAATTCACGTTTCAGTGTTTGACTCCTGGTGGCTTTTAAGCCTCAGCCTTCCCTTGTCCCCTCTTGCTGACACCTGGAAAGCTGATAAGAAAGCCTGGGTGCTTCCTCCTTTGTTGCTGGAGGAAAATTCAAAGCTTACCGTGAGAAAGCTGACCACGGCCCCAGTGCGGAATCCTCATACCACACCTGGTCGTCCTGTCCAAGACAGCGTCCCAGAGCTCCTTGAGCCTCAGCGGGGGGAAGAAACAGCATATTTTTTCCTCCTGGTCCAGAGAGAGGGGAGACGCTACAGAGCAGGGGTCGGTAAGCTGCAGCCCACAGGCCAAACCTGTCAGACCGTGGGATCCTTGGGTCAGGACCAAGGTCAAACTCGTTTTGGGGCTCCCCAAGAAGTGCTGGGCAATGCAACCTGGTGGATGGACTGAGAGCTGCCCAGCAGATGGATCTGTACCCAGGGAAGTGCACATTGGCCTTTGGTGAACAGTCCATGGTACCCTTGAACTCTATAATAATAGCAGTAATAGGCCGGGCGCGGTGACTCGCACCTGTAATCCCAGCACTTTGGGAGGCCGAGGTGGGCGGATCACCTGAGGTTAGGAGTTCGAGACCAGCCTGGCCAACACGGTGAAATCTCATGTCTACAAAAAATACAAAAATTAGCTGGACGTGGTGGCGGGTGCCTGTAATCCCAGCTAGTCGGGGGGCTGAGGCAGGAGAATCGCTTGAACCCGGGAGGCGGAGGTGGCAGTGAGCCAAGATCATGCTACTGCACTCCAGCCTGGGCAACAAGAGTGAAACGCCGTCATAAAAGAAAGAAGAAAGAAAGAAGGAAAGAAAGAAAGAGAGAGAAAGCCCAGTTTTCTTGGGCCTCATGGTAATGTTCACGTGGTTGATACCAAATGAACTGCTCATAGAGTTTCTGTGAAGACTCTCTGAGTTAATATGAAGAGTATTTTATAATTAAACACATAATAACTATGCAGTGAGTTTTAGTTATTTCTATTACTGCTATTATTCTTTCTTTCTTTCTTTCTTTCTTTCTTTCTTTCTTTCTTTCTTTCTTTCTTTCTTTCTTTCCTTCCTTCCTTCCTTCCTTCCTTCTTTCTTTATCTCTCCTTCTTTCCTTCTTTCTTTCTTTCTCTTTCTTTCTTTCTTTCCTTCTTTCCTTCTTTCTTTCTTCTTTCTTTTATGACGGTGTTTCACTCTTGTTGCCCAGGCTGGAGTGCAGTAGCATGATCTTGGCTCACTGCCACCTCCGCCTCCCGGGTTCAAGCGATTCTCCTGCCTCAGCCCCCCGACTAGCTGGGATTACAGGCACCCGCCACCACGTCCAGCTAATTTTTGTATTTTTTGTAGACATGAGATTTCACCGTGTTGGCCAGGCTGGTCTCGAACTCCTAACCTCAGGTGATCCGCCCACCTCGGCCTCCCAAAGTGCTGGGATTACAGGTGCGAGTCACCGCGCCCGGCCTATTACTGCTATTATTATAGAGTTCAAGGGTACCATGGACTGTTCACCAAAGGCCAATGTGCACTTCCCTGGGTACAGATCCATCTGCTGGGCAGCTCTCAGTCCATCCACCAGGTTGCATTGCCCAGCACTTCTTGGGGAGCCCCAAAACGAGTTTGACCTTGGTCCTGACCCAAGGATCCCACGGTCTGACAGGTTTGGCCTGTGGGCTGCAGCTTACCGACCCCTGCTCTGTAGCGTCTCCCCTCTCTCTGGACCAGGAGGAAAAAATATGCTGTTTCTTCCCCCCGCTGAGGCTCAAGGAGCTCTGGGACGCTGTCTTGGACAGGACGACCAGGTGTGGTATGAGGATTCCGCACTGGGGCCGTGGTCAGCTTTCTCACGGTAAGCTTTGAATTTTCCTCCAGCAACAAAGGAGGAAGCACCCAGGCTTTCTTATCAGCTTTCCAGGTGTCAGCAAGAGGGGACAAGGGAAGGCTGAGGCTTAAAAGCCACCAGGAGTCAAACACTGAAACGTGAATTTGGACTAACTACGACGCAGCGTTAGGTTGCGTTTTGTGTTTTCTTTAATCCAATCTGAAAATCATTTTTAATTGGTGTGTTTACATCATTTTTGTGTAGTATAGTTATTGATACGGTTGGATTAAAATCTGTCACTTCTGCAGTACTTTTTCATTTGTTCCTGTGTCTTTGTTCTTCTTCTGTCTGCTTGCTCGTGTAGCGAGTATTTATGATTTCATGTTATCTCCTCTATTGTGTTATTATTCATGTCTCCTTTTAAAATTATTTATTGGTTTTCCTGGGTATACAATATACATACAATATACATTAATCACCTTATACCTTCAGACAATACCAATTACACAGAGTGTAAGAATCTTACAAAAGTGTGCTTCAAATACCTGTCTCTCATCTTTCATATTATTTTTGTTGTATATTTTATTCTTACGTATGCTCTAAATCCACAGTTCATTGGTGCTATTTTTGTTTTAAACAGTAATTAAATATAGGAAAAATAGCCTACATTACCTTTATTTTAAAGCTATATGTAGAGCTTCACTTCTTTGATAAATATCAAAGTTTTTATCCTGTATCATATACCTTTTGCGTAGAGAATTTCCTTTTACATTTTTGGTAGCACAAGTATGTAAGTATAAATTCTCTCTATTGTTCATCTGAAAACATTTTTCCCTGTATTTTTTGAACAGTGTTTTTTCTGGATATAGAATTCTGCAAAGATTTTTTTCGTTTGAATACTTTAAAGGTGTCACTCCATTATTTTTTGGCTTGCATAGTTTCCAGTGAAAAATCTGCTCTAATCCCTTTCTTTGTATGCAATGTCTTTTTCCTCTGGCTGCCTTCAATATTTTCTCAGTGTGTGTCTAAATGTGTATGTTTTTGTTGCTGTTGTTGCTGTTGTTGTTGAATCCTGCTTGGGGTTTTCCAGGCTCTTGGACGTATGCCTTGATGTTTTTCATTACTTTTGGAAAATTCTCAGCCATTATCTCTTCAAATATTTTCTTCTGCCTGCTTTGTCTTCTCTTTCTGGGATTCCAGTTATGCATATGTTGGACCATTGGATATTATCTGACAGTTCTTTGATTCCCTGTTTTGTTTTTTTTTCACTGATTTTCTTCATTTTAAGTTGGGTAATTTATATTGGCCTGTCTTCTGCTACACTCATTCATTCGTCAGCTGTGTCAGATCTACTGATGAATCCATTAGAGGCATTTCTAATTTCTGTTACTATTTTTTTTCATTTCTAACATTTCTATTTGCTTCTTTCTCATAGTTTCTACCTCTCTGCTGAAACTAGCCATCTGTTCATGGAAGTATTCCATATAGTTATTTTAAATTCCCAGTCTGTTAGTCTAACACCTAGGTTATCTCTGAATCTGGTTCTGTTGATTGATTTGTCTGTCTGTCTCTCTCTCTCTCTCTCTCACTCTAAGCGATGCTATTTCACCATAATACCATGACTAGAGTGCAGGTGGTTATTCATAGGTGCAATTACAGTGCACTACAGCCTTGAACTCACAGGTTCAAGCAATCCTCCTGCATCAGCCTCCTAAGTAGCTGGGACTACAGGCATGCACCACTGTGCCCAACTGCTTTGTCTCTTGTTCATAGGTGTTGCTTCCTTTATAAGGTTTGCAATTTTGAATTCAATACTTGACATCATGGGTAAGTGAGTTGAAACTGAAGTAAGTAGTATCCGTGACAGGAAGTGGACATATCTTTTCTTCTGCTGCTAGACTGATTTTGTGTGTACATGCATGCGTGTGTGTGTGTGTGTGCGTGTGTATTTCGAGTGTGGTGATCGGGGAATAGTTTTGTTGTTGCTATGGCTATCATCAATGCACCATCTGCTTCAAATGCTTCCAGTGCTACCTTGTGCTGGTTCTGGTGTGCTTGTGTAAAGGCCGGTTTTCTGAACGATTTTCCTAATGTCTTGTTCCACTCTCAGCTTTAGGCCTGTCCTGTGCACCTGCTTTTACAAGAGGGTTGATCTGCATGCTTTGCTGTCTCTCCCAGCAGCAGATTTCTGTTACCTGGGACTGGCTAACTCCATGGTAGCAGCCAGGAGTGCCTGCTCTTGTCGTGGTCCAGCCTCAACCTTAGGCAGGACCTTCATTTCTTGCTGTTGGAGATGGAGGTTTGTCAGAGATACTGACCATCCCCAGCAGTAAAAGACCGATAATCTGGGCCCAAGATGACTCCCTGTCCCTCTCCAAGGGGTATAGAGTTTTAAAAGGTTCCTTATCTTCAACCTCAATATGTCTCTACCAGTACCTTGAGGAGGACAAGATTTCCTGGCCATTCCGCAATGATTGAAGGATTTTGTTCTTTAGGGGTGAAGGGTGTCAGCAGGGCTCATGCCTGCATTCCTGAAGGCAGACTTTCTCCAGTCTCACTGTCTACCCCAATCTTTCTCATGGGCCCTGATAAATACCCATGGAGTAGAGTCTGTGATGGGAGTCAACTCCCCATGGGTCCATGGTTCCCAGAGGTTTTATACTCTCACAGTGGCCCACCCTTGGCCTTCAGCACTGAATAAAATTCATAGAGTATTTCTGCTCATTATGGTCACGCCGTCTCCTGCCTGCAGGTGAGAAGTAAGCCAGTGTTCACATCCCACCACTCCCCCAGGTGCTTGTCTTCCCTTCGATTTCGAGGGAACCATGTGCCTTGCAACTTCAGCTCTTTGGTGCAGGAAAAGTTATGATTTTGAGGACAATCCGGCTTCCTCTTGCTGATAAGGCGGGAATGACATGCTTTAGAGCTTTCTACGTACTAACAGAATCCAGAAATCACCCATGGGATTCTGAAAGACACAGTTTAGGATGACCCTCTGGAGAAGAATGGACCACCTCCAAGGTGGTCACTGCCCACACCAGAAGTGGTCCAGGCTACAGAAGGAGTTTCGACCAGTTGGTGGAAGAGACAACCTCATGGAGGGGTATGGGAGGCTAGTGTACATACTCAGAAAGGTGTTGCAGGCCTGTGCAACGGTCAGTAAGTGCCATGCAACAGTGCCACGGGATCACCTCAGCACGTCTCCCTCTTCCCTGATCCAGACTCATTCTCAGCCTGGGCCACTTCCATTTCCATGGGCAACTCCAAATAGAGGGTAGGGATCCTGCACTCTGGCCACCCCAACTCGTATTGTTGGAAATTGTTGGGGGCCCAGAAAGGTGCATCAGGCCCAGAGCTCCCCTGAGCACCGTCCATGACCCAGCCCTCTGGACTCTGCTCATCCTGAGACCAGGCCATCCCCAGCAAAGCCACCTTCCTTCTCACATCGCCTCTTTCATCACCGTTCTGTCTCTGAGGACAAAGTATTAATCTCCAGTACAAGACACAAGCACCAATTTGGCCTTCAAAAGATCCTTTATTCCCAAAGCTGAGGTCACAAATACAAAACTTGCTCCTTCATGGCCTCTGTCCCCTGCCCCCCACCACCAGACAATTCCCCAGCCATGGTAAGATGCCTTCTGAACCTGCAATCCCTTTCGCAAAAGACCCCAGTCTTTGCTCCTCCAGGCTCCCAAGGCCGGCTGGATCTTCATTCACAGCTCTATGTGTTCTGTCTGGGGTGGCTTCTCCACTGCCTTCTTGGCAAAGAGGTTGGTCCAGAAAGCTACTTCTTTGTCCTTCAGCTTCTGGGCCGCCTGGGTGTTGGCACCAATCTGCAGATACCCTTCCTTCTGGTTGTACTCTGGCCAGTGGGGCAGCCCTTCCCCATTGGGGTTTCTGGAAACAGAATCAATTAGAATTGCCCCAAAGCTGCTGTGTGTTCCCAACAATCTTCAGAGATGTGTGAGGATGCCCAAGTTATCTCTGTCAAGAGGCTTGTATACCTCCAGAGATGGAGAGCTCACTATCTCCAGGGGCGGCCTCTCCGTTTGCAGAGAGCTCTCATTATCAGAGTGCTATGGTCACAGGGTCAGAAGTTTGATCACTAGAACCTTAGAAGCTGCCCCTTCCCAATAGGCATGCCCCGCCCCCCACCCTCACCAGCCGTGCTCTGTCTTTGCCACCAGCCTCACCCATTGCGAGCAAAGTTGGCCCAGAATTTCATCACCATCTTGCTAAGTCTGATCTCCTCTTCTGAGGCACCCTCTGTGGGGAAGAAGAAAAAAAGCCTTTGTTACTCAAAGTGTGGTCCGTGGACTGCAGCGTCAACATCACATGCGAGTCTGCTGGAAACATAGTCTTGGCACATGCCCCACACCCACTGAGCTGAGGTCTGCACTTTTAGAAGATCGTGGTGGATTTGTGTGTACTTTACCTTTCAGCATATCTGACCTAGGGCTCAGCAATGGGCATGCGTCATTCCATTGGCTGGCTGCCTTTGTCTCCTGTGACCCTCGCCTGCCTCCTCCCCGCTCAGGGTCACAGGAAATGCCCCACCCCAGGGTTTCCTCTACAGCAACCCCACTTTCCAGGGTTGCTCTCTCTTGGGTCTTTTCTCCCTCCCCAGCACACACCCACAATTCACATTCTGAAAAACAACAGAGCCGCAAGGCGCCTAAGCATGCACAGTGAGATGCCCAGAGGCGCTGGTGCGTTCTGAGCAGCCATGGGGTGAGTCCCATCTGATCTGTAACTGCTGAGAGTTAAGACTTAGAAGACACCGTGAAAGGATTTTTTAAACTATTGTATAATGTAAACTAAAAATAAAATCCTGACACCCCCAACTGACTGAACAGACCCTCTCTGGGCTAAGGGGAGCCTCGAAAAACCTTCAACTCTGTTCCTGCCTGGGAACGGACAGGAGGTCAGACACGCCTCATAATACTCCCTCCCTTTTGTGATTTAGACACCACCGGACCAGCATCAGCAATAAAATGAAGGTCATCATTCTGACAGAACACACTCTTTGTGGCAATAAGACACCAAATTAAAAACGAGACCTAAGGCCACGTCGGGCAAGGGTTCAGGCCTGCATCTCTAAAAAGTCAGGAAACAACAGGTGCTGGAGAGGATGTGGAGAAATAGGAACACTTTTACACTGTTGGTGGGACTGTAAACTAGTTCAACCATTGTGGAAGTCAGTGTGGCGATTCCTCAGGGATCTAGAACTAGAAATACCATTTGACCCAGCCATCCCATTACTGGGTATATACCCAAATGACTATAAATCATGCTGCTATAAAGACACATGCACACGTATGTTTATTGCGGCATTATTCACAATAGCAAAGACTTGGAACCAACCCAAATGTCCAACAATGATAGACTGGATTAAGAAAATGTGGCACATATACACCGTGGAATACTATGCAGCCATAAAAAATGATGAGTTCATGTCCTTTGTAGGGACATGGATGAAATTGGAAACCATCATTCTCAGTAAACTATCGCAAGAACAAAAAACCAAACACCGCATATTCTCACTCATAGGTGGGAATTGAACAATGAGATCACATGGACACAGGAAGGGGAATATCACACTCTGGGGACTGTGGTGGGGTGGGGGGAGGGGGGAGGGATAGCACTGGGAGATATACCTAATGCTAGATGACGAGTTAGTGGGTGCAGCGCACCAGCACGGCACATGTATACATATGTAACTAACCTGCACAATGTGCACATGTACCCTAAAACTTAAAGTATAATAATAAAAAAAAAAAAGAATCCACTTTGTTCTCACTGCCACGAGGTGCTTCTCTTTCTCTAGCAGCTAAACCAGCACTGGCCTGGAGCTAAGCAAAAGGAAAACAATAACAACGGCTGCAGCTGGGATACGCAGACAAACAGAACCCTGACTTGCCAGACTTAACTACTGCTTTGATTGCATAAGAGACTGATTTCAGTAACTTTCTCCAGATAAGAACATCACCAGCCATGGACTGGACCTGGCCGGTGTACAGAAGCTCCTCACTTGCTGAGCTTCGTGTCCTGAGAAGACCTTTGGACTTACAGGCCCTAATTGTAATACATTTAAATATTAGGTCTCCACCACCAGGTGAACATGGGCCATGTTACATACGTGTTTGTTTAATACACATGTGTCAGGACTGTCTTCATGAATATCCATTGCTCCCCCTGTAACCTGTTGAACATGTATGTTTAGCCAATCCGTTCACATAAAGCTCCTACCCAACCCCTCCTCCAATGAGCCCGTTTCTGGGCTTGGCCAGAGGCACCTTCCCAGCCTGTGGGATGGCCACCTTGCTGACTATAAACCATATAAAAAATATTCTCTTCTCCTGTTCCAAATTCATACATCCTGTGAATTCTAAATCAACAATTATTAAATGTACTAAATGTAAAGGTTTATGAGTTTTTGTTAGAGACAGACAGAAAGACAAACAGGCACACATTAGACCTGACTTAGGGTTAACACCAATTCTAATCTCACCCTCACTCACTGTCTCAGCGCTCCTGGGAGAGGGAAATTGATTGGTGGCTTCTCAACCTAGAGCAGGGCCCCGCATGTGTCCCACCGCCTATCTTGTTGATGACACAGCCCAGGATTCTGAGTGTCTGTGGCAGAGGGTACATGATACACATCCTCCCTCAGGTGTGTTAGAGCGGGAGGAAGCCGGGGAACAACCCAGTGACATTCAACCCTGTCATAGTGAATCCTGCAGGAGACCCCCACCACCACCTGTCTTGATGTCACACAGCAGGATTCTGAGCGTCTGTGCAGAGGGCACATGAATACACATCCCTCCTCACATGTGTTAGAGTGGGAGGAAGCCGGCGGACAACCCAGTGACATTCAACCCTGTTATACAGAATCAGGAAACTAAGACCAGGAGAGGACAAAATTGCTGAAGGCCACCACACCAAGACTGGAACCCAAGTCTCTAACTCCTAGCTCACAGACAGGAAGGAGCATTACCTTTTAAAAATGGGGCCCCAAAGACGGAGAAGAGCTCATCCCCGTGGTCTCCTATCACCGTCTTGGGTTTCATGTCTGATGAGAAGCTTGGACGGTACTGAAACTCATACATGTAGGTGGGTGCTCCAGCATCTGAGAAGACAAGGATTCATGCACAGTTCATGTTGCCAGACACACACCTGGAGGCTACCAAGGTCTCCAGCTCTGCAGCAAACCTCTGGCTGTCAGCACAGTAGAGAAACAGAGTCTCAGGAAAGCTCAGTGATGTGCTCCGGGCTGCATAGCTGTCTGAGGTGGAAGCGGAATTAGAGCCAAATATTTGTTCAATGAACAAATGTTTAATGAATGAATGTGGAAACCCTGGGTCAATTCATTTAAAACAGCTGCCGGTGCAGGGACCCTGACTCTGCCTCGTAAACCCCTTTGCCTGCTGGTGCATTCTCACACAAGACAATCTCTCTACATCTGGTTACACCGGATATAATTCATTGATAACAGACTCGCGTTCATTCACTTGGATGCCATCTCCACCATGACAGGTGTCTTCTGTTCTGCCTCGTTTTGAGCATTTCCAGTGTTTTTCTCACCCATCCTGAGAAGACTGAAGCAAATCCAAGTTGCTTGTCTGAACATGAGGCTATTTAAATACAAACATATGCAGAGAGGGAACAATCTGCCTCTTGTGTCTCAGGAACCTGCGGCACTCACTGCTTTATAGCTCACTGTCCCCATGTGTCTTGCTGCCTGCCTGGCCTGGGAGTGTTAGGGTGTTAAGGCAGTAAAGCCCTGGCAGAGAAAAGAAGGCGCTGAGCAAGGGTGACCTTGCCTCTCCCCTGCCCTCTCTCCTTCGGCTCTGCCCTCCTCTCCCACCAACAAAGCTCTCCTGTCCCAGCCCCAGGAAGATGCCAGTTTCCCAATGATTGGCTCATTGGAGCCACAGATCGCTGCCCCTTCAGGGCTACCTCGTGGGCCGCCTGGCCCTGTGCCTCAGCACTTTGCACTGGTCATGATACCCACTGAGAAGTGACACTAAGACGGAAAGAGTCAGGGCAATGCCAGGCTGGTGGAGAAAATTTACAATGTCCTCCCCTTTGGGTACAGTAAGAAATTTGGAAAATAAAAACAATTAGGAATAATTAGAAGAAACAAAAATATGGAAACGCATAAAGCAAAACTAGATATCACTCATAATTCCACTACCTGAGGCAAGGGCCATGCATTTTTTGTATTTCCTTCTAAAATTTTTCCATATCCTATATAATTTAAAAATCAATTTTAACAATCAAATTTAAAGTATCACTCATAACTCTACCACTCAGAGAATGCTTCTTTTTTATTTTAGCATATCTCTCTTTTATGTATTTAACTGGGGATGATATTATATATGGTATTTTGTAGTACACTGTAATCACTTCCCTTTTAAATTGTTTTGTAGAGACAGGGTCTCACTATGTTGCCCAGGCTGATCTTGAAATCCTAGGCTCTCATAATCCTCCCACCTCAGCCTCCCAAAATGCTGAGAGTGTTGGCAAGAGCCACCGCCTCCAGCCATCATTTCTTAACATCATTAAAAATTCGTTCACAAAAGGATTTAACAATGGGAGCTCACGCATCCCTAACCTCATGCCCCACCCGCACATGTCATTTCAATGTGAGAATGAAGAATAATCTATTCACTCATCTTTGTCAGCCTCCTGCACTGCACCCTCGGCTCAGCAGGAAGCGCACCTGGGAAGATGCCATCCTTCTGTGGCTCTGTAATCCACCTGTTAAATGGCTGCTTCAAGGTCAAACAAAACTTGCTAAAAGGAGGGTTTGACCTTGCCTTTGCCCCTCGAACATTTTCCAAAGAAACTCAGAGCCAACCATAGAAGAAAGAGCTTTTGTGAATGATAGAACTTATTATAGGCAGCATGCTGCCCAAAACGTACTTTGTAAAACTCTTTGGCTAAAGCCATTGATATTTATACAATTCTTACAATCACAACACAAGTCTTCAGAGGAAAGTAGCGCACAGATTTGGGTAATGACAATTAGACATAATAAGAGAAGCAGAGACAATGAGAGGGCTAGTCATGGAGGACATGCAGATTAAAACAGGCTGATGTGTTTCTTGTTGGTGGGGAAGGCTTATGAAGCTGGCAGTGTTATGCTAGCTGATGTGCTTCTTATTGGTGGGGAAGGTTTATGAAACTGGCAGCGTTATGTTAATTTTTAACCTTAGCATCCCAAATGAGAAAAAGAATCCACATTATTGGCTGGGTGCGGTGGTTCACGCCTGTAATCCCAGCACTTTGGGAGGCTGAGATGGGCGGATCACGAGGTCCAGAGATCGAGACCATCCTGGGTAACACGGAGAAACCCCGTCTGTACTAAAAATACAAAAAATTAACCGAGCGTGGTGGCAGGCAGCTACTCAGGAGGCTGAGGCAGGAGAATGGTGTGAACCCAGGAGGCAGAGCTGGTAGTGAGCCGAGACCATGCCACTGCTCTCAGCCTGGGTGACAGAGCGAGACTCCATCCGCCCCCCCCCAAAAAAAAAAAAAAAGAAGAAATCCACTTTCTTATGCAATGGAATGCAATTTTGCAATATTTGCTCAGAGTTCTAAAACGTTTCTGTGGTCCTGCCTAGTTATTCACTTCTAAAAATAATCCTAAGAAAATTATTAGACATGTGGTTAGAGACTTATGAACATTAGGCTGAGCTCAATGTTATTGTAGCATCAGAATGTGAGCAGCCAGGCTAAATGTCTAATAGGATAGGAATATTAAAGTCTATTTAACACAGCCATTTCATGGAATAAGGCATGCTTTGATGAGTTTGTATCAACATTGAGAAAATCCTCACAACATAGTGTTCTACGAACAAAAGCAAAATATAAAATTGATTTTTAAACTATATAGGACATGGAAAATCTTTAGATGAAAACACAAAAAATTTATAGCACTTGCCTCCAGGTAGTGGAATTATGAGTCATACCTAGTTTCTTCTTTTTGTGTTTCCATATTTTTGAAACTTTCTATAATTTAACATATTAATTTTATATTCAGAAATGTTATTTTCATCAAAAAGAGTGAGACAACAATAAGTGAAAGTTGATAAAATCTGTGTAGTCCTGGTAAAAACAAACAAACAAACAAACAAACAAACCAACAACAAAAAAAACCCTGAACTTAAAGTCATGGGAAATCAGATGAAGAACAGAGGTTCAGTATTGCTCAAACCAGCAGAAGATGGAGACGGGAACACTATATGTAGATCAGACGTAGAGCATTGGGCAAGGCCAAGTTTAAGAAAGAACAGATTAAACTCCAGTGGTCTTGGTTAAATGGTTTTATCAAGACCCTGTGAAGAAATCAGGGTTATGAGCACCTGCCCCTTCCTGTGCAAAGGAGTGTCTGGGAACCTGCTAGATCAGTGTTAGCTAGTTTTTATCATGCTTATGAAGTTCTAAATTTAAAAACCCTTCCAGCATGGTTAGAGAGAGGACATTTCCTGGCTTGCAGACTAGGCGAATGAGAGCTGGAAGAAAGAGTCCTGTGAGCCTCCTCTAGTTGGCACCCAGGAAAGGATACTTCTCTCTAGAGGTGAGCCCAAGCATCCCTAACCTCACGCCCCACCCACACAGCCTTGGGTCAGTGGTAGAAGGTCCTGCATAGACCCTGTCCTGGCCCTGTGCTTGCACGTTCCTGCACACACTGAGATAGACAAAAGCCAGGCTCAGACATTGCCATTTTCCAGACCACCTCCCGCACACCTGCCCTGGCTTGTCCTTTTGGTCTTCTTGGTCCTAGACAACCCTCTGGATCCCATGCAGGGCTCCCACTGTTCCTCCAGCTCCAATACTTAACAAACTTGTTTGCAGCCAGCTTGGACCTTAAAAACTTTCCAAGACTCATCTTTCAATATTTGTCCTACAGCAGCCCTATGTCCCATGATAACTCCAGGCATGGAGCCCTTGCAGCAGATGCTTTCTGTGTCTCACCTATATCCCCTCTTCCTGGGCATGCCAGCCTGACTTCCACCTCCAGCATCTGCAGCTCCCAGCCTGAGGCCTTTGTCTGTTCACAAGAGACTACTCTGCCCTTGTGTGCAGCAGGACAAAGTCATAGGGAATAAACAACTCCTTGCAAGAACCTTCAAACAATGACCAGTGGAAGCTGGTGGATAAATACCCGGCTCCCTTACCACTCAGATGGGATGCCCATGAGTGCTGTATTCTCCGTGTTTCCATGAGTTTCCCAGCTCCAGTTGTCCACAGAGGATACTCCCTTGGCAACACATCATGGATTGGATTCCATCTCTTTCCTCTCTCACTTCCCCATCTCCCTACTGCTGTTATCTGGGATCATCACCTTAAAAAAAACCACTTGCCTCTGGATTCTTTTTCTCACAGTCTTCTGCTGGCATAAACCAAAATAAGACAGCACCTCATCCCATGCCATATGGAATCAGCTTTTGAGGCCTGACCCTCAGCTGTTTCCATGTCTGTCTATGTTGGGAGGTAAGTGGGTCAGATACAGAAGCAGGTGGGGTTCATGTCCCTCCCCTGTTCGACCTCTGGGACTTACCTCTGTGGTTCTGGGCCAGAATCACAGATGGGACACCCAAGATCACATCCCCCATTAAGTCCAGGAACAGGTCTTTCTTTTTGACAGGGTCATCTGTTCCTCCTAAGTACTTCTCAATGGCTTCTGGAATCAGTTCCTTAGGAATGTGCTAAAATAGATCAATAAAGTGACCACCACCCCCTGGTGAGTGATGTAGCTTCTCCAGCCCACCAGGAAGGCCTACCTCAGTGGTGAAACTCACAAGCCCTGTGCAACTCCCCGCTAGGGTGGAAAGTGAAGTGGGAAAGGTGGAAAGATGGGGGAAACCCTCAGGCCCCAGTCTTCATTCTGCCATTTAATTTCTCTATGATTTGGGCAAGTCCTTGTCCCTCTCTAGGTCTCAGCCAATTCCCGTGATTCCTAGATTCTTACAAGAAGGGGATAGGACTTCAATAAGAGTGACATGGCTGTCTTCTGGTCCAGTTTCCCTTTGGAGAGTGGATAGCTGATCAACTGTTTTAAAAAAAAAAGTTAAGCGTTTATGAGTCATTGGGAATTAATGAGAAGAAACAAACTTACCACCCAACCAAATCAATACAGTCTGAAGGTCCTCAAATTTTGTTGGGCTTTCAGGGGCATGGGTTTTTACTGAAATTGGCAAAATTAATGAATCAAACGGGCTTACATCCAGAAATTCAAGCATTACAAAGATTATAAAAAAAAAATTGGAGACGCTGTGACAGTGTTTTGCAGTGTGTGTGTGTGTGTGTGTATGTGTGTGTGGTTGAGATCCCTACAGTGGTCAGTGACACACAGAGGGAAAGTTTCTGCCAGGCCAGTGTAGAATAGAGGGCTCTGGGGAAGAGGACACAGACCTCCCAAGTACCCCCACCTGGCACAGATGACACAGAAAGCCTTAGATCCTGCCTTCATGGCTTTGGTCTTTGGTATAACCTCTGAAATCCTTCTGAGGGGTGAACTGCACATCTCTACGCACATAACAACTCTTCCAGAACCTCTGCACTTACAGACTCAATCAAACTCTAGCCTCACTTCTAGCAGCTTAAGGCTGTGTCCCTAGAATGACCGCAGCATCCTTAACATGCCTGCCTGTGGAGGCTCAACTCTGCCAGGATAATTTACTCTTGCTCCAGCGAAAACCTAGAGAAAAGCAGATGTCCCCTGGACCCAAATAGAGCAGTTACTTTAGAAAGCCTGCAATAATAAACCCTTTCTCTGTCGTTTGGGATGTGAATCTATCACCCAACCCTGTTTCCTGGGGGACGTGAGACCCTTCTCTTTGCAGTGCAAACATTCAAGGAGCTCACTCTTGATCTTCCCAGTCCCTGTGGAAAGAATAGAGCCTGACTTCAGTGGATTCTTCCTGCAGTCTAACGCATGGCTTCCTGTCCTAAAGATAAGAGGAGTTTGTTTCTGCCCCAGGTGAGCCAGGATGAAGAGATCCAGGTGGTCTAGTCACATGGACCAAGCCTCTCCCCACAGACCACAGTGTGTTTCCCTTGGCGCCCCTGGCTTATGAAACATCACCAGGCTTTTGTTTTGGGGATGTGAGTCCAGTCCACGCCGGAATATTTCCCCTATTGCAATCATATTACTGAATAAACCTGTCCTACTGCTTTAACAAGGGTCAGTTTTGTTTATCTTCAACTGGAAGGAGAACGCTTCTTTACTTCTAGAACTCAATTACTTTTTCCATTTATCTGTTTCCAACTTTTATTTTAGGTTTGGGGGTAACTGTGCAGGTTTGATCATGGGTAATTTGGGTCTCTGGAGTTTGCTGTATAGATTATTTTGTTACCAGGTATTGAGCATAGCACCCGATTAGGTAGCTTTTCCATCCTCATCTTCCTCTGACCCTCCACTCTCTTAGTAGACCCTGATGTCTACTGTTCCCTAGAAGTCAATGGTAACTCAAGAAGAAGCCACTTTCTTTGGATATTTTCAATGAGGTGATGAAGAGCATGAGTGATTTTCAGGGGAACTACGCACACCCAGCCCGAGGCAGGAAGCCGGGAAGCCCCCGACTGCCTCTCCAGACTCCTCAACTCCTTCCCCCATGCAGGCCCCCTCAGTTTTCCCATCTGCACAGTTATTTTCTCTACTGGTCCTCCCAGCACAGACACTTCAGGATTCTTCAACAGGAAGATAATCAGAGAGTCTGGGGAGAGGGGATCCCAGGGCACTGATATCCCGGTGACAACTGTGCCCTCCTGGAGCAGATTTCCATGGAAATGGTAACTCCTGCTGAAGGGAACAGCTGCCCAGGACTCAGAGTGTGGCTCGGAGAGGGAAGCACTTCTGGGACTAGAGACAGGAGGGCTGATGGTGGTGGGTGAGTCCCTCCAAGAGGCTTGCACCTTCTCACCATTGGAAGCATCCAGCCAAACTCCTGCTTGTTAATTCCGACCATGTAGGGGACAGTGTGGAACTTCCTTTCAGCTTGAAGCTCTTCAGGTGTTTTCAGCAGCACCACCCCATCAATCACGGTGGCCAAATAGTGGTGACTCTGGGGGAGAGAGAAGTGCAGTGCCTGTGATTCCCTCCCTAGTCACACCCATGTCCCCAACTCTGCCTGTCTGAGGGTGAGACCAGTACCACAGACCGGCATGGCCATGGGCCACGGCTGCACATACTCAGGGTCCTAACTTAAGGGGGTAGGCCTCTGTGACTCAGGGGTAGAACTTCAGGCAGAGGCTGACACTGGTCAGATGATGAGGAGAGGAAGAAATCTTCACTCATATTGAAATACATGTATTATCTATGTAAAATTACATGTCTGTATATTTCAATTTGAAGTGCATGCATTTTCCTCTGTGTGTCCACAGTTGATTTTCGGTAGTCCTGGCAGTTGCTTCTGATAAAGCCCCCATGAGTACTGAATTAGAGAATACAGGGTCATCACTCAAGGGGGAAATACTGGGTTAGGTTTTTGCAAACCTCTGGCCACAACATTTTCATCAACCTTCTTTTATGTGTGGGTTTCTGTTGAAAGAGACTTCCACGGCTCCATCCCACACAATAGGTGTTACTTTAGCCCTTTCTATCACAGCCTCATGTATGAATCAGCCAATTTCCTTCTCCTTTTTCTGAATGTGCTATTATGTGGATTTTTCAACACCAAATGCACGGCCAGCAGCACTGCAGCTCCTGCCTCATCCAAGCTTGTCTCACACAGGCACCTTCCCCGTAAGGCACAGCACAGCCTGTTTAGCTCAGGAACGCCAGACAGCAGCGCTACTCTTGGGTTCGCTCTAAACAGTGACATCACTACAAAAAGCACAAAAATGCAGAACACACGGCACTAAATAGACTGCGAAGAGGACACTTGTAAACATCAGAGATGAAACAAGAAGACAGGGGTTGCCTCACCAGATCTCAGATGGAACATGCCCATCATGCAAATCCAGCTTCCCCTGCTCTGTGCCTGCCTGTGTGACCATGAAAGTGCCACCAGTATCGATTTGGGGTTTATAAGGACATTTTAGCAAGCAGGTGAATTTATAAACGCAAAATCCATGATTAATGAGGAAGAGATTATGCTATCTATCTGTATTTAAACAAGAGCTGTTATTGATCCATGGGTGGCTTTGAGGAAGTACTGAACCCTCATCACTCAAGGAGCCTAGACTAGGACGAGATTCCCTATTAGAGAGAAAATTATGAGTAAAAGAATCAGTGATTAACTCACAGTATATTGATCCATGTCTTAATTTTAGGTTTTACCTTTAATGAATAATTTTTATGTGGTCACAGATTAGAGAGAGTCTGACTCACGCGTTGCCATCAGGGCAGCTGGTTCTGGGTACAGTTATATTTCATATTTAGTCACAATGGTGTAGTTGCTAAGATAGAGCATGGACTTTGAAACCAGATTAACTGCATCTGAAGCCTGGCTCTGCTACTTACTGGCTAGGAGTTTCACCTGTTTGGGCCTCAGTTTTCTCATCTAAGAGGTGAGTTATTGTGAGGATTAAATAGCTGAACACATGTAAAATACTTAGCACAGCACCTGGTGTCTGGAAAGGCTGAATAACTGTTAGGTATTACTTGTTAGCAAGGTTGCTGTGGGTCCCTCTCATAGACACCAGTCCTCTGTGCCATCTTCCCAGTTTCACGCCCCATGGGCTGTGTTTCCCTCCTGGATATCAGATGGAACTGGAAAATTCCTAGCCTTTGAGACCCTATGGCTTCCGGGACCTTTGGTCTGCCTACAAAAGCCAATGAATGACAAGCTAGTTCGGACTGCCTTGGGGGAGATGTTCTGAAAAGTGGACCAGACCTAGCTGGACAAGATCAGATCCTAATCCAACATGGCTGACGCACAGAACAGGATTGGGGTGCAAGTCTGGGTGCCTTGAGAGGCTGTGCAGTTCAGGCAGGGCTGCCGTGAGGGGCCGGAAAGAGGAGCAGCCCCTCTGGAAGGAAGATGCAGGGCAGACTACGTGGAGGAGGTGCCGCCCGCCTGCGGTGGGCTCTGGGCAGTGAATGGTATTGACAGGTGAGGAAAGGAGTGAGAATTTCTAAACAGTGGGAACCGCATGAGCAAAAGGACATAGGTGTCACTGTGCAGGGTAAATTCCAGAAACAACCAAGAGTTCTGGGCTTGGAGAAATGCTGTGGGGCAGGGTCTAGAGGGAGGGACAGGTGCAGAGCCTACCTTCTGCACAGTCTGGCACACAGTGTGCACGCAGGTGTGTTTTGAAGGACTAACTCCATGGAGGGAAGGGGATTTGTCTCATAAGGAAGGTCAGGCTTTTAAGAAGTGGGAGTGACGTGCTCTAACTCTGTTAAGGAAGGACAGTCTGGCTGCACCATGAGACGTGGAAATGGGGAGGGGAGGTGAAGTAGAAGAGGATAAAAGTTGAGGCAAGAGACAGGAGAGCCCCAGTTGGGCAGCAGCAATGCAGGAAGACTGCCATCAGCAACAATGACAAGTGATTGCTGTTGTCCACTCAGAGTTTGCAAGTGGCTGCCCTGTGTGGGCATAACCTTGCTTGTGTCAGAAAACTCAGGGCGTCCTCCACTCCTCTCTCTTTCTCACCCGCTGCATCCTGTCCATCAGCAAATCCTGTCAGCTATTCCTTCAAAGATATCCAGACTCCAACTACTCCTCCCATCCCCACTGCCACAGCCCTGTCTAAGCAGCCAGGAGCCCTTGCCCTTGCCTGGATTACGGCAATGCAGTGGCTGCCCAGCTGGTCAACTGCATCCACTCTGCCCCTTTCCTACAGTCTATTTGAACACCGGAGGCAGAGACCTTTGTGAGATCTAAGAACATGTGACTCCTCTGTTCAAAACCTCCAAAGGTTTCCCATCTTGCTCTGAATCCAAATCCAAGTACTTTAATTGATCTCTCTCCCACTGCCAATTACCTCTTTAGCCTCAAGCCAGTCTGTCCCCACACTCGGTCCTCTCCAGCCAGACTGGCCCCTTCTGTCAGGGTCTTTGCAGTGACTATTCCCTCTGCCTGGAATAGGCTTCTCCAGGTTTCCTGACAGCTGGCTTCCTGCCTCCTCCAGAGCTTGGCTCAAATGCCACCTTCTCATTGAACCATTCCCTGATCCTGCTACTGAAATTGAAACCACCCACAAACTCTATCCCCTAATGCTGCACACCATCAAATGGAATACATACTTGATTTGCTTTTTTATTGCACTGTCCTTGCACTGTAAAGGAAGGTCCCAAGAGGGCAGGGAGTCTTTCTTTTTTCACTGTTATATCCCCAGCTCCTAAACAAGTCCTGGCACATAGGAAGTGTTTATTATCTTTGCTGAATGAATCTCATGTACTCCGCCCATGACCATTTAGGAGAGTGCTGCGGCCTCCAGGGAGGCAGCAGAGAGGACAGGATTGTAAGATTCGTCAGAGGTGATGTCACCAGAAACTGTCAACCCATTGGGAGGTGGGGGTGGGGGTGAGGAGATCAGGAGGATACTGTTGGAGTTTCCTGTGTGCTGGGAGGAGGCGAGTGTCCTTGGACTGAGATTTAGGCTTCCTCCCTCCATGGCTAATCATCGCTATTATCTCTGCCTCCTGAGAGTGGAAGATTCTGGTTCAGCCTTCTTCCATAGTGCCATTTTGGGGAGTAGAAAATGTAAAAAAGCAGGGGAGTGGGCAGAGCCCAGGGCACACAGAGGTGATGCCTGGGAGCACTGGACTGGGAGTCAGGAAAATAGGTTCCAGGCCAGCCACTAGTCTTCCTGGTTGTGTTACCCAGGTGAGTCACTACCCCTCTCTGGGCCTCGGCAACAAACACACAGGAGTTACTATAACCACCCGAGAGGGGATTCTTTCACTCACAGTTCATTGGAACTTAAAGGTGCTAAGACTCAAAACCCGTAATCCAGAAACAAAAGGTCCTTACCTCTTTGAGGTCTCCCTGTAAGTCCAGAGATAAGAATTTCTGTGAAGACAAAAGCAGAGGATGTGGGTGAGAGGCTTCCCAGGAGAACACTGAGCTGGGTGAGTGGGGCAACAGGGGTGTCAGGTTCTCCCTCCTGGTGCCAAGCTGGCTGGGCTGAAAGGAAGTGGGCAGGACTCTGGCTCTGCTAGGCCTAAGCACAGGGTGAAGGCATAGCAGGGAGGGGTGGGCATCAGCATGGGGAAGACAGGCCGGGGACTCTGAGCCAGGGTCGATGGAGCTCTGGAGAGGACCCCCGCTGGTTGAGGCTGCCTGGCCCCCCATCCCTCTCCCCTTCCTCTTCACCTGGGAAGAACTCACCAATTCTCCTTCAGAGACCTCCTTCTTCTCCCATCACTCCATGAATTCATATATCTATATGTGACCTGGGGTGCTCCATCTCCCTGAACATGAATATTAGTTCAGGGATGGGCATACACCCATGTCAATCCAATAGTTTACCCCAAAACTTTTGCAGGAATTATTTAGAAACAGGGTTTTTAAGCAGATAGAACATAAGTCCAGAGTGCTGTTGTCTTTAACCTTCAGAGGAGACACATCTACCTAAGAGTGAAACCAACACAGAAATGTGCAAAGCTGAAGGATAGAGAATGGTAGATTCTCAATAATATCCTATGATCATCTGGATCCAGCCATGCCTGAAGCCATCAACTCCTGAGATTTTCAGTTTACATGAGGATGCTATTGCAACACATTTCTTTTTCTGTTCAAGGTACTTAAGGGAGTTTCCTCATCTCCTATCAGAAAGCCCTGACTCATGCAAGCTCACTGAGACTCACCCTACCCCATGCTTCTCTTTGGTGTGTGTTCACCAAGATTGCAGTGACTGTAGTGTTGCATTGTAGTTCCAAGATCTGACCTGTGCTCCGGACGTAACCAGTGCATGTCCCTCCATTAAGGATTGAAGTCCCACTAGCCAAGAGTGTGTGTGTGTGTCTCTTTGTGTGTGTGGGTGTCTGTGTGTGTCTGTGTGTGTGTGTGTGTGTGCCTGTATGTGTTTCTCTGTGTGTGTCTATGTGTGTTTGTCTGTGTGTCTGCATGTGTGCATACTGGAGGCAATGCGTAATCATGGAAGCACTTCCACAAGATCTCAGAAAAACTCAAAAGGATGTTCCAGGATCTTAGGGATAGGTTTTCCCAAAGACTCAACTCTCCCCTTTTAAGCTGGGTCCTCTGATGCCACATGCAGAATTGCTGGAATATTTGCCTCCTTCCTGGCATTAGAAAACAGGTGTGTTTTAATTCCTTGAACACTTTGGTCACTTAGAGACTGAACCAAGACCTAAGCCCCAAGACCACATTGGACTCAACCCATGGAAACACAAGCAGAGTCCAGTGGTAGAGGCCGGCCCTGGGACCCAGGAGTAGCCTCAGGTCCAAAGAGAGAGTCCAGGCTACTCCTGAGCTTGGAATTCACACTCTTCTCCCTCAAAGGGAATAGTTCCCAACGGCCCTGGGTGCTGTGTCATCTGGGTGTTTGTCCTGCTGGGCTTCCCTGTGATGAGAGACTGCCACAGCCATCCATCAATCCTAAAGGTCCCCAGGTCCTAATATGTGAGGATGGCAGGGAGCAGGGAAGGCAGAAGATACTCTAGACCCGCAGGTGTGGGCTCTGTGTCCCACAGTGTTGCCTCTGACTAATTAGAACTGTGACATGGGGCAATTACAAAATTTATCTGTCTTTGTTACCTCTGTTAAAATGGGCACAATGATCTGAAAGCTGAATTTCTCAGGAAAGATAAGGTGGAGTCAGGGTTAAGGGCATGAACTCCTGAATTCCACTGTCTGGTCTCAAATCTGGCTCCTCCGCCTTCTCTGTGAAGCATCCCTGATTACTACAATGAATGCTTCCCCTCTGTGCTGCCACCATACTCAACCTGCGAAGTATATGAATGTATTTCTCTTTGGATAGTTCCTTGAGAGCAGGGACTATGTCCACTTCATGTCTGTTTTGCTACCTCTAACACCCACCCCTACATATTTAGCATGGATGGATGGATGGATCAATGGAGGGATGGATGGAGTTGGTCAATACATGGAGTACAGTTGAATTGAATGGATACATGAATAGATGGGTGAAAACTAGCAGACAGGCGATAACTGGATTGTTGATTTTGGAGGAATGGGTGATGGAGTTGAGATATAAGGTGGCTGGATGATCCATGAATGGTGGATGGATTGAAAATAGATACATAAAAAGTTACGAACAGGTTGATATTAGATTGATAAAAATAGATAAGTGAAAGCGATGAATTAGTGAACATACAGATGGATAAGAAGATCATAGTAGATGGATTAATGATTGAGTGGACAAATGACTATCCTAGAACAATAAATGAGTCAGAGTCTCAGAAAATATATGTAACTGGACCACCACCAGGTCTAATACAGACAGTTTCTAAGTCAACCAAGATAAATTGTGACATCTTTCTGAAAATCTTTGAGCTTAATATCTCCATCCCCCAAATTCAGCATGATGGTGTCCCCTGGGAATATGTAATGTTTAGTTTCTCAAAAATACATCTGAAAACAAGAATGGCAAAATATTAAATTTTCATCAAATAGTAAATTTGGTCAATTCTTTATCATGTTATTTTTTGACTTTCTTTTTATACATTTGTGCCATTTTACGATTAAAAAGGACAAATTAGATTCCCCATTCAGATACTGAGACTCCCGAGACTTGAGAAATTGTCCCAGGTAACTGTCCCAGGGCAAGAGGACCGCTGAAATGAAGAAGTCTGGGACCAAGTTTACAGTGTTTGGGCTACGGGAACAGGCAACCTACCATTTTCAATGTCGTCTCCAAGAGCTCCTCTTCCGTCTTCTGTCGCAGGCAGTGAACCATCACAGCTGAGGTGGTGGTTTTACACCCAGCAGTGATAGCAATTTGCTGCAAAGATCACAGGCAACAGAGTTCAAGAGTGAAGTCCCTTCCCTCCATCAACATGGAAAGTGGCATTCTATCCCAAGCCCAACTTGTACCAGTGGCAGGGGGCAGCAGAAGATACTGTAGACCCATGGGTGTGGGTTCCAGGTCCCACAGATCGTTGCCTCTGTTACTAATCTCAATTGTAACATGGGTCAATTATGTAATCTCTCATCTCTGCTACCTTATCTCCATTGAAACGGACATAATCATCTCCAGCTGAATGTGTCATGAAAGGCAAGGTGGAGCTGGGATAGAGAGCATGGAATCCTGAATTTCCTTGTCTGCTTTCAAATCCTGGTTGTTCCACTTACCAGCCATTAGGCTGCAGGCAGTCCACCTGATTTCTTTGGGCCTTGGTTTCTCCACTCATGGATGGGAATAATGACTGCACCTACCTCATGAGTTAACACATGTGGGAGAGTGCCATGTCTCCCACACAATAAACATGTGCAGAATTGTAGGAGGCCTAGACAAGATGATTCACACAGAGGTGCTTCAGAAGGTAGCGAATGTGATTTAAAGGTGAGTTCTGAAAAAAACCAGGGTGTCATCCTTTGCAAGACATAGATGGGGTTTCATGGCCAGGAGTTTCCACCTGCACATTTGTGTACTAGAGTCCCAAGCAGCAATCAAGCACGACTCTTTAGGGCACAGGTCGGCAATGTGCCCATCAAAGGCCAAATAGTAAATATTGGAGGCTGTGTGGGCCACGTGGTCTCTGCTGTAACTTCAACACTGCTGTTGACATGAAACACAGCCATAGACATGAGGTAAATGAATGAGTGTCACTGTGTTCAAAGAAAACTTCCTTTATGGACACTGAAATTTGAATTTCATATAATTTTATGGTTCATGAAATATTATTCTCCTTTTGATTCCTTTCAATCATCAAAAAATTTAAAAAACCATCCTTAGCTCAAGGGCCATGCAGGCACAGATCCAGATTTGGCCATGAGTGATGGTCTGTTCACCTTTGTCCTAAGTGAAGCCACAGAGCAACACCAATTAATGCACCAAGAACCTCTTTCCAACTTTAAAAAATGTAAAAAATATTAAAATAAAAAAAGCCCTCCTGAGGGAGAGGCTGCCTTCTGCCTGTCCTGGGGATTGGGGTCAGTCTGCCAAGCACACTCTGGTTTCCTTCTTTTCTAAGAATCCAGGGACACTGAAGCACAGACGAGACAGTGAGCCTCTCTCCTAAGTGACCTGGAATCAGGGTGGAGAGCTGCTAATGTAAAAACGCTCATTTTTCACAACAGAAAAGACAGCCTGACTACTTTCTGGAACCAAAGGAGAGTCCTTAAGCTCAGGGGCTGATAGGGTGCTCATGCAGACTGGAAGCAAAGTGCAGCCAGAAATAAGGGCACAGAGGGAGAGCAGGCAGGCTCCATGGTGGGGGAGCCAGGGCGAGTGCACATGCCCCAAGAGCCTCGTGTAGGATCTGGGACAGAATCAATACCCAGGGTGTTTCTTGAATAAATAAACAGGGAGAAGTAGAGGGCGAGAGAGAGAAAGACAGAGAGAGAGACAGAGGAGAGAAAGAGGAAAAAGAATAAGAGAGTCTAGGATTCCCATCATTTTGTAATTTCTGTTTCGTGTTTTTTTCACAAAGCCCAGCCTCATCCCAGACCTCTATTTCCTTGAAAAATTAATTCTCCGTTTATAAACAAGATTTTGAGACAAGGTCTTGCTTTGTTGCCCAGGCTGGAGTGCCGTCATGCAAACACAGCTCACTGCAGCCTAGACCTCCTGGGCTTGGGTGATCCTCCCTCTTCAGACTCCATGTAGATGGGCCCACAGGCTTGCACCACCATGACCAGCGTAATTTTTTTTTTTTTTGTAGAGACAGGGTATCACTCTGTTGCCCTGGCTGGTCTCAAACTCCTGGGCTCAAGCAATCCTTCTCATTCGGTCTCCCAAATTGCAGGGATTACAGGCATGAGCCACCACACCAGGCTAATGCTCCTTCTTGACTTAAGTCTGGTCAATGGGCAACTGTTGCTTATAACCAATGAATTCTTAAAAAATTCTCAAAAATTCTAAAAATTCTTGGCATCCCCATTTTCTCTCCTCCTATGTACCAGCCCTTTAAATTTGGATGCTTTCCCCAAACAAGCTTTCAAAGCTACC